>NW_025791756.1:943611-1258148 GCF_000001405.40 Homo sapiens | reverse complement strand
TAACAATCCACTGTCTAACCCTCACACAGGGACCTCAGGCTCCTCAGCATAAGAATAGGAGACTGTGAGAGATATATTTCAGGAGGCCTGAAGGCTGGTCATGATAGAAATTCCTCGGTTTTTCTCCCAGAAACTGTGGGTAAAATGTCCCTATTCTAGTAGATCATTATCCCAATATCATTTGTCCCGAGTTTGTGCAAACAGTTATGCCATATTTTTCCAATCAATTTAAAGCAAATACCCTCAAATGATTTCTAGGAGAAAAACTGCAATATTTAGCCCTGTCTCATCAAATACTCAGATTGTTCATGGTTGTGAGGACTTTAGACACTGAAATTAGAGTGAAAAAGGAAATCTACAAACCCTTGAGTCAAAATCATAGTTCTCTGAATTTGTCACATCTGCCCAGGTCCAATGTCATGAGAGTAGAATCAGAGTGCCACAGGCATGGCCTGAGACTAGGAAGAGAGCCATGCTCACTGACCCATCCCATGTCTGGGCTTCCAGTTAGAACTAGAGTTTCATTCAACCTACATGTGCCTATAGGTCCTCACTGCAGCAATGACATCTCTCAGCTCAGTAATGGCCACTTGGAGCAGGAATATGATCTTTATATGGAAGACTCAGTGGATCCTTATCACCTTCATAGAAAGGTACTCACCTCCCACGTCAAGAGAAAAGCCAACATGTTTTTCCTCCAATGCATAAAAGGAACTTCCATAGGGCAGGCAGGAGTCAGGCTGTTCAAGACAACTGGAAGGAGTTGAATAACATCTATCCAGTGAGTCCTGCAAGACTTCAGGCTCTACTGCCTCCAGCAGCTCCCTGCTGAGCCTGGAAAAGGAGGAAAAAGTAAAGAATAAGCCAGGGGAAATCAGACACAACAGAGCCCCAACTAGGTTTCATGGGTAGCATAAGGAAGTGGTTGAAAAAGTAAAAGGAGAGATCCATTAATGAGGTAACAAATTATTGCTTTCATGTTGGGACAGAACAGGGCCAAATGGAAAAGAATGAAAGAGAAAGACACACACACACACACACACACACACACACACACACACACAGAGAATGAGCTCAGTGAATTGTCCAGGTGACACACTGATGAGGGAGTAACAGGACACTCTGAGTTAGTGCCCTCAGGACACACAGCATACAGTGATCAGGAAAGGACTGTGCTCAATAATTTTCCATAAAATGTGCTCAAGTTTCCATGCAGTCGCCATGAGAATACAGTTTTTGAAGTCTGGTCCACCTACAGTAGGTTAGTAAATGATAAGGGGAGGAAGAAATGGAAACCTAAATATCTACTGCAATGAAAACCAACAGCAATGTTAGTAGGAATAATTCAGGCTCGGTTGAAAAGATGTAATCGATAATGTCAGCCCGCCCTGTTTTCCCTGAACCAGGAGTCTCCAGATGTCAACACAGAAGTAGCTGTTCACAATTGCTCAGTTACCTGGGGCATGGTGGGCCTTGGTCTTCTTCCTCTTCCTGGTCCTTTTTAATTCCTGCAATACATTCAGACAGGGACAGACAAAATAAGCCAATTCACCTACACCCGTAACAGTCCACTGTCTAATCCCCACACAGGGATCTCAGGCTCCTCAGCAAGAGAACAGGACAATGTGAGAGATATACTTCAGGAGGCCTGAAAGCTGGTCATGATATTCTTTGGTTTGCATCTCAGAACCAAGGGTGAAATATCCCTATTCTGGTAGATCGTTATCCCAAAATCATTTATCCCAAGTTTGTGCAAACAGTTATGCCTGATTGTTCCCATCAGTTCAAAGACAATGCCCTAGATGATTTCTAGGAGGAAAACTGCAGTATTCAGCCCTGTCTCATCAAATGCCCAGCTCGTTCATGGATGCAAGAATTTTAGACACTGAAATTAGAATGAGGGAGGAAATCTACAAACCCTTGAGTCCAAATCATAGTTCTGTGAATTTTTTACATCTGCCTGGGTCCAATGTGCTGAGAGCGGGCTCAGGTTGCCACAGGCATGGCTGGAGACTAGGAATAGAGCCTTGCTCACTGACCCATTTCATGTCTAGGCTTCCAGCGGAGACTACAGTTTCATTACAACCTATATGCGCCCATAGGTCCTGCCTGCGGCAATGACATCTCTCGGGTCAGTAAGGGCCACTGGGAACAGGAATATCACCCCTATCTGGAAGACCAGGTGGAGGCTTATCACCTTCATAGTAAGGTACTCACTGTCCACGTCAAGAGCCAAGCCAAGGTACTGTTCCTCCAATGAGTAAACAGCACTTCTGTAGGGCTGGCCTAAGTCAGGCAGTTCAAGATAACCTGAAGGAGTCGAATAACATCTATCCAGTGAGTCCTGCAAGACTTCAGGCTCTTTCTCATCCAGCAGCTCCCTGCTGAGCCTGGAAAAGTAGGAAAAAGTAAAGAATAAGCCAGGGGGAATCAGAAACCACACAGCCCCAGCTACATTTCATGGCTAACATAAGGAACTGTTTAAACAGAAAAAGGACAGATCCATTAATGAGGTAATGAATTATTGCCTTTATGTTGGGATAGACCAGGGCCAGGTAGAAAAGAATGAAAGAGAAAGACAGGGAGAGGGAGAGGGAGAGAGAGACAGAGGAGAAAGTGAGCTCAGCGAATTGGCCGGGTGACACACTGATGAAGGGGTCAAAGGACACTCTGAGTTAGTGCCCTCGGGACACACAGAGAACAGTGATCATGAAAAGAGTGGGCTCAATAATTTTCCATAAACTTGCTTAAGATTCCATGCAGTTGCCATACAGCCTTTGAGGTATGGTCAACCTACAGTAAGTTAGTAAATGATAAGGGGAGGAAGAAATGGAAACCTAAACATCTACTGCAAGGAAAACCAACAGCAATGTCAGTAGGAGTAATTCAACCTTCGTTGAAAACATGAAATTGAACATACTCTTGTTTTCCCTGGACCTGGCATCTCCAGGTGTCAACACAGAATTAAGCATCCATAATTGCTCAAAGTTACCTGGGGCATGATGGGTCTTGGTCTTCTTCCACTTCTTGGTACTTTTCAATTTCTGCAATAAGTTCAGACATGGACAGACATATTAAGCTGGTTCTCCTACACACATAACAATCCACTGTCTAATCCTCACGCAGGGACTTCAGGCTCCTCAGCATGAGAATAGGACACTGTGAGAGATCTTCTTCAGGAGGCCTGAAGGCTGATCATGATAGAGATTCCTGGGTTTTTGTCCCAGAAACTGTGGGTAAAATTCCCTATTCTGGTAGATCGTTATCCCAAGATCATTTGTCCCAAGTTTGTGCAAATGGTTATGCCATATTTTTCCAATCGATTTAAAGCAAATGCCCCCAAGTGGTTGCTGGGAGAAAAACTGCAATATTCAGCCCTGTCTCATCAAATACTCAGATTCTTCATGGTAGCGAGGATTTTAGATGCTGAAATTAGAGTGAAGGATGAAATCTACAAGATCTACAAAATTGAGACAAAATCAGAGTTGTGTGAATTTGTCACATCTGCCCAGATCCAACATCTTGAGAGTGGGATTAGGGTGCCACAGGCATGGCCTGAGACTAGGAAGAGAGCCCTGCTCACTGACCCATCCCTTGCCTGGGCTTCCAAGTGGAACTAGAGTTTCATTCAACCTACATGTGCCTATAGGTCCTCCCTGTGGCAATGACATCTCTCAGCTCAGTAAGGGCCATTTGCAGTAGGAATATGACCCTAACCAGAAGACTCAGTGGATCCTTATCACCTTCATAGAAAGGTACTCACCATCCATGTCAAGAGCCCAGCCAACACGCTGTTGCTCCAATATGTAAAAGGCACTTCTGTAGGGCTGGCATGAGTCAGTCAGTTCAAGATAACCTGAAGGAGTTGAATAACATCTATCCAGTGAGTCCTGCAAGACTTCAGGCCCTTTCTCATCCAGCAGCTCCCTGCTGAGCCTGGAAAAGTGGGAAAAAGTAAAGAATAAGCCAGGGGGAATCAGAAACCACACAGCCCCAGCTAGATTTCATGGCTAACATAAGGAAGAGTTTGAAAAGAAAAAGGACAGATCCATTAATGAGGTAACAAATTATTGCCTTTATGTTGGGATAGAACAGGGCCAGGTAGAAAACAATGAAAGAGAAAGACAGAGAGACAGAGACAGAGACAGAGACAGAGAGAAAGTGAGCTAGTGAATTGGCCAGGTGACATACTGGTAAGGGAGTAAAAGGACACTCTGAGTTAGTGCCCTCATGACACACAGCAAACTGCGATCATGAAAAGAGTGAGCTCAATAGTTTTCCATAAAATATGCTCAAAATTCGATGCAGTGGCCATGAGAGTACAGCTTTTGAAGTATGGTCATCCTATGGTACGTTAGTAAATGATAAGGGGAGGAAGAAATGGAAACCTAAGCATCTACTGCAATGAAAACCAACAGCAATGACAGTAGGAGTAATTCAGCCTTCGTTGAAAACATGAAATCAAACACACTCTGGTTTCCCTGAATCTGTTGCCTCCAGGTGTTAACACAGAATTAAGCATCCACAATTGCTGAAAGTTACCTGGGGCATGGTGGGTTTTGATCTTCTTCCCCTTCTTTTCTTCCCCTTCTCCTTCTTTTCTTCGTTGATCTTCTTCCCCTTCTTTTCTTCCCCTTCCCCTTCTTTTCAATTTCTGCAATAAATTCAGACATGGACAGACACATTAAGCTGATTCCCCTACACACATAACAATCCACTGTCTAACCCTCACACAGGGACCTCAGGCTCCTCAGCATAAGAATAGGAGACTGTGAGAGATATATTTCAGGAGGCCTGAAGGCTGGTCATGATAGAAATTCCTCGGTTTTTCTCCCAGAAACTGTGGGTAAAATGTCCCTATTCTAGTAGATCGTTATCCCAATATCATTTGTCCCGAGTTTGTGCAAACAGTTATGCCATATTTTTCCAATCAATTTAAAGCAAATACCCTCAAATGATTTCTAGGAGAAAAACTGCAATATTTAGCCCTGTCTCATCAAATACTCAGATTGTTCATGGTTGTGAGGACTTTAGACACTGAAATTAGAGTGAAAAAGGAAATCTACAAACCCTTGAGTCAAAATCATAGTTCTCTGAATTTGTCACATCTGCCCAGGTCCAATGTCATGAGAGTAGAATCAGAGTGCCACAGGCATGGCCTGAGACTAGGAAGAGAGCCATGCTCACTGACCCATCCCATGTCTGGGCTTCCAGTTAGAACTAGAGTTTCATTCAACCTACATGTGCCTATAGGTCCTCACTGCAGCAATGACATCTCTCAGCTCAGTAATGGCCACTTGGAGCAGGAATATGATCTTTATATGGAAGACTCAGTGGATCCTTATCACCTTCATAGAAAGGTACTCACCTCCCACGTCAAGAGAAAAGCCAACATGTTTTTCCTCCAATGCATAAAAGGAACTTCCATAGGGCAGGCAGGAGTCAGGCTGTTCAAGACAACTGGAAGGAGTTGAATAACATCTATCCAGTGAGTCCTGCAAGACTTCAGGCTCTACTGCCTCCAGCAGCTCCCTGCTGAGCCTGGAAAAGGAGGAAAAAGTAAAGAATAAGCCAGGGGAAATCAGACACAACAGAGCCCCAACTAGGTTTCATGGGTAGCATAAGGAAGTGGTTGAAAAAGTAAAAGGAGAGATCCATTAATGAGGTAACAAATTATTGCTTTCATGTTGGGACAGAACAGGGCCAAATGGAAAAGAATGAAAGAGAAAGACACACACACACACACACACACACACACACACACAGAGAATGAGCTCAGTGAATTGTCCAGGTGACACACTGATGAGGGAGTAACAGGACACTCTGAGTTAGTGCCCTCAGGACACACAGCATACAGTGATCAGGAAAGGACTGTGCTCAATAATTTTCCATAAAATGTGCTCAAGTTTCCATGCAGTCGCCATGAGAATACAGTTTTTGAAGTCTGGTCCACCTACAGTAGGTTAGTAAATGATAAGGGGAGGAAGAAATGGAAACCTAAATATCTACTGCAATGAAAACCAACAGCAATGTTAGTAGGAATAATTCAGGCTCGGTTGAAAAGATGTAATCGATAATGTCAGCCCGCCCTGTTTTCCCTGAACCAGGAGTCTCCAGATGTCAACACAGAAGTAGCTGTTCACAATTGCTCAGTTACCTGGGGCATGGTGGGCCTTGGTCTTCTTCCTCTTCCTGGTCCTTTTTAATTCCTGCAATACATTCAGACAGGGACAGACAAAATAAGCCAATTCACCTACACCCGTAACAGTCCACTGTCTAATCCCCACACAGGGATCTCAGGCTCCTCAGCAAGAGAACAGGACAATGTGAGAGATATACTTCAGGAGGCCTGAAAGCTGGTCATGATATTCTTTGGTTTGCATCTCAGAACCAAGGGTGAAATATCCCTATTCTGGTAGATCGTTATCCCAAAATCATTTATCCCAAGTTTGTGCAAACAGTTATGCCTGATTGTTCCCATCAGTTCAAAGACAATGCCCTAGATGATTTCTAGGAGGAAAACTGCAGTATTCAGCCCTGTCTCATCAAATGCCCAGCTCGTTCATGGATGCAAGAATTTTAGACACTGAAATTAGAATGAGGGAGGAAATCTACAAACCCTTGAGTCCAAATCATAGTTCTGTGAATTTTTTACATCTGCCTGGGTCCAATGTGCTGAGAGCGGGCTCAGGTTGCCACAGGCATGGCTGGAGACTAGGAATAGAGCCTTGCTCACTGACCCATTTCATGTCTAGGCTTCCAGCGGAGACTACAGTTTCATTACAACCTATATGCGCCCATAGGTCCTGCCTGCGGCAATGACATCTCTCGGGTCAGTAAGGGCCACTGGGAACAGGAATATCACCCCTATCTGGAAGACCAGGTGGAGGCTTATCACCTTCATAGTAAGGTACTCACTGTCCACGTCAAGAGCCAAGCCAAGGTACTGTTCCTCCAATGAGTAAACAGCACTTCTGTAGGGCTGGCCTAAGTCAGGCAGTTCAAGATAACCTGAAGGAGTCGAATAACATCTATCCAGTGAGTCCTGCAAGACTTCAGGCTCTTTCTCATCCAGCAGCTCCCTGCTGAGCCTGGAAAAGTAGGAAAAAGTAAAGAATAAGCCAGGGGGAATCAGAAACCACACAGCCCCAGCTACATTTCATGGCTAACATAAGGAACTGTTTAAACAGAAAAAGGACAGATCCATTAATGAGGTAATGAATTATTGCCTTTATGTTGGGATAGACCAGGGCCAGGTAGAAAAGAATGAAAGAGAAAGACAGGGAGAGGGAGAGGGAGAGAGAGACAGAGGAGAAAGTGAGCTCAGCGAATTGGCCGGGTGACACACTGATGAAGGGGTCAAAGGACACTCTGAGTTAGTGCCCTCGGGACACACAGAGAACAGTGATCATGAAAAGAGTGGGCTCAATAATTTTCCATAAACTTGCTTAAGATTCCATGCAGTTGCCATACAGCCTTTGAGGTATGGTCAACCTACAGTAAGTTAGTAAATGATAAGGGGAGGAAGAAATGGAAACCTAAACATCTACTGCAAGGAAAACCAACAGCAATGTCAGTAGGAGTAATTCAACCTTCGTTGAAAACATGAAATTGAACATACTCTTGTTTTCCCTGGACCTGGCATCTCCAGGTGTCAACACAGAATTAAGCATCCATAATTGCTCAAAGTTACCTGGGGCATGATGGGTCTTGGTCTTCTTCCACTTCTTGGTACTTTTCAATTTCTGCAATAAGTTCAGACATGGACAGACATATTAAGCTGGTTCTCCTACACACATAACAATCCACTGTCTAATCCTCACGCAGGGACTTCAGGCTCCTCAGCATGAGAATAGGACACTGTGAGAGATCTTCTTCAGGAGGCCTGAAGGCTGATCATGATAGAGATTCCTGGGTTTTTGTCCCAGAAACTGTGGGTAAAATTCCCTATTCTGGTAGATCGTTATCCCAAGATCATTTGTCCCAAGTTTGTGCAAATGGTTATGCCATATTTTTCCAATCGATTTAAAGCAAATGCCCCCAAGTGGTTGCTGGGAGAAAAACTGCAATATTCAGCCCTGTCTCATCAAATACTCAGATTCTTCATGGTAGCGAGGATTTTAGATGCTGAAATTAGAGTGAAGGATGAAATCTACAAGATCTACAAAATTGAGACAAAATCAGAGTTGTGTGAATTTGTCACATCTGCCCAGATCCAACATCTTGAGAGTGGGATTAGGGTGCCACAGGCATGGCCTGAGACTAGGAAGAGAGCCCTGCTCACTGACCCATCCCTTGCCTGGGCTTCCAAGTGGAACTAGAGTTTCATTCAACCTACATGTGCCTATAGGTCCTCCCTGTGGCAATGACATCTCTCAGCTCAGTAAGGGCCATTTGCAGTAGGAATATGACCCTAACCAGAAGACTCAGTGGATCCTTATCACCTTCATAGAAAGGTACTCACCATCCATGTCAAGAGCCCAGCCAACACGCTGTTGCTCCAATATGTAAAAGGCACTTCTGTAGGGCTGGCATGAGTCAGTCAGTTCAAGATAACCTGAAGGAGTTGAATAACATCTATCCAGTGAGTCCTGCAAGACTTCAGGCCCTTTCTCATCCAGCAGCTCCCTGCTGAGCCTGGAAAAGTGGGAAAAAGTAAAGAATAAGCCAGGGGGAATCAGAAACCACACAGCCCCAGCTAGATTTCATGGCTAACATAAGGAAGAGTTTGAAAAGAAAAAGGACAGATCCATTAATGAGGTAACAAATTATTGCCTTTATGTTGGGATAGAACAGGGCCAGGTAGAAAACAATGAAAGAGAAAGACAGAGAGACAGAGACAGAGACAGAGACAGAGAGAAAGTGAGCTAGTGAATTGGCCAGGTGACATACTGGTAAGGGAGTAAAAGGACACTCTGAGTTAGTGCCCTCATGACACACAGCAAACTGCGATCATGAAAAGAGTGAGCTCAATAGTTTTCCATAAAATATGCTCAAAATTCGATGCAGTGGCCATGAGAGTACAGCTTTTGAAGTATGGTCATCCTATGGTACGTTAGTAAATGATAAGGGGAGGAAGAAATGGAAACCTAAGCATCTACTGCAATGAAAACCAACAGCAATGACAGTAGGAGTAATTCAGCCTTCGTTGAAAACATGAAATCAAACACACTCTGGTTTCCCTGAATCTGTTGCCTCCAGGTGTTAACACAGAATTAAGCATCCACAATTGCTGAAAGTTACCTGGGGCATGGTGGGTTTTGATCTTCTTCCCCTTCTTTTCTTCCCCTTCTCCTTCTTTTCTTCGTTGATCTTCTTCCCCTTCTTTTCTTCCCCTTCCCCTTCTTTTCAATTTCTGCAATAAATTCAGACATGGACAGACACATTAAGCTGATTCCCCTACACACATAACAATCCACTGTCTAACCCTCACACAGGGACCTCAGGCTCCTCAGCATAAGAATAGGAGACTGTGAGAGATATATTTCAGGAGGCCTGAAGGCTGGTCATGATAGAAATTCCTCGGTTTTTCTCCCAGAAACTGTGGGTAAAATGTCCCTATTCTAGTAGATCGTTATCCCAATATCATTTGTCCCGAGTTTGTGCAAACAGTTATGCCATATTTTTCCAATCAATTTAAAGCAAATACCCTCAAATGATTTCTAGGAGAAAAACTGCAATATTTAGCCCTGTCTCATCAAATACTCAGATTGTTCATGGTTGTGAGGACTTTAGACACTGAAATTAGAGTGAAAAAGGAAATCTACAAACCCTTGAGTCAAAATCATAGTTCTCTGAATTTGTCACATCTGCCCAGGTCCAATGTCATGAGAGTAGAATCAGAGTGCCACAGGCATGGCCTGAGACTAGGAAGAGAGCCATGCTCACTGACCCATCCCATGTCTGGGCTTCCAGTTAGAACTAGAGTTTCATTCAACCTACATGTGCCTATAGGTCCTCACTGCAGCAATGACATCTCTCAGCTCAGTAATGGCCACTTGGAGCAGGAATATGATCTTTATATGGAAGACTCAGTGGATCCTTATCACCTTCATAGAAAGGTACTCACCTCCCACGTCAAGAGAAAAGCCAACATGTTTTTCCTCCAATGCATAAAAGGAACTTCCATAGGGCAGGCAGGAGTCAGGCTGTTCAAGACAACTGGAAGGAGTTGAATAACATCTATCCAGTGAGTCCTGCAAGACTTCAGGCTCTACTGCCTCCAGCAGCTCCCTGCTGAGCCTGGAAAAGGAGGAAAAAGTAAAGAATAAGCCAGGGGAAATCAGACACAACAGAGCCCCAACTAGGTTTCATGGGTAGCATAAGGAAGTGGTTGAAAAAGTAAAAGGAGAGATCCATTAATGAGGTAACAAATTATTGCTTTCATGTTGGGACAGAACAGGGCCAAATGGAAAAGAATGAAAGAGAAAGACACACACACACACACACACACACACACACACACACACACAGAGAATGAGCTCAGTGAATTGTCCAGGTGACACACTGATGAGGGAGTAACAGGACACTCTGAGTTAGTGCCCTCAGGACACACAGCATACAGTGATCAGGAAAGGACTGTGCTCAATAATTTTCCATAAAATGTGCTCAAGTTTCCATGCAGTCGCCATGAGAATACAGTTTTTGAAGTCTGGTCCACCTACAGTAGGTTAGTAAATGATAAGGGGAGGAAGAAATGGAAACCTAAATATCTACTGCAATGAAAACCAACAGCAATGTTAGTAGGAATAATTCAGGCTCGGTTGAAAAGATGTAATCGATAATGTCAGCCCGCCCTGTTTTCCCTGAACCAGGAGTCTCCAGATGTCAACACAGAAGTAGCTGTTCACAATTGCTCAGTTACCTGGGGCATGGTGGGCCTTGGTCTTCTTCCTCTTCCTGGTCCTTTTTAATTCCTGCAATACATTCAGACAGGGACAGACAAAATAAGCCAATTCACCTACACCCGTAACAGTTCACTGTCTAATCCCCACACAGGGATCTCAGGCTCCTCAGCAAGAGAACAGGACAATGTGAGAGATATACTTCAGGAGGCCTGAAAGCTGGTCATGATATTCTTTGGTTTGCATCTCAGAACCAAGGGTGAAATATCCCTATTCTGGTAGATCGTTATCCCAAAATCATTTATCCCAAGTTTGTGCAAACAGTTATGCCTGATTGTTCCCATCAGTTCAAAGACAATGCCCTAGATGATTTCTAGGAGGAAAACTGCAGTATTCAGCCCTGTCTCATCAAATGCCCAGCTCGTTCATGGATGCAAGAATTTTAGACACTGAAATTAGAATGAGGGAGGAAATCTACAAACCCTTGAGTCCAAATCATAGTTCTGTGAATTTTTTACATCTGCCTGGGTCCAATGTGCTGAGAGCGGGCTCAGGTTGCCACAGGCATGGCTGGAGACTAGGAATAGAGCCTTGCTCACTGACCCATTTCATGTCTAGGCTTCCAGCGGAGACTACAGTTTCATTACAACCTATATGCGCCCATAGGTCCTGCCTGCGGCAATGACATCTCTCGGGTCAGTAAGGGCCACTGGGAACAGGAATATCACCCCTATCTGGAAGACCAGGTGGAGGCTTATCACCTTCATAGTAAGGTACTCACTGTCCACGTCAAGAGCCAAGCCAAGGTACTGTTCCTCCAATGAGTAAACAGCACTTCTGTAGGGCTGGCCTAAGTCAGGCAGTTCAAGATAACCTGAAGGAGTCGAATAACATCTATCCAGTGAGTCCTGCAAGACTTCAGGCTCTTTCTCATCCAGCAGCTCCCTGCTGAGCCTGGAAAAGTAGGAAAAAGTAAAGAATAAGCCAGGGGGAATCAGAAACCACACAGCCCCAGCTACATTTCATGGCTAACATAAGGAACTGTTTAAACAGAAAAAGGACAGATCCATTAATGAGGTAATGAATTATTGCCTTTATGTTGGGATAGACCAGGGCCAGGTAGAAAAGAATGAAAGAGAAAGACAGGGAGAGGGAGAGGGAGAGAGAGACAGAGGAGAAAGTGAGCTCAGCGAATTGGCCGGGTGACACACTGATGAAGGGGTCAAAGGACACTCTGAGTTAGTGCCCTCGGGACACACAGAGAACAGTGATCATGAAAAGAGTGGGCTCAATAATTTTCCATAAACTTGCTTAAGATTCCATGCAGTTGCCATACAGCCTTTGAGGTATGGTCAACCTACAGTAAGTTAGTAAATGATAAGGGGAGGAAGAAATGGAAACCTAAACATCTACTGCAAGGAAAACCAACAGCAATGTCAGTAGGAGTAATTCAACCTTCGTTGAAAACATGAAATTGAACATACTCTTGTTTTCCCTGGACCTGGCATCTCCAGGTGTCAACACAGAATTAAGCATCCATAATTGCTCAAAGTTACCTGGGGCATGATGGGTCTTGGTCTTCTTCCACTTCTTGGTACTTTTCAATTTCTGCAATAAGTTCAGACATGGACAGACATATTAAGCTGGTTCTCCTACACACATAACAATCCACTGTCTAATCCTCACGCAGGGACTTCAGGCTCCTCAGCATGAGAATAGGACACTGTGAGAGATCTTCTTCAGGAGGCCTGAAGGCTGATCATGATAGAGATTCCTGGGTTTTTGTCCCAGAAACTGTGGGTAAAATTCCCTATTCTGGTAGATCGTTATCCCAAGATCATTTGTCCCAAGTTTGTGCAAATGGTTATGCCATATTTTTCCAATCGATTTAAAGCAAATGCCCCCAAATGGTTGCTGGGAGAAAAACTGCAATATTCAGCCCTGTCTCATCAAATACTCAGATTCTTCATGGTAGCGAGGATTTTAGATGCTGAAATTAGAGTGAAGGATGAAATCTACAAGATCTACAAAATTGAGACAAAATCAGAGTTGTGTGAATTTGTCACATCTGCCCAGATCCAACATCTTGAGAGTGGGATTAGGGTGCCACAGGCATGGCCTGAGACTAGGAAGAGAGCCCTGCTCACTGACCCATCCCTTGCCTGGGCTTCCAAGTGGAACTAGAGTTTCATTCAACCTACATGTGCCTATAGGTCCTCCCTGTGGCAATGACATCTCTCAGCTCAGTAAGAGCCATTTGCAGTAGGAATATGACCCTAACCAGAAGACTCAGTGGATCCTTATCACCTTCATAGAAAGGTACTCACCATCCATGTCAAGAGCCCAGCCAACACGCTGTTGCTCCAATATGTAAAAGGCACTTCTGTAGGGCTGGCATGAGTCAGTCAGTTCAAGATAACCTGAAGGAGTTGAATAACATCTATCCAGTGAGTCCTGCAAGACTTCAGGCCCTTTCTCATCCAGCAGCTCCCTGCTGAGCCTGGAACAGTGGGAAAAAGTAAAGAATAAGCCAGGGGGAATCAGAAACCACACAGCCCCAGCTAGATTTCATGGCTAACATAAGGAAGAGTTTGAAAAGAAAAAGGACAGATCCATTAATGAGGTAACAAATTATTGCCTTTATGTTGGGATAGACTAGGGCCAGGTAGAAAAGGATGAAAGAGAAAGACACACACACACACACACACACACACACACACACACACACACACACACACACACACACAGAGTGAGCTCAGTGAATTGGCCAGGTGACACACTGATGAGGGAGTCAACGGTCATTCTCTATTTGTGCTCTCAGGACACACAGTGAACAGTGATCATGAAAAGCATGGCCTCAATAATTTTGCATAAAATGTGCTCAAGTTTCCCTGCAGCCACCATGAGAATACAGCTTTTGAGGTATGGTCAACCTTCACTAGGTTAGTAAATGATAAGGGTAGGAAGAAATGGAAACCTAAACATTTACTCTAATGAGAACCAAAAAGCAATGTAGTAGGCATAATTTAGACTTGTCTGACAAGACAAAATCATTATTTTCAGCATGTACTGTTTTCCCTGGACTTGGCATCTCCAGGTGTCAACATCAAATTAACTGTCCACAATTTCTCAGACTCACCTGGGACCTGTTGCCTCTTGGTCCTCCTTTTTCACTTGATCCCACCGATGTCCTGCAAATAAATTCAGATGGGGCCTCTTACATTAAGCAGTTCTTCCTTGCACACAGAAACATTCCTCTGTCCAATCCTAACACAGGTACATCAGTCTGGTCAGTGTGAGAACAGGAGACTTTGAGAGAAATATTCCAGTAGGCCTGAGGTCAAGTCTTGAGAAAACTGGCTTGGGTTCTTTCATGAGCCTTGGGCAAAATTACCCTGTTTTGGAATGTTATCTTCCCTATGTGCTCTGTCCTAGGTTTGTGTACACAAATGAGCAACTTTTTCCCCAATAAATTGTAGGCAAATAGTTCTAACACCTCATAGGAGAGATACTTCAATATTAAGCTTTCTCTCATCAAATACCCAGAATTTGATAGTTTATGAGATTGTGGACACAGAGATTTGATGAAGGGGTGCAATGTACCAGCTCTTGAGTCAAAATGAAACTTGGTTCTACACAGAAGCATCAGCTATTATGGCTTTTGTGGGTGAAAAGTCAGCCATTTATCTAGAAAATATACCAGGAACATGACGGACAGATGAGCTAAAGCAAGCGAACTTAGAAGACACAGAAAATGGGAATAAATTCAGTGAAACCTGGGCCACATCTTTCACTGAGAGGTAGACAAGGGTGACACTTGCCTTGGGCAGGTAAAGAACCACACAGACATGCTTTGGGAACAAAACTCATAAGGAATTTTGTAGCTGGCAAGAGACATTTAATTCAGATGAGCTGATCTGACAGACAACTCCTGGTCATGTGCTGCATAGTTTGGTGTGAGCTTGCCACACCTGCCTTGAGTTCAATGTCGTGACAGTCAGTCCAGGTTGGCACGGGCATGGCCTGAGACTAGGAAGAGAGCAAAGCTCACTCACCCACCCCATGCCTGTGCTTCAGACTCGACTCCAGAGTGATTGAAATCTACATTGATATATAGGTTCAGCCCACAGTGATGGCAAATCTCAGCCCAACAAGGGGCACAAGGCCCAAAGATTATGGGGTCTACCTGGGCCATGAACTGGAGCTTTATCACCTTCACAATGGAGTACTCACCGCCTATGTCAACAGCCATGCAGACTTGCTGTTCCTCTAATGAGTGAAATGTGCCGCTGTAAGACTGGTACGAGGCCAACATTTCAGGAGGAATTGAGAGAGTCGAATAACCTTCATCCCAGGACTCCTGGGGGACTTCCTCCTCTTCAGACTCCTGCAGATTCCTGATGAGCCAGGCAGGACAGGGATGATAGAAGATTTAACCAACAGACATTAGACAACAAAACCTCCCAGATGATCTGATGGGAGACAGAATGGAGTGGTCACAGAAACCAAAGGCATTTTTCCTTCAAGAGAAATAAAACTAGCCTTCTAAATACAGGGTGGAGGGTGACTGCTCTGGGGACAGAGCAAAAATGGGCAGCATGTGCTCAGTACATTTGCCACAGATGAGCCAACTCAGGGCACCCAGACTCTCCCTGTAAACTACCATCATGACTTGCAGCACAGAGAACTGACACAGGGCTTCAACTACTTTGCATAAATTGGGTTGAATTTTACATGCAGCATTCAAGTGAAGAGAGTTCTTGACGCAGTGCAGACACAGATCTTGTGTATTAAGGGCCCCATTTTCCCAATATTTTGATATAATATATTTACCTTTTCAATTTCTTTTCTTGCAAAAATACTAGCCAACATACTACCAACGAATAGGAAGAAAGCATATATACATCTCTCCCTGGATTTAAACACATGGGAGAGAATAGGCAACACCAAGAAATCCCTGTTTGAGGGTCTGGAGTGGACTTCCAGCAAACTCCAACAGACCTGAAGCTGAGGGACCTGATTGTTAGAAGGAAAACTAACACACAGAAAGGAATAGCATCAACATCAACAAAAAAGACATCCACCCCAAAACCCCATCTGTAGGTCGCCATCATCAAAGACCAAGGGTAGATAAAACCACAAAGGTGGGGAGAAACCAGAGCACAAAAGCTGAAAATTCCAAAAACCTGACATCCCTTCTCCTCCAAAGGATCACAGCTCCTCGCCAGCAATGGAACAAAGCAGGATGGAGAATGACTTTGATGAGCTGACAGAAGTAGGCTTCAGAAAGTCGGTAATAACAAACTTCTCTGAGCTAAAGGAGGATGTGCGAACTCATCGCAAGGAAGCTAAAAACCTTGAAAAAAGATTAGACGAATGGCCAACCAGAATGAACAGTGTAGAGAAGACCTTAAATGACCTGATGGAGCTGAAAACCATGGCACGAGAACTACGTGATGCATGCACAAGCTTCAGTAGCCAATTCGATCAAGTGCAAGAAACGGTATCAGTGATTCAAGATCAAATTAGTGAAATGAAGCGAGAAGAGAAGTTTAGAGAAAAAAGAGTAAAAAGAAATGAACAAGCCTCCAATAAATATGGGACTATGTGGAAAGACCAAATCTACGTTTGATTGGTGCACTGAAAGTGACGGGGAGAATGGAACCAAGCTGGGAAACATTCTTCAGGATATTATCCAGGAGGACTTCCCCAACCTTGTAAGGAAGGCCAACATTCAAATTCAGGAAACACAGAGAACACCATAAAGATACTCCTCGAGAAGAGCAACCCCAAAACACATAATTGTCAGATTCACCAAGGTTGAAATGAAGGAAAAAATGCTAAGTGCAGCCAGAGAGAAAGGTCGGATTACCCACAAAGGGAAGCCCATCAGACTAGCAGCAGATCTCTTGGCACAAACCCTACAAGCCAGAAGAGAGTGGGAGCAATATTCAACATTCTTTTTTTTTTTCCATATGTATAGTTTTCCTTTATTATTTTTTGTGTGTATGTATATATATGTATATATATTTTTTAATACTTTAAGTCTTAGGGTACATGTGCACAACGTGCAGGTTAGTTACATATGTATACATGTCCACATTGGTGTGCTTCACCCATTAACTCATCATTTAACATTAGGTATATCTCCTAATGCTACCCCTCCTCCCTCCCCCCACCCTACAACAGGCCCCAGTGTGTGATGTTCCCCTTCCTGTGTCCATGTGTTCTCATTGTTCAATTCCCACCTGTGAGTAAGAACATGCGGTACTTGGCTTTTTGTCCTTGCGATAGTTTGCTGAGAATGATGGTTTCCAGCTTCATCCATGCCCCTACAAAGGACATGAACTCATCATTTTTTATAGCTGCATAGTATTCCATGGTGTACACGTGCCACATTTTCTTAATCCAGTCTATCATTGCTGGATATTTGGCTTGGTTCCAAGTCTTTGCTATTGTGAATAGTGCCGCAATAAACATATGTGTGCATGTGTCTTTACAGCAGCATGATTTATAATCCTTTGGGTATACACCCAGTAATGGGATGGCTGGGTCAAATGCTATTTCTAGTTCTAGATCCCTGAGGAATTGCCACACTGCCTTCCACAATCGTTGAACTAGTTTACACTCCCACCAACAGTGTAAAAGTGTTCCTATTTCTCCACATCCTCTCCAGCATCTTCAACATTCTTAAAGAAAAGAATTTTCAACCCAGAATTTCATATCCAGCCAAACAAAGCTTCATAAGTGAAGGAGAAATAAATCCTTTACAGAGAAGCAAATGCTGAGAGATTTTGTCACCACCAGGCCTGCCTTACAAGAGCTCCTAAAGGAAACACTAAACATGGAAAGGAACAAGCGGTACCAGCCACTGCAAAAACATGCCAAACTGTAAAGACCATTGACGCTAGGAAGAAACTGCATCAACTAACGGGCGAAATAACCAGCTAACATCATAACGACAGGCTCAAATTCACACATAACAATATTAACCTTAAATGTAAATGGGCTAAATGCCCCAGTTAAAAAACACAGAATGGCAAATTGGACAAAGAGTCAAGACCCATCAGTGTGCTGTACTCAGGAAACCCATCTCACATGCAGAGACACACATAGGCTCAAAATAAAGGGATGGAGGAAGATCTACCAAGCAAATGGAAAGCAAAAAAATGCAGGGGTTGCAATCCTAGTCTCTGATAAAACAGACTTTAAACCAACAAAGATCAAAGGAGACAAAGAAGGCCACTACATAATGGTAAAGGGATCAATTCAACAAGAAGAGTTAACTATCCTAAATATATATGCACCCTATACGGGAGCACCCAGATTCATAAAGCAAGTCCTGAGAGACCTACAAAGAGATTTAGACTCCACACAATCATAATGGGAGACTTTAACACCCCACTGTCAATATTAGACAGATCAATGAGACAGAAGCTTTACAAGGATATCCAGGACTTGAACTCAGCTCTCCACCAAGCAGACCTAAAAGACATCTACAGAACTCTCCACCCCAAATCAACAGAATATACATTCTTCTCAGCACCACATCACACTTATTCCAAAATTGACCACATAGTTGGAGGTAAAGCACTCATCAGCAAATGTAAAAGAATGGAAACCACAACAAACTGTCAGACCACAGTGCAATCAAATTAGAACTCAGGATTAAGAAACTCACTCAAAACCGCACAACTACATGGAAACTGAACAACCTGCTCCTGAATGACTACTGGGAAAATAACAAAATGAAGGCAGAAATAAAGATGTTCTTTGAAACCAATGAGAACAAAGACACAACATACCAGAATCTCTGGGACACATTTAAAGCAATGTGTAGAGGGAAAATTATAGCACTAAATGCCCACAAGAGAAAGCAGAAAAGATCTAAAATTGACACCCTAACATCACAATTAAAATAACTAGAGAAGCAAAGCAAACAAATTCAAAAGCTAGCAGAAGACAAGAAGTAACTAAGATCAGAGCAGAACTAAAGGAGATAGAGACACAAAAAACCCTTCAAAAAATCAATGAATCCAGGGCTGGTTTTTTGAAAAGATCAACAAGAAAACCCTGTTTGGCTAGTTCACCTGGCTCATCTGATGGCAAGTTCCTATCTTGAGAGGACTATGAAATTAAAACCAATACAAGTGCCACAAATAACATACAACATTGTAAATCAGCACAATTTGTAGCTGGGTGAATGGAAGAAATAGTTCTATTCATCACTTCCTCATTTTCCCTAAATCTACAATCTCCAGATGTCACTACTGAATTAACAGCCAACAATTCCACAACATTACCTGGGAGACACTGGCCCTTTTTCTTCCTCTTCCTCATCATCACTTTCATTTTCTGTAAATAAATTCAGAGAAGCAGGTCACATTAAGCAATTCATACTTCACATATGACCAAATCACTGTCCAGTCATAGCACAAGGACATAACTATTCTCAGTGCAAGAATAAGGATTCTGACAGGAATATTCTAGGGTGCCCTAGATTAACTTTGGTGAGAATTAGATGACCCTGCTTTCCAGACCCACAGGCCAAAATCTCCCTCTACGTGTACACCATAATGCCATATTCCCTGCCTGAGTCAAAGTTAAACAAAATTTTTTCCCCAAAAAAATCTCCAAAAATTGGTCCATTTTCTAAGAGTGTTGCTGCAATACGGACTTATATCACCAGATAACATGGACATTAAATGTTTAGAGGCATCTATACATGAAACACACATGATAGATAAATTTGAACAACTCTTGCTTTAAAAAGAATCTGTGATTTGGGAGGCCAAGACAGGTGAATCATTTGAGGTCATGAGTTCAGGACTACCCTGGCCAATATGGGGAAACCCTGTCTCTACTAAAAATACAAAAATTAGCCAGATGTGATGTTGTGCACCTGTGGTCCTAGCAACTCAGGAGGCTGAGGCAGGAGAATCACTTGAATCTGGGAGGCAGAGGTTGCACCAAGCCAAGATGGTGCAACTGCACTCTAGCCTGGGTGACAGAGCAAGACTCCATCGCAAAAAAAAAAAAAAAAAAAAAAAAAAAAAATCCACGATGCTACAAAGAAACATTGGATCAGCCATTGCATTGACAGGGTGGAGAACCAGGGTCCAGCCTTGCTTTATGGAAATATATCAGCAAAGTAAAGAAGAAAAGTTTCCGTCCTGATTTCAGGGTGACTGTGCAGCTAAGCAAGCTGACTTAAAGGAGATCCGGATGAAAGCTGAGAGCAGTGAAGCCTGGGGAACAATATTTCCAAATACAAAGGCAAGGCTGCCAGCTTCCTGAAACAGGCATAGAAACTCCATGGACATTGTTCAGGGACAGATGACTTAATCACAGATGACAAGAGATACTGAATCGAAGCTAGGAGGCCTGACAGATACTGCCTGTGCACCTCCTGCACTCAGGTGACTATGAGATTGTCACACTTGCCTGGGGTCGAGTAACTTGATACTGGGGACTGGCAGACAAAGGCATGACATTAGCTGAGAAGGACAAAAAAACTCCCTGATATCTGTTTAGAAACCCATCATAGGTTTTTATTCAAATGAATTTGTGTTTATAGAGCCTGTCTTCAGAGTTTATCTTCCTCAGCCTAGAGAGAGGTATGAGACACAAGGAAAACAGAGGCTACCTGGGATAATGTGTACAGCATCCTCCCATTCAACATGAGAGGATGAGCCAATGAGAGTTGAGTCGACTTTGTCTTCCTCAAATGTGATTTTGGTTTTCCTATGTGGCTGGTTGGAGTCATAAGGGCCATGGCTATTTGAACAAGTGATGGCACATTCCTCCAGTGAGTCCTCAGGGACTTCCTTTTCTTCAGCCTTCGGCATCTCCCTGATGAGCCAGGTGGGACAGAGATGACAGAAGATTAAACACAGAGGGATTGGACCCCAGGGAGTCCTAGCTGGTTTTGACAGGCGGCATTAAGAGAGTGGTCCCAGAAAGCAAAATGGAGGTTCCCTTTAAGGGGGAACATGCAATCCTGTTCTCTCTGCAACAGAGCATGGCTGCCATGGGAACCAGAGAGGAAGAGAGCAGCTGGTGTTCATTGCAGTGGACAGATAGGAGCTGAGGAGGATGAAGACTCAGCTATCCCTGTATGGTGCAGACATGACACTCGGCACACATAGAGAAACATGACAGCTGCCGCACCCTGTGTCTAAGCTGGGTTATATTTCACATACTGTGGCCAAGCAAATGCGGGTTTTTGGCCCATCATAGATGCCAGAGAGGGTGTACCTCCTAGATATTCTTCATATGTTACCATCCATTACTTGTTCCTGAGTATTCAGTGTTACCTGGGGGCAGACGATTCCTGCACTTTCTCAGCCACCTCAACTTGAACATCTTCATCGTCATCATTGTCATTTTCTGTAAATACAGAAGTGTTCGTTCAGATATTTCCCACTTCACAGTCTGCAAGCACAGTCAGCCCAATGTGCAACAGAGACATGAACATCTAGGCATGGGTCACCGTTCAACTGAAAACTCTCATGTTTTATCTTTAACAGAATGCCCTGGCATGGTTTCCTGATCCATCAGGCAATGCATTTCTGATCTGGAGGGCCACCATCAAGATGTGGCCAAATATTGAAAAGACCTTTTGCTTCCCATATCACTGGAGGCTTGTGCAGCCTCTCTCTGGACTTTGGCAGCTGTCGCCCCCATCCTGCCAGATCTGATTCCCAGGCACAGGCTTGGTGTCCTGTCACAGTTTGCATTTCAAACCTAATTCTTTCTCTTAGAAGCAGACAAACTTATCCCACAGTCCTCTATGCATCAGAAGATTTCAAGCCTCCAAGTGGCTTCTGCTGTGTTATTCAGGGACATTCTATCCATGGAGAGTGCTCCAGTCTGAAGCACTTCCTACCACGAAACGCCACCACATAAAGTGCCTTCTCCAACATCACACGGCGAGGGGCTTCATCCCATTTTGGAAAGCAGTTTTAAGTGTTCCCACATTTGAATGCTTCAGACCCTTGCAAGAGACAATTTGCCATGGAGAGAGAGAAACTCAGGAAAGACAAGTCATTCACTCACTGACAGTTACTAAGAACATTGCCGAAAAGACACCCTGGGAACCTTCATTCTTAGTCCAGAGCTCTTTTCACTCTAACAAGCCTGCTCCTATCGCAGCCTCCTTCCTGTCCTTTAAAACTAGACAGATGCTGCCTCTTACTCCAAAGACCACCTTCCATCAAGGGAGGAGGGACAATTGCAATACTGTGACCTCCAACCCCATGGGTTTCCCAACTCCGTTCTTACCCAGGAAGTCCTGGTCATGTCATGGCCACATAAGCTTAGTGGAAAAAAACACCATTGATACAACTGTCATTGTGAAAGTATGGAGGTCTGGAGTCTCTCATAAGCCTGGGGTTTTGGGTCATCAGGGCCTATGGCCACCTTACCTGGGCTGAGCTTTTGGACAAGGTGCTGTGCCAGTCTACACCCCTCAGCCAGCTGTTCTTGGAGGTCCTGCCCCTGGGACTTGTCTGGCTCATCCGGAGTGAGGAGGGCCTGGAGATGCTGATTCAATGAGCGGGAGGCATCTCTCCCTTCCCGTAACTTCTCCCTTAACTGGGTCAGCTCCCGTTCCTGAGAGTGAACCAGGACTTTATATTGCCTAAGGTGAGACGGTAGAGAAAATTTAAGAGTGGAAAGGGTTGAGTGATCCGTTCAAATATTGCAACAGAGATTTCTGAGACAATGTCCTCAAGGAGACCTCCAAGCAGAAGGTCAGCACATGTTGGAAGGAATGTCTGTGGCTAAGAGAAAGAATAGAAAATGGTTTACAGGCTTCCTCTGTATCAGAGAGGGCTCCTGCAAGATCCTCGATGATGTTCCATTCATCTTTCCCTTCTGTAAACAAAAGTAGGTGTCTTCCTAATTCCATTTCAAAAAGACATCCTTTCAGTCCCTCACTCTGGCCATGGACATTTCCATGTGAAAATACACATAGTGCATCTTGCGGCCACTAGATACAAAGCCATGTACAGAAATGAGGCCAGGTGCAGATGGGGCGAATTGAAAAGATGAAAGAAGAAAAGAATGACAGGGTCGAGAAGGCAACATTGATTGAGTGAAAGAATGAGAAGACGCAGTCAGTCAGAAGGTGATTCTCACTAAGGGTAAGTGGGGTGGTGATGGCACACCATTTTGAGTATACTGAATGCTGCTGTGTGGTTCACACTCCTTTGGTTAATTTTGTGTTATGTAAATTTCACATCAACAATTACTTGTTTGAAAAAGAGAAAACAAGGCTCTGAGAAACAACTGCAACCCATAAATTTTTATTATCCTTCTTCTCTGCTTGATAAATACTTGTGTGTTGCGAGCCTGCCATGGCAATTCCTGCCCTTCCCCTGGCCCAGCTTAGTTCTTAAGTCTCCCCACTGAGCTGCTGTACTTCAGAGATTTACACACCTGCCCCCCTGCCTGCCCCCATGGGGTCCCCTCACCTGAGCTCCTCAGCTTGCTTGAGCTGCTCTGCAAGCTTCTCCTCCTTGAACTGTCGCTCATTCCTCAGCATAGATTTTATGAGGTCTTTGCACTCTTCATATTCTGAGAAAAGACAGACACGCCTGCCTCAGTGGAAGGCTGGACATGCTGCTGTGGTCATTGCCTACAGGGCAGGAGCCAGGTCCATCCCAAGGACAAAACTCTCCCCAGTACCAGGGTCTAGACAGGGATTTCCACATCTTTACTCTTCAGTCTCCTGACTTTCTGGCATCTGATCCTCCAAAATTTAGAGATGAAGAGAACCTCAAGGGCACATCAAGGAAGTTGACAAGATGATTCAACCACAACGAAGTGGAGTCAGAATTCACAGCCCCTGAGGTCTGACTCTGAATGCAGGGCCACTTTCCCAAGACTTGCAGCCTCTCCTCTAAAACACTGCACTGGGGCATGAAGTAGTGATTTCTTGTACAGTCGGGAAGGCCCCTAGGACTATGGGACTGATGGTTTCCCTTTTACTGGGAATTTCAAGGACAAGTATGCAAAAGATTTTAAAAATCTTTGATTTTTAAATCATATCTTCAGTTATGATTTTAAGAATCATATCTGAAGCATAAAGTGTGACACATAACACCATAAGGCCATGAAGGAAATATGCCCAAATGTTAATAAAGTTTGTGTTAATTTAGAAACAGCAGAATGAAGAACTAATAGATAGTGTTTACTGTGTGCCAATAAATGTTCTAGGAGATTGACAAGAAATAGCTCATGTAATTCACTGCAGCAATTTACAGAGGTAGGTATTATTGTAGTACCCTCTGAACAGGTGAGGAAACAGGGACAGAAAAGACAAGCAACTTGGATGGAGCCCAGGAGACAGGCCCACGTTCTCTGCTCTGTACACTGCACTGCTATCTCCACACATTCTCGGGTGCGATCTTTCTTCCTCTTTAGGAACAAGACTCTGTGCCCTAGGAAGCAGGACTTCACTCTCACCAAGCTACATTCTGCTTCTTATTCTTATTTTTATTTATCATTATTAGTATTATTTTTTTAACAGTCTTGCCCTGTCGCCCAGGCTGGAGTGCAATGGCAAAATCTTGGCTCACTGCAACCTCAGCCTCCTGGGTTCAAAGGATTCTCCTGCCTCAGCCTCCTGAGCAGGGGTGATTACAGTCACCTGCCACCATGCCCATCTACTTTTTGTATTTTTAGTGGAGATGGGGTTTCTCCATGTTGCCCAGGCTGGTCTCAAACTCCTGACCTCGTGCTCTACCCACCTCAGCCTCCCAAAGGGCTGGGATTACAGGAGTGAGCCACCATGCACAGCCCCTACTCCCTGCTCTTGATACTGTCACTTATAGATAGCACAGGTTCTATTAGGAGCAGACTCCTCTTGAAGCCCCTCAGAGCAGGTACTGGCTACTATCACCAAGTTTCCCTCAGAGTCACTAGAACAGAGCTTTGCATATTGGGCCTCAACAGAAACTTGAACTGAATAAAAGTTCACTAGTCTCAGACATTTAGAGCAACAGACTAGATGTTATTTGTCTGCAGGATCTTACATGGTACAGAGAGGATTCTTGAAAACATGATTGAGCCTCTTGGAGAAAACAGGTCATTCTGTGCCTGTGTCAGAAATCAATAAATGGCAGTTTAACTCTAGTCCCACCCCCACCTGATTGCAAACATGGAAAGTTGCTAAATATTTTGGGACCTCTGTCTTCCAACTTTAACAAAATGTTAAAATACCCATTTCTGTTTTCCTAGAAGTATGGGGAGGATGACATTATTTTAGATGGAGAGAGCACTTAGTTTCTCAGAGAGAAGACAGGACTTCGTTCATCACTTTCGTGATGGTGAGCCTATAGATCTTACTGTATTTGTTCTGCTGGTTGGCCAGGAAGCAGGCCAGTTGAGTTACAAAACATTTCTCTTTGAGGTTTCTGAACTGCTGTTTCTTCTCTGCCAGCTGGGGATGCAATTTCTCGTTGATTTCTAGAATGTTCATCTCTGCCTTCTCGCTGGACAAGGGGCCGGCTGATACCACCATGCTGACGTTTGTGGCAGAAGAGGTGGGGCCAGGGACTGGGGAGAAGAAAGGCAAACACATGATGGGTTAAAAACTGGTGAAATCAAATAGGTTTAATCACACTGAGGGATGTCAGTGGCAGCCTTGTCTACTTATTTGAAGATGATGTTTCCCTGGTTTCACTCTTGTCATCTCCAGTCTTGATCTCCTTTAAGTCAACTTATCTTAGCTATGCAGTCACCTTGAAACCAGGACATAAACACTTCTACACTTTTCTTGCTTATAAGTTTCTATAAAGCAAGGCTTGGCCCTGAGATTTTTACCCCATGAGTGGCCAATGTTTCTGTGTAGCACAAAAGGTTTCATTTTGCCTTTTTAATTTTTTTCTTTTTTGGTTTTTTGTTTTTTGTTTGAGACGGAGTCTCACTCTGTCACGCAGGCTGCAGTGCAGAGGCACAATCTCAGCTCACTGCCACCTCTGCCTCCCGGGTTCAAGCGATTCTCATCCCTCAGCCTGCCAAACATCTGGGATTACAAGCGCCAAGTAACATGCCAGCTAATTTTTGTATTTTTAGTAGAGATGGGGTTTCGCCATCTTGGACAGGCTGGTTTCGAACTCCTGACCTCAGGTGTTCCGCCCACCTTGGCCTCCCAAAGTGCTGGGATTAAGATGTCAGCCAGCACCCCCGGTCAGAGACTTTTTTTTTTTTTTTTTGAGATGGAGTCTCGCTCTGTCTCCCAGGCTGGAGTGCAGTGGCACAATCTAGGCTCACTGCAAACTCCGGTTCCTGGGTTCATGCCATTCTCCTGCCACAGCCTCCCGAGTAGCTGGGACTACAGGCGCCCAACACCGTGCCCAGCTAATTTTTTTTTTTTGTAATTTTAGTAACGACGGGGTTTCACCGTGTTAGCCAGGATGGTCTCGATCTCCTGACCTCGTGATCCACCCGCCCCAGCCTCCGAAAGTGCTGGGATTACATGTGTGAGCCACCGCACCCGGCCAAGACTTCTTATTAATAGCTAAGACAAGCCAATGAAAAGGAGAGAGAGTCTAGCCTGAGAGGAGTGAACCAGGGTGGGAGGATCGTCTCAGCCGATCCTCCCACCTAAGTCTCCTGAGCAGTTGGGACTAGAGGCACGCAGCACCATGCCTGCCTAATTTTTTGTATTCTTTGTAAAGATGGGTTTCACCATATTGTCCAGGCTGGTCTTCAACTCCTGAACTCAAGTCATCCTCCCACTTGGGCCTTCCAAAGTGCTGTGATTATATGTGTGAGTCACAGAACCTAGCTCCATCCTAGTTTCTGACTAAAAGAATAACAATATGTGTATATACAGCCTGTCCTCAGAATTGATCTTCCATAGCCTAGACAGAGGTATGAGACACAAGGAAAATAGAGGCTACCTGGGAGAATGTTTACAGCATCCTGACATTCATCATGAGAGGATTCTCTGTCTACAACCAGAGTTGAGTTGACTTTGTCTTCCTCAAAGGTGATGTTGATGTTCTTGTGAGGCTGGTTGGAGTCACAAGGGCTGTGGCTATTTGAACAAGTGATGGCACATTCCTCCAGTGAGTCCTCAGGGACTTTGCTTTCTTCAGCCTTCTGCACCTCCCTGATGAGCCAGGTGGGACAGAGATGACAGAAGATTAAACACAGAGGGATTGGACCCCAGGGAGTCCTAGCTGGTTTTGACAGGCGGCATTAAGAGAGTGGTCCCAGAAAGCAAAATGGAGGTTCCCTTTAAGGGGGAACAGGCAATCCTCTTCTCTCTGCAACAGAGCATGGCTGCCATGGGAGCCAGAGAGGAAGAGAGCAGCTGGTGTTCAGTGCACTGGACAGATAGGAGCTGAGGAGGATGAAGACTCAGCTATCCCTGTATGGTACAGACATGACACTTGGCACACATAGAGAAACACGACAGCTGCCGCACCCTGTGTCTAAGCTGGGTTGAATTTCACATACTGTGGCCAAGCGAATGCGGGCTTTTGGCCCATCATAGATGCCAGAGAGGGTGTGCCTCCTACACATTTTCATATGTTACCACCCATTACTTGCTCCCGAGTATTCAGTGTTACCTGGGGGCAGATGATTCCAGTACTTTCTCAGCCTCCTCAACTTGAACATCTTCATCCTCATCTTCGTCATTTTCTGTAAATACAAAATGTTCGTTCAGATATTTCCCACTTCACATTCTGCAAGCACAGTCAGCCCAATGTGCACAGAGACATGAACATCTATGTATGGTTCAGCACTGTACTGAAAACTGTCATATTTTATCTTTCACAAAATGCCCTGGCATGGTTTCCTGGTCCATCGGGCAATGCATTTCTGATCTGGAGGGCCACCATCAAGATGTGGTCAAATATTGAAAAGACCTTTTGCTTCCCATATCACTGGAGGCTTGTGCAGCCTCTCTCTGGACTTTGGCAGCTGTCGCCCCCATCCTGCCACATATCTGATTCCCAGGAACAGGCTTGGTGTCCTGTCACAGTTCGCATTTCAAACCTCATTCTTTCTCTTAGGAGAGGACACACTTGTCCCACAGTCCTCTATGCATCATGAGACTGCACAGGCCCTCCAAGTGGCTTCTGCTGTGTTATTCAGGGACATTCTATCCACGGGGAGTGCTCCAGTCTGAAGCACTTCCTACCACCAAATGCCCCTACACCAAGTGCCTTCTCCAACACCAAACGGAGAGGGGCTTCATCTCATTTTAAAAAGCATTCGTAAGTGTTCCCATATTTGGATGCTTCAGACCCTTGCAAGAGACAATTTGTCTGCCTTTGCAGATGGAGAGAGAGAAACTCTGGAAAGATAAATCACTCACTCACGACAGTTACTAAGAACATTGTCAAAAAGACAGCCTGGGAACCTTCATTCTTAGCCCAGAGCTCTTTTCACTCCAACAAGCGCCCTCCCATCACAGCCTCCTTCCTGTCCTTTAAAACTAGACAGATGCTGCCTCTTGCTCCAAAGACCACCTTCCATCAAGGAAGGAGGGACACTTGCAATACTGTGACCTCCAACCCCATGGGTTTCCCATCTCTGTTCTTACCCAGGAAGTCCTGGTCATGTCATGGCCACATATGTATAGCAGAAAAAAACCCCACTGATACAACTGTCATTGTGAAAGTATGGAGGTCTGGAGCCTCTCATAAGCCTGGGGTTTTGGGTCATCAGGGCCTATGGCCACCTTACCTGGGCTGAGCTTCTGGAAAAGTTGCTGTGCCAGTCTACACCCCTCAGCCAGCTGTTCTTGGAGGTCCTGCCCCTGGGACTTGTCTGGCTTATCCGGAGTGAGGAGGGCCTGGAGATGCTGATTCAATGAGCGGGAGGCATCTCTCCCTTCCCGTAACTTCTCCCTTAAGTGGGTCAGCTCTCGTTCCTGAGAGTGAACCAGGACTTTATATTGCCTAAGGTGAGACGGTAGAGAAAATTTAAGAGTGGAAAGGGTTGAGTGATCCGTTCAAATATTGCAACAGAGATTTCTGAGACAATGTCCTCAAGGAGACCTCCAAGCAGAAGGTCAGCACATGTTGAAAGGAATGACTGTGGCCAAGAGAAATAATAGAAAATGGTTTACAGGCTTCCTCTGTATCAGAGAGGTCTCCTGCAAGATCCTCGATGATGTTCCATTCATCTTTCCCTTCTGTAAACAAAAGTAGGTGTCTTCCTAATTCCGTTTCAAAAAGACATCCTTTCAGTTCCTCACTCTGGCCATGGACATTTCCATGTGAAAATACACATAGTGCAACTTGCGGCCACTAGATACAAAGCCATGTACAGAAATGAGGCCAGGTGCAGATGGGGCGAATTGAAAAGACGAAAGAAGAAAAGAATGACAGGGTCAAGAAGGCAACATTGATTGAGTGAAAGAATGAGAAGACGCAGTCAGTCAGAAGGTGGTTCTCACTAAGGGTAAGTGGGGTGGTGATGGCACACCATTTTGAGTATACTGAGTGCTGCTGTGTGGTTCACAGTCCTTTGGTTAATTTTGTGTTATGTAAATTTCACATCAACAATTACTTGTTTGAAAAAGAGAAAACAAGGCTCTAAGAAACAACTGCAACCCATAAATTTTTATTATCCTTCTTCTCTGCTTGATAAATACTTGTGTGTTGCGAGCCTGCCATGGCAATTCCTGCCCTTCCCCTGGCCCAGCTTAGCTCTTACGTCTCCCCACCGAGCTGCTGTACTTCAGAGATTTACACAGCTGCTCCCCCACCTGCCCCCATGGGGTCCCCTCACCTGAGCTCCTCAGCTTGCTTGAGCTGCTCTGCAAGCTTCTCCTCCTTGAACTGTCGCTCTTTCCTCAGCATAGATTTTATGAGGTCTTTGCACTCTTCATATTCTGAGAAAAGACAGACACGCCTGCCTCAGTGGAAGGCTGGACATGCTGCTGTGGTCATTGCCTACAGGGCAGGAGCCAGGTCCATCCCAAGGACAAAACTCTCCCCAGTATCAGGGTCTAGACAGGGATTTCCACATCTTTACTCTTCAGTCTCCTGACTTTCTGGCATCTGATCCTCCAAAATTTAGAGATGAAGAAAGGGAACCTCAAGGGCACATCAAGGAAGTTGACAAGATGATTCAACCACAACGAAGTGGAGTCAGAATTCACAGCCCCTGAGGTCTGACTCTGAATGCAGGGCCACTTTCCCAAGACTTGCAGCCTCTCCTCTAAAACACTGCACTGGGGCATGAAGTAGTGATTTCTTGTACAGTCGGGAAGGCCCCTAGGACTATGGGACTGACGGTTTCCCTTTTACTGGGAATTTCAAAGACAAGTATGCGAAAGATTTTAAAAATCTTTGATTTTTAAATCATATCTTCAGTTATGATTTTAAGAATCATATCTGAAGCATAAAGTGTGACACATAACACCATAAGGTCATGAAGGAAATATGCCCAAATGCTAATAAAGTTTGTGTTAATTTAGAAACAGCAGAATGAAGAACTAATAGATAGTGTTTACTGTGTGCCAATAAATGTTCTAGGAGATTGACAAGAAATAGCTCATGTAATTCACTGCAGCAATTTACAGAGGTAGGTATTATTGTAGTACCCTCTGAACAGGTGAGGAAACTGAGGGACAAACAAGACAAGCAACTTGGATGGAGCCCAGGAGACAGGCCCACGGTCTCTGCTCTGTACACTGCACTGCTACCTCCACACATTCTCAGGTGCGATCTTTCTTCCTCTTTAGGAACAAGACTCTGTGCCCCAGGAAGCAGGACTTCACTCTCACCAAGCTACACTCTGCTTCTTATTCTTATTTTTATTTATCATTATTATTATTATTATTATTATTATTATTATTTTTACCAGTCTTGCCCTGTCACCCAGAGTGGAGTGCAATGGCAAAATCTTGGCTCACTGCAACCTCAGCCTCCTGGGTTCAAAGGATTCTCCTGCCTCAGCCTCCTGAGCAGGGGTGATTACAGTCACCTGCCACCATGCCCATCTACTTTTTGTATTTTTAGTGGAGATGGGGTTTCTCCATGTTGCCCAGGCTGGTCTCAAACTCCTGACCTTGTGATCTGCCCGCCTCAGCCTCCCAAAGGGCTGGGATTACAGGAGTGAGCCACCATGCACCGCCCCTACTCCCTGCTCTTGATGCTGTCACTTATAGATAGCACAGGTTCTATTAGGAGCAGACTCCTCTTGAAGCCCCTCAGAGCGGGTACTGGCTACTATCACCAAGTTTCCCTCAGAGTCACTAGAACAGAGCTGTGCCTGTTGGGCCTCAACAGAAACTTGAACTGAATAAAAGTTCACTAGTCTCAGACATTTAGAACAACAGACTAGATGTTATTTGTCTGCAGGATCTTACATGGTACAGAGAGGATTCTTGGAAACATGATTGAGCCTCTTGGAGAAAACAGGTCATTCTGTGCCTGTGTCAGAAATCAATAAATGGCAGTTTAACTCTAGTCCCACCCCCACCTGATTGCAAACATGGAAAGTTGCTAAATACTTTGGTACCTCTCTCTTCCAACTTTAACAAAATGTTAAAATACCCATTTCTGTTTTCCTAAAAGTATGGGGAGGATGACATTATTTTAGATGGAGAGAGCACTTAGTTTCTCAGAGAGAAGACAGGACTTCGTTCATCACTTTCGTGATGGTGAGCCTATAGATCTTACTGTATTTGTTCTGCTGGTTGGCCAGGAAGCAGGCCAGTTGAGTTACAAAACATTTCTCTTTGAGGTTTCTGAACTGCTGATTCTTCTCTGCCAGCTGGGGATGCAATTTCTCGTTGATTTCTAGAATGTTCATCTCTGCCTTCTCGCTGAACAAAGGGCCGGCTGATACCACCATGCTGACGTTTGTGGCAGAAGAGGTGGGGCCAGGGACTGGGGAGAAGAAAGGCAAACACATGATGGGTTAAAAACTGGTGAAATCAAATAGGTTTAATCACACTGAGGGATGTCAGTGGCAGCCTTGTCTACTTATTTGAAGATGTTGTTTCCCTGGTTTCACTCTTGTCATTTCCAGTCTTGATCTCCTTTAAGTCAACTTGTCTTAGCTATGCAGTCACCTTGAAACCAGGACATAAACACTTCTACACTTTTCTTGCTTATAAGTTTCTATAAAGCAAGGCTGGGCCCTGAGATTTTTACCCCATGAGTGGCCAATGTTTCTGTGTAGCACAAAAGATTGCATTTTCCTTTTTCGATATTTTTCTCTTTTGGTTTTTTGTTTTTTGTTTGAGACGGAGTCTCACTCTGTCACGCAGGCTGCAGTGCAGTGGCGCAATCTCAGCTCACTGCCACCTCTGCCTCCCGGGTTCAAGTGATTCTCATCCCTCAGCCTGCCAAACATCTGGGATTACAAGCGCCAAGTAACATGCCAGCTAATTTTTGCATTTTTAGTAGAGATTGGGTTTCGCCATCTTGGACAGGCTGGTTTCGAACTCCTGACCTCAGGTGTTCCGCCCACCTTGGCCTCCCAAAGTGCTGGGATTAAGATGTGAGCCAGCACCCCCGGTCAGAGACTTTTTTTTTTTTTTTTTTTGAGATGGAGTCTCGCTCTGTCTCCCAGGCTGGAGTGCAGTGGCACAATCTAGGCTCACTGCAAACTCCGGTTCCTGGGTTCATGCCATTCTCCTGCCACAGCCTCCCGAGTAGCTGGGACTACAGGCGCCCAACACCGTGCCCAGCTAATTTTTTTTTTTTTGTATTTTTAGTAACGACGGGGTTTCACCGTGTTAGCCAGGATGGTCTCGATCTCCTGACCTCGTGATCCACCCGCCCCGGCCTCCCAAAGTGCTGGGATTACATGTGTGAGCCACCGCGCCCGGCCGAGACTTCTTATTAATAGCTAAGACAAGCCAATGAAAAGGAGAGAGAGTCTAGCCTGAGAGGAGTGAACCAGGGTGGGAGGATCGTCTCAGCCGATCCTCCCACCTAAGTCTCCTGAGCAGTTGGGACTAGAGGCACGCAGCACCATGCCTGCCTAATTTTTTGTATTCTTTGTAAAGATGGGTTTCACCATATTATCCAGGCTGGTCTTCAACTCCTGAACTCAAGTCATCCTCCCACTTGGGCCTTCCAAAGTGCTGTGATTATATGTGTGAGTCACAGAACCTAGCTCCATCCTAGTTTCTGACTAAAACAATATGTGTGTATACAGCCTGTCCTCAGAATTGATCTTCCATAGCCTAGACAGAGGTATGAGACACAAGGAAAATAGAGGCTACCTGGGAGAATGTTTACAGCATCCTGACATTCATCATGAGAGGATTCTCTGTCTACAACCAGAGCTGAGTTGACTTTGTCTTCCTCAAAGGTGATGTTGATGTTCTTGTGAGGCTGGTTGGAGTCACAAGGGCCGTGGCTATTTGAACAAGTGATGGCACATTCCTCCAGTGAGTCCTCAGGGACTTTGCTTTCTTCAGCCTTCTGCACCTCCCTGATGAGCCAGGTGGGACAGAGATGACAGAAGATTAAACACAGAGGGATTGGACCCCAGGGAGTCCTAGCTGGTTTTGACAGGCGGCATTAAGACAGTGGTCCCAGAAAGCAAAATGGAGGTTCCCTTTAAGGGGGAACAGGCAATCCTCTTCTCTCTGCAACAGAGCATGGCTGCCATGGGAGCCAGAGAGGAAGAGAGCAGCTGGTGTTCAGTGCACTGGACAGATAGGAGCTGAGGAGGATGAAGACTCAGCTATCCCTGTATGGTACAGACATGACACTTGGCACACATAGAGAAACACGACAGCTGCCGCACCCTGTGTCTAAGCTGGGTTGAATTTCACATACTGTGGCCAAGCGAATGCGGGCTTTTGGCCCATCATAGATGCCAGAGAGGGTGTGCCTCCTAGACATTTTCATATGTTACCACCCATTACTTGCTCCTGAGTATTCAGTGTTACCTGGGGGCAGATGATTCCAGTACTTTCTCAGCCTCCTCAACTTGAACATCTTCATCCTCATCTTCGTCATTTTCTGTAAATACAAAATGTTCGTTCAGATATTTCCCACTTCCCATTCTCCAAGCACAGTCAGCCCAATGTGCACAGAGACATGAACATCTATGTGTGGTTCAGCATTGTACTGAAAACTGTCATGTTTTATCTTTCACAAAATGCCCTGGCATGGTTTCCTGGTCCATCGGGCAATGCATTTCTGATCTGGAGGGCCACCATCAAGATGTGGCCAAATATTGAAAAGACCTTTTGCTTCCCATATCACTGGAGGCTTGTGCAGCCTCTCTCTGGACTTTGGCAGCTGTCTCCCCCATCCTGCCACAGATCTGATTCCCAGGAACAGGTTTGGTGTCCTGTCACAGTTCGCATTTCAAACCTCATTCTTTCTCTTAGGAGAGGACAAACTTGTCCCACAGTCCTCTATGTGTCATGAGACTGCACAGGCCCTCCATGTGGCTTCTGCTGTGTTATTCAGGGACATTCTATCCATGGGGAGTGCTCCAGTCTGAAGCACTTCCTACCACCAAATGCCCCCACATCAAGTGCCTTCTCCAACACCAAACGGAGAGGGGCTGCATCTCATTTTAAAAAGCATTCGTAAGTGTTCCCATATTTGGATGCTTCAGACCCTTGCAAGAGACAATTTGTTTGCCTTTGCAGATGGAGAGAGAGAAACTCTGGAAAGATAAATCACTCACTCACCGACAGTTACTAAGAACATTGCCAAAAAGACAGCCTGGGAACCTTCATTCTTAGCCCAGAGCTCTTTTCACTCCAACAAGCGCCCTCCCATCACAGCCTCCTTCCTGTCCTTTAAAACTAGACAGATGCTGCCTCTTGCTCCAAAGACCACCTTCCATCAAGGAAGGAGGGACACTTGCAATACTGTGACCTCCAACCCCATGGGTTTCCCATCTCTGTTCTTACCCAGGAAGTCCTGGTCATGTCATGGCCACATATGTGTAGCAGAAAATAACCCCACTGATACAACTGTCATTGTGAAAGTATGGAGGTCTGGAGCCTCTCATAAGCCTGGGGTTTTGGGTCATCAGGGCCTATGGCCACCTTACCTGGGCTGAGCTTTTGGAAAAGTTGCTGTGCCAGTCTACACCCCTCAGCCAGCTGTTCTTGGAGGTCCTGCCCCTGGGACTTGTCTGGCTTATCCGGAGTGAGGAGGGCCTGGAGATGCTGATTCAATGAGCGGGAGGCATCTCTCCCTTCCCGTAACTTCTCCCTTAACTGGGTCAGCTCCCGTTCCTGAGAGTGAACCAGGACTTTATATTGCCTAAGGTGAGACGGTAGAGAAAATTTAAGAGTGGAAAGGGTTGAGTGATCCGCTCAAATATTGCAACAGAGATTTCTGAGACAATGTCCTCAAGGAGACCTCCAAGCAGAAGGTCAGCACATGTTGAAAGGAATGACTGTGGCCAAGAGAAAGAATAGAAAATGGTTTACAGGCTTCCTCTGTATCAGAGAGGGCTCCTGCAAGATCCTCGATGATGTTCCATTCATCTTTCCCTTCTGTAAACAAAAGTAGGTGTCTTCCTAATTCCGTTTCAAAAAGACATCCTTTCAGTTCCTCACTCTGGCCATGGACATTTCCATGTGAAAATACACATAGTGCATCTTGCGGCCACTAGATACAAAGCCATGTACAGAAATGAGGCCAGGTGCAGATGGGGCGAATTGAAAAGACGAAAGAAGAAAAGAATGACAGGGTCGAGAAGGCAACATTGATTGAGTGAAAGAATGAGAAGACGCAGTCAGTCAGAAGGTGATTCTCACTAAGGGTAAGTGGGGTGGCGATGGCACACCATTTTGAGTATACTGAATGCTGCTGTGTGGTTCACACTCCTTTGGTTAATTTTGTGTTATGTAAATTTCACATCAACAATTACTTGTTTGAAAAAGAGAAAACAAGGCTCTAAGAAACAACTGCAACCCATAAATTTTTATTATCCTTCTTCTCTGCTTGATAAATACTTGTGTGTTGCGAGCCTGCCATGGCAATTCCTGCCCTTCCCCTGGCCCAGCTTAGCTCTTACGTCTCCCCACCGAGCTGCTGTACTTCAGAGATTTACACACCTGCTCCCCTGCCTGCCCCCATGGGGTCCCCTCACCTGAGCTCCTCAGCTTGCTTGAGCTGCTCTGCAAGCTTCTCCTCCTTGAACTGTCGCTCATTCCTCAGCATAAATTTTATGAGGTCTTTACACTCTTCATACTCTGAGAAAAGACAGACACGCCTGCCTCAGTGGAAGGCTGGACATGCTGCTGTGGTCACTGCCTACAGGGCAGAAGCCAGGTCCATCCCAAGGACAAAACTGTCCCCAGTACCAGGCTCTAGGCAGGGATTTCCACATCTTTACTCTTCAGTCTCCTGACTTTCTGGCATCTTATCCTCCAAAATTTAAAGACGAAGAAAGAGAAATTCAAGGCACATCAAGGAAGTTGACAAGATGATTCAACCACAACGAAGTGGAGTCAGAACTCACAGCCCCTGAGGTCTGACTCTGAATGCGGGGCCACTTTCCCAAGACTTGCAGCCTCTCTTCTGAAACACTGCACTGGGGCATGAAGTAGTGATTTCTTGTACAGTCGGGAAGGCCCCTAGGACTATGGGACTGACGGTTTCCCTTTTACTGGGAATTTCAAAGACAAGTATGCGAAAGATTTTAAAAATCTTTGATTTTTAAATCATATCTTCAGTTATGATTTTAAGAATCATATCTGAAGCATAAACTGTGACACATAACACCATAAGGTCATGAAGGAAATATGCCCAAATACTTTATTAGTATGACAGGCAGCATCAAGATTTAGATTAGTTGTGTTAATTTAGAAACAGCATAAGATTAGTTTGTGTTAATTTAGAAACATCAGAATGAAGAACTAATAGATAGTGTTTACACTGTGCCAATTAATGTTCAAGGAGATTGACAGGAAATACCTCATGTAATTCATTGCAGCAATTTACAGAGGTAGGTATTATTGTAGTACCCTCTGAACAGATGAGGAAACTGAGGGACAGACAAGACAAGCAACTTGGATGGAGCCCAGGAGACAGGCTGAGGGTCCCTGCTTTGCACACTGCACTGCTGCTTCCACACATTCTCGGGTGTGATCTTTCTTCCTCTTTAGGAACAAGAGCCTGTGCACCAGGAAGCAGGACTTCACTCTCACCAAGGTACTCTCTGCTTTTTATTTTTATTTTTGTTTTATTTATCTTTTTGTTTGTTTGTTTTTTGATGAGTCTTGCCCTGTCACCCATGCTGGAGTGCAATAGTGCAATCTTGGCTCACTGCAACATCTGCCTGCTGGGTTCAAAGGATTCTTCTGCCTCAGCCTCCCGATTAGTGGTGATTACAGTTGCCCGCCACGACGCCCATCTACTTTTTGTATTTTTAGTGGAGATGGGGTTTCTCCATGTTGCCCAGGCTAGTCTCAAACTCCTCACCTCGTGCTCTGCCCGCCTCAGCCTCCCAAAGTGCTGAGATTACAGGAGTGAGCCACGTTGCACGGCCCCTACTCCCTGCTCTTGATGCTGTCACTTATAGATAGCACAGGTTCTATTAGGAGCAGACTCCTCTTGAAGCCCCTCAGAGCAGGTACTGGCTACTATCACCAAGTTTCCCTCAGAGTCACTAGAACAGAGCTTTGCCTGTTGGGCCTCAACAGAAACTTGAACTGAATAAAAGTTCACTAGTCTCAGACATTTAGAACAACAGACTAGATGTTATTTGTCTGCAGGATCTTATATGGTACAGAGAGGATTCTTGAAAACATGATTGAGCCTCTTGGAGAAAACAGGTCGTTCTGTGTCTGTGTTAGAAATCAATAACTGTGAGTTTAACTCTAGTCCCACCCCCACCTGATTGCAAACATGGAAAGTTGCTAAATACTTTGGTACCTCTGTCTTCCAACTTTAACAAAATGTTAAAATACCCATTTCTGTTTTCCTAGAAGTACAGGAAGGATGAAATTATTTTTGATGGAGAGAGCATTTAGTGTCTCAGAGAGAAGACAGGACATCATTCATCACTTTCATGATGGTGAGCCTATAGATCTTACTGTATTTCTTCTGTCGGTTGGCCAGGAAGCCGGCCAGTTGAGTTACAAAACATTTCTCTTTGAGGTTTCTGAACTGCTGTTTCTTCTCTGCCAGCTGGGGGCGCAATTTCTCGTTGATTTCTAAAATGTTCGTCTCTGCCTTCTCGCTGGACCAAGGGCCAGCTGATACCACCATGCTGACGTTTGTGGCAGAAGAGGTGGAGCCAGGGACTGGGGAGAAGAAACCCAAACATATGATGGGTTAAAAACTGGTGAAATCAAATAGGTTTCATCAGGACTGAGGGATGTCAGTAACTGAAATTCTTAACTTACTGTTGTGAAAAATGTGATCACTCCCCACAGCACTTTAGGATCCTTCACCACAAAAACAAGGTTCGAGGTGCCTGAACTCAGAGCTGAAAGCACTGCCAGTAGCTCAGACTCTGATAAGAGTGAGGTAGACTGTGGCCAGCGTGCCAGGTAACCGTCTGCAGTTGCAATAACAGAATTAGAAGGTGGGGGTGTCATGGAATCTTAGGAGCCCTGCATTCCAATTGCCCAGGCTTTCCTGAAACACAGGCACCCTAGTCTCACCTGAGGGTCACCACCAATGGGGATCATTCCTTCAGCATTCACTCTCAGTATTCGTGTACCCTTGTGACGATGCCACAGACCCGTGTCTTTCCCAATACATCTAAGCATATTCCTCACTGTTTATCTCTTGTCTGTACAACATCATCAAGGCAGAAACAGTTTCCCAACAGGTTGTATTTTCTTAATGGTAGTCATGAAGTCACCCCACCTGCTCTCAGTTAAAACAGAGCTTAAGGCCTTTCCACAGGTGTAAGATATCAAACTTTTAGCCTGCCCTGATTTCCTCTGGGTCTTCTGCAGTTTTGTCTGTATCCACTAGAAAGTGAATGAATAATTCATTTGTAAAAAATGTTGTCTTGCCTGTCTCAGTATTCTTCTTGCTGTTTCCCATTGTTATGTTGATTTCTTTTTTCTCACTGGGGCACCATCTTTGCTTTTCATTACACTCTAGACCAGTTTGACATCCCTATGTCCAGAGCTCTTCCTCTATGTGGGTTGATTTGGTTTTTGATGTCACTGAGCGCTACATTTTATACTTGTCACTTATGGATGTCATTCTAGTGTCACAAGAGCTCTTTTCAAGGTATCAAGTGATCAAAATCATTTATATAGAGATCTCCTGAAAACATGTGTGACCATCTATCTTGGGAAGTTTCATAAACCTGATGCTATTTTGTTGTTTCCATTTTGTTTTCCCATATACTGAAAAGAACAGGGCCATGAGCGGTTCTTATGCAATATGGTTTGATATATATTTTGTTGAGATGACCTAACACCATTGATTTTGGGTTGCATTCCACTAACAGAACATGGCAAGATCAAGGTTATGGTCACGGTTGGTTGGTGATCCTCAGTGTTGCAGTAGAAGGTGAGTTTGAGATGAGAGGAATGAGTAGGAAAGAGTGATCCCCTGAACCACCTCCTCGCTTTCTCAGCTTTCACCCCACCTAGGTTTTGTGAGCCTGGAACTTGGGAGACTGTTCTGTAGCCCAGGTCTCCTAAGATTGGCTGCTGGACTTGCCTGAGTTGAGGGTGCGGTGGGTTGACCCTGGGCTGCCCAGCATTCATGTGGTAGTGAAGGAAGGAGGACTGGATCAATCCCATTTCAAAGCATGTCTCTCTGCACTCCACACTGTCCTCCAATGACACTGTAAGGAAACCGCTTTAAGACGTATCAACGGCTTTAAGTAAATGTATTTTCTGGCATCTGGGAGACCTGACATTCTGTGTCATAATGAAAATCTGTCATGTTTCTTTATTTTAAAAATGATAAAACTGCAGGTTCACAGAGTTACATGGCTTACTTGAGGTCACACGGGGATGAGTTTTCAGCACTGCCAATAAAAGCAATCACATTAATTATTCAGTAATTATTCATAGGATCCATATAATTCAGTAAATATTCACATAATTATTTACTAGTTGTTCATTGACCAATTCGTACAAGGCATTTTGCTCAAAACTGTGCTTATATTTGGACATTGTATCTTCATCATAATCCTGTGGTAATGCTGTTATCCGTAAGTAACAGGTAAGAAACCTGGAGGAGGGATAGCAAATCATGTATTTGGACATATTTCCTTTTTTTTTTTTTGGTTTTTGTGATGCTGGAAGAATGACCAGAATGAGTCATAGGAAGAGTATACATTCCTGTAGTATTTTGCAGGACAGAGGTGTGACCTCCTAGAGTACTGGGACCAAAATTCCCAAGTGTCTGCAACCTTGCTTTAACAGTATGGGAGATCACCTCTATCACCTGGAATTCCCCTGGAACTCTGGAATATACAAGAGAAGTATGAGACTTGGGTCTTCCCTTGGCTGTGTTTAATTCACTCTTCTATGGAATACCAATGATTCTCACTAAGACTGGCCTTTTCATAAGCACAATGTGCATTTTATGGAGAAGATTTTACACTTTGCTCTATTTAGAAAGAATAAATATGAGCAGTGGTTTAGGTTTTATGCCCTGGACTTAATATGTTTCTGATTCCTGTTTTGAGATTAAATTCTCATGTAAATAGAAAAATACTTATTATTTCTCATAAGGCCAAGTTTGTTATTAGTTTGAGTTTTTGAAGATGAAGCACAAACTTTTGATTTTATCTTTGTCTGTCTCTGTCAGCGCCACTCGTTGTCTCTCAGTATGACCTGGACTTGCCCCTGCACTTACCCTTGTCCTGCTGAACCATCTCCATGCACTGTCCAATTCCATCAGTGATTCGGGCTCCTTCCAAGGCTCCCTGAAAAGGGCACAGAGATCAGGACATTAGGCACATTCCGGACACAAAGGCAACCCATACTGTAGAGTGGGCAGCTGTGTTTCCACTTCCCTAATATTCCAGTGATGTCCTCAAACTGAAAGGAACACTTTCCCTTTTTAGGGGTCTGTTCTTCATGTCTCAGTGCCTCTGATCTAGTCAACACAACTGTCCTGAATGTGAAAGAACTTGCTAAATTTCTAGTTTCTTGTTAGGTGGCTAAAATAGATTTATAAGACTTCCTTACTTACCCATGACTGCTGAAGTTTGAATTCTTAGCAGTACGATTCGTTTTCTTGTAAGGTGAGCAGCTTAGGAAAGATTGGCCATCTTCCTGTGCAAAAAGAGGCAAACTTAATTTCTACTCAAAGCATGCTTGAATTTGGAATCAGGGCTTCCACTCTTCCGAAGTTGGAGTGTCACTGCGACAGGCATGTGTCCCGAAGGGCTCGTGTCTCTGCTATACTCAAAGTTTAAATGGAGCCCAGCAAGCCAGATGTCCTTTACTTCTAGGTTCCCTCAACAGTTTCTCCTCCGCTTTAGAGACCGCATTGAAAATATTCTTGTTCTGCTGTTGTGTTTTGGCTTTGGAATGATGTGATGCAGCTCAATGGGTCCCACCCCCAACTTGATCAAAGTAAGAAACAGCTGGGAAAGTCAGTGCAAATACAAGTTCATTGTCCTCCTTGCAGGGATTCTGATTCAGAGGGCTCAGGTGGGGCCTGGAATGTGTTTGTTAACATGACTCAGATGTGCAGTCAATTTGGGGACTCACTGACAGCATTGACCTTACAGTTTATGGGATGATTCTTTCTGTTTTGCTGATGAAGAAACTGAGGCACACAGAGTCTGTAACTTGCCCAAGTTCCCCTTGTTGTAAGTCCTGGAGCCAGATCTCAGGTGGACCAGTGCTTCTCTCCCCTATACCTCATTTCTGAGAAAAAGGAAATCTTCTGGAATTTGACTTCTTTCATCTAACACATTTCCTCACAACATGCAGCCAGCATCATATTTTGGCCACTTACTATTAAAGTGAGATGCTTTTTTTTTTTTTTTTTTTTTTGAGACAGGGTCTTATTCTGTCACCCAGGGTGGAGTGCACTGGTGATTATAGATCACGGCAATCTTGAACTTCTGGGCTCAAGCGATCCTCCTGCCTCAGCTTTCCAAGTAGTTGGAACTCTAGGCACACATCACCATTTCTGGCTAATTTTATATTTTTCATAGAGACAAGGTCTTGCTATGTTGCTCAGGCTGGTTTTGAACTTCTGGCCTCAAGCGATCCTCCCACCTAGGCCTCCAAAAGTGCTGGGATTACAGAAGTTAGCCACTGAACCTGGCCCTGAAATGCTTTTATTTCTTTCTTTTTTTTAATGAAAATACTGGACATGGAGATGTGGAAAGACACCTTGCTTTATTACTTTTGTTGTTATTATTATTTCTACAGTAGAATTTATACATCACAAAATTCACCATTTTTAAGCATACATTTCAGTGTCTTTTACCATATTCCAAAACTTTCGCAACCATCGCCACTACCTAATTCCAGAATATTTTCATAATGCCAAAAAGCATGCCTGTACCTATGGGCAGACACTCTCCAATTCCCCCCTTCTTGCGCTCTCTGACAACCACTAATCTACCTTCTCTATATATTGATGTACTTGTTCTGGGCACTTCCTCTATATGGAATAACAAAGTGTGGTATTTTCTATCTGCTTCTTAGAATATTGTTCTCAAGTTTCATCCTTTCTAGCCTGCGTCAGTACTTCAACTTTTTATGGCCAGATAATATTCCACTATATGGTTATACCACATTTTGTTTATTCATCAACTCATGGTGGTTTAAGATGTTTCCACTTTTTAACTATTAGGAATAATGCTGCTGTGAACAGCTTTGTACAGGTTTTTGAGTGAACATCTGTTTTTCATTTTCTTGGTTATAAACCTAGGAGTGCAATTGCTGCATCATATGTCACTTTATGTTTCACTTTTTGAGGAACTCACACACTGTTTACTAACTTCAGTAGCTACATCATTTTAGATTCCCAATAGTAATATATGAGAATTCCATATTCTCCATCACTTTTGAAACATGTGTTGTCTTTATTGTTTTCTTAAGTCATACTGCTGGGTGTGAAGTGGTATCTCATTTTGGTTTAAATTTACATTTTCCTAATGACGAAAAACATTGAACATCTTTGCATGTGCTTCTTGGCCATTTGTGTGTTTCCTTTAGAGAAACCTCTACTCACAGCTTTTTTTCCCCATTGTTAAATGTGGTTGTCGTTTATTGCTCAGTTATATGAATTCCTTATACACTCTAGGTACTAGACCTGTGTCAAACATACAATTTGGAAATAGTTCTCCCATTATGTGGATTATCTTTTCACTTCCTTGACAGTGTCCTTTGAAGCATACAAGTTTTTTATTTTAATGAAGTCCATTTATCTATTTTTCGGTTGTTTGTGCCTACTTAAAAAATGTCTAATCCAAAATCACAAAGATTTGTACCTAGGTTTCCTTCAAGACATCGTCTTTTGAATGAGAACTTTCCTGGGTTTTAGAGGAGGGTGGACATTGTTTATTGATGCCTCCTGTCCATTACCGATGTTTCTCTTGATTGTTATTCATATGCTCACCACCCCTCCATGGAGCATCCATGGCCTGTGACAGAGCTCTGGGGACTGATATCCTTCCACTGACTTTGGCGCTGGTGAGAGCCCTGGTCATGTGATTCAGCTTGGCCTTAACCCGACCCAGTTGCACATATTCCTCAGGCCCTTTAGAGTTGAAGTCGAGACCTCTCTGAGAACGCTTGCCAGCCCATGCTCTTCTAAGGCTGGAGCAAACTTCCTCCATCTATTCCAGACAGAGGGGACTGCAGGGGTTGGACTCACTCAAGATATCTCTGGTGTTAGAAAGAAGACCTGTTTCAGGCTTTGGGGAAGATTGTTCAATATGAACTAGGTCCTCTCTAATTATTTTTACCGTATGTGTGACTTCTTTCTAGAAACAAGGGAAGAATATTTATGTTAGAACATTTTGTCTATTCTTTGTCAATTGTTGTTTATCTACAATTTTAACATGGATAAAGGAGAGTTCAGTGTCAATATATTCTTAACAACTAATTACGGCTCATGTCCACCGCCATGCGATCATATTTAAATCTGTCAACTATCCTGTTACTTAGGTATTATCCTGTTCCTGATGAGAAAACAAACTCAGAAAGATTGCAAAATTTCCCTAGGTCACAAAACTAGTGAGGAGAGGAGTAAGAATTAGATATCCGTTCCTTTTGGCCTTCAAAGCTAACCTTGTACCATTAGATCAAACTGATTTACATACTTTTGCTGGAATTAGTCTCAGACTTGTGGTTCTCACTTGATTTTCCCAAGGAAACAGTGTGCCACTTTAATATCGTTTCAAACTTTGAAATTTAAAACTCTTTTTATTATACTTTTTTGTCTTTGTTCTATTCCGTTGCTTTTGGTTTCTTCTCAACGGATCCCTCTTATTTATATGCTAAATATTTGTTACCTATTTTCTGTCAATTTTCACATTTTTGAGTGTTTGTTATCTGTCTGTTGTATGCTAACAGTTCTTCACTGAGGTAAAATTTGCGTAGAGTATACTGCAAAAAAACCTAAAGGCACAGCTTAATAAATTTTAATATAATTATAATTGTAAAGTAACACCCAGTTAAAGACAGAGAACATTTTCCCCCATGCCACAAAGTTCTGATGTGGTCCTTGCCAGTCAATACTCATCCCCCAAATGAAGAATATATTCTGAATGTTGTCACTGCCTTAGCCCCTTTGTGTTGCTGGAAAGGAATACCAGAGGCTGGGTAAGTTATCAAGACAAGAGGTGCCTTTTGCTCATAGTTCTGCAGGCTGTACAAGAAGCATGGCCCCCGCATCTGCTCCTAATGAGGGCCTGAGGCTGCTTCCACTTGCAGCAGAAGGTGAAAAGGAACCAGGGTGTGCAGAGATCATATGGCGAGAGAGGAAGCAAAAGAGAGCAAGGAAAGGTGAGAGGCACTTTTTAATAACCAGCTCCTACAGGAACTAAGAGAGTGAGAATTCACTCACTACCTTCTCCCAGGGTGGGGATTCATCTATTCATGAGGGATCCACTCCCATGACCCAAACACCTCCCATTTACCCCCACCTCCAACACTGGGGACCACATTTGAACATGTGATTTGGAGGGGACCAATATTTAAACTTAGCAGCCACCATAGATTCATTTTGCTTGATCATGTGCTTCATAAAAATGGAATCATTTTGGCTGGGCCTGGTGGCTCATGCCTGTAATCCCAAGACTTTGCAAGGCTGAGGCGGGCAGATCACCTGAGGTCAGGCGTTCAAGACCAGCCTGGCCAACATGGTAAAACCCTGCCTCTACTGAAAATACAAAAAATTAGCCAGGCATGGTGGCCGGTGCCTGTAATCCCAGGCACCAGATATGTACTGGTATCTCATATGTACAGGACATGTACTGGTATCTCATTGTTGTATTGATTGATGTTCCTGATGGCTAAACTGTAGAGCATCTTTTCCTATGCTAATTGACCATTCATGTATCTTCTTTTCTTAAGTACCTATTCAACTCTTTTGAGAAATTGTTTCATTGTGCTGTTTATCTTATTAAACTTATATATATATACATACATATATATATACAAATACACTCTAAAAAACCCCTTTGTTGGAAATAAATATATCTCCTATATTGTGGTTTCTTTTAATGTTCTCTTAATGTTCCCTGTTTGGAGATAACGATAGATAATCTTCAAAAAGGTGAATATACACACCCACACCCACCCACACACATACACACACACACACACACACACACACACACACACACACGTGAGCCACCGGATCCAGCCTGTTGAATTTATTTCTAAGCACAACATGTATTTAGATGTTACTTGAAATGAAATTGTATTTTTATTTCATTTTCCAAATGCTCATTGCTAATACACAGAAATACAAAAGACTACTTCTATTGAGCTTATATTCTGCAACATTACCAAACTCACTAATTACTTTTGGCAGATTTTTATAGATTTCTAGGATTATTAACATACACAGTCATTATCTGTGAATAAAGACAGCTTCAATTCTTTCTTTTCAATCTTTTCAATACTTTTATTTATTTTTCTTACTTTATTGCATTGATTTAGATCTCTAGTATAATGCTGAATTGAAAGAATAACAACAGATATTCTACTTTTTTCTCTGATTTAATAGAAAAGCATTCAATCCTATGCCATTTAATATAATGTTACCTCTGAGTTTTTTTCAAATCTACCCTTAATAGGGTTGAAAGTGTTGCCTTCTCTTCTTATCATGCTGAGAGTTTTCTGGGGTTTGTTTTTATAAATCATGAAAAAAGTTTTCAATTGTGCCAAATGCTTTTACTGTGTATGACAAGGTAATCATATGGTTTTTCTCTTTTGCCCTGATAATACATAAATTACATTTTCTTAAATATAAAAAAGATTTCTTGAATCAAGCTAGGACAGTTTTTTTAATTATAAACTTTTAACAAATATATTGAAATATAACTTACATGCAATTGAGATGCATGAAAGTGTATAATCATTAAAGTGTATAATTTTAAGAGTTTGAGCACACTATACACGAGTCAAAGAGAAAGGACAGAAAATACTAACGATGGCTCAGCACATGTGGTCTATCTTGCTGAATGCTCTATGTGAGTTTGAGAAGAGTTATTTGTTAGCTGTTCTTAGATGTATTTTGCTTAAATATCGACCTGGCTAACATGTGTCATTGATTGTGTGAATTAATTTTGTTCTAGTGGGCAGTAAAATTACTGTCTGATCACTTTGGACTTATGTGGACTGGTTTATGTTTTATTACAACGGATTCATGGAAAGCCCACAGCATTTCCCAAGACCCTCTAATTTGGCAGGACTCAATCACCAATCCACCCCTTTGTGAATTTGTCAGGGTTTGCTTTTAGGCTTTAGCAGGTTGGTCTACAATAGGCCTTATTGAAAAGTGTGACACTTATTCCTAAAGCACATCCATTCTAGTGTCTCAGTTGGATACCTGGGTGCTAATGAGGTGTGCATCAGTTCTTCCCACCATGGATGGCAGAAACTCCATCATACATTCCCCAACCCTCCTCCACCTCAAGTACCTCTGGTCCAAACTCAATTTCATAGCAGCCACCCCTCTGTTAAATCTGTTAGTCTTTTCCTTGTGCAGGTAGAGTCCACTCCTTGATAAGTATGCACATGGAACCCCACATAGACTTTGAGAGCTGCACCTTTGATCAGCTGTCTCCTCACTGGTGCCCTGCCCTGCAGATTGCAGTTGCTTCAGCCGTCTTGAACTCTGATCTCTGCCTTCTCAGCTCAGTGAGCTGCCCTGCCCTGAGTGGACTCTAGCTCACTATGCAGCTGCTGAGAAATTCTCCCCAAACAACTAGGAAATCATGGGGCTTCCCCCTTAAGTTTTCTCTTGGACTGCCTGTTGTACACTGCTGAAAACAATTTTACGTTTGTTTATGGAGGCAGGGTTAGTCTGATATGATTTATTCTAACAGACAGAAGCAGAAATCTGTTATACTCTTTTAATTACTGTGTCTTTATAATATTATGGTAGACAGAATCCTAAGATGACCCCCAGTGATCTTTGCTCTTATATAATCACTTCCTCCTGAGTGTAGACAAAGCTACTGAGGAGATGTCACTCCTGTGATTGTGTTACAATTTATGGCAAAAACAAGTTAACAGATGTAATCGAGATCCCAAATCGGTCCAATTTAAGATAGACAGATTATCTGATGAGCTTGACCTAGTGAACGTGAGTTCCTTGGAGGGACTGAGGACTTCCTGGAGAGATGTGAAGTGCAGGAGGGTTTCCATGCAGGGCGATCCTCCTCTGCTGGCTGGAGGAAGCATGCAGTGGGAACATGGGAGGCCTCTAGGAGCAGCGAGAGGCCCCTGGCTGACAGCCAGCAAGAAAACAGAGATCTCAGTCCTACAGTCACAAGGAACTGAACTCAGCTGACAACCTGAGGAAACTTGAGAGGAAGTTCTTCCCCAGAACCTCCAGAAAGAAACCCAGCCTAATTTCAGCCTGTGAGGCCCTGAGAAGAAGACCCAGAGAATCCAGGCCTGAACTTCTGATCTGTGGACACTGCAAGAAAATAAATCATTCTTATTTTACGCCGCTAATGCTTGCAGTAATTTAGTATGCAGCAATAGAAAATTAATACAAATAAAATGGAGAAGGCTTTGGAGTGGGGACAAGAAGGAAACGGTGGGAGAGGGATGCCTGTATGCTGATATGGTTGATGCCTGTATGGTTGAATTGGGTCTACCGTTCCTCATCTAATTAGCTATGGTCTATTAAGGTGCATAGCTACACACAAATATTGGTACTACGTTCAATTCAGAGGAATAAGATATTGCATTCTTGACAGTAGACAAGAACACCCTGAATTTGGGGTCACTGTATCATAAGTCATGTTATCAGGTCCCTCTAGGAAGGCTTAGAGGAAGATTTCCAGGATACACTTGTGACAACATTGAAGGCTTCTTTCTTCCCCAAAGGGACCCGATCTCCCCTCAGTCGAGAAGCTCCAAGTCTCTGAACTGGATGCCAGGTTATAAATTCCCCCTATACTGACTCCATCAGGCTTCTGTCCTCAGAACTAGAGTTTATCAGTAAAAGATAGACTCATGGGAGTCTAGGCATTTATTCTCTTATTTTATATAAATCAGTTAATGTGCAGGAACAAAACAGACTTTGAAGAAAGACACTCACAGTTGCCACAGGAAAACACCTTCAACATCCTCATGAGTCATCATGGGTGTTCTGTTGGGAGGACTTGATAGGAGGCTTTCCTCCTCACGGGCTAGTGCAGATCCAGGGGAAATGTCATCAAGTCCTCCATTCGGAGGGTAGCAGCTGAGGCTGCTGATTCGTTAGGCCTCCTGCAGCTGGAGATGCAAGTAGTGCATTTTCATGGCCACCGCAGGGCCCTCAGTTTAGCATTCTTCAGAGCCAGCATCCAACAAGCCACAGAAGCTCTGAGTATTTCCCTTTCTTCAGTCACCCACATAAATGGCTTCAGGGCCTTCTGGGGAAGGCCTGAAGGAAGATTTACAGCATACACTTGTGGCAGCATTGAAGGCTTCACTCTTCCTCAAGGGATCCAATCTCCCCTCAGTCAAGAAGCTCCAGGTATCTGAACTGGATGCCAGGTCATAAATTCCCACTATGGTGACTCCATCAGGTCTCTGTCCTCAGAACTAGAGCTTTTCTAAGTGTAACGTAAGTTGATTTCTTAGTAGATGTCCCATCCATTACATTCCCAGACACCTCACAATGATTCGAATGATTAGTAACCACCACATATCCCTGCCTCTCAGGGAAATCCCTCCCGCCTTGTCTCTAGATGGCCAAGTCCCACGGCCTGTCCTCTACTCTTCCAGAACCCTGTTGTTCTCACTGACAGCAGGGAGGGCAAATCCATGCAGCAGCTCCCGCCATGACCTCCAGCCTGCAGAGGATGGGCGCCACAGGACTTTTAAACGCATGCCGCTGTTCCCCTCACCTGTGCATTTCTTAACGCCTTGGTGAGGAGAATGTCTCTGGATCTTCCTTGATGGGAGCTAAAGGAACAAAGGTAAATAATGCTATGGGACCCACTGAGAACTGGGGCTGTGGAAGAGTGGCCACTGAAGTAATAGACAGATGCAGCTATTGCCAGATACTCAGTGCCAGAGCAGGGAGGGACAGGGAAGAAATACGGACCTCACCTTCCTCTCACTTCCAGGATCCATCGGGGGCCCTCCATTGCTAAACCTAACTAGAAGTGTGCACGCACGGGAGCCAGGGATGCATTCTAGGAGGGACGAGCCCCGAGTGGCATGAGACAGGATGGAAATGAGTGGACAGTGGATCTGTGGGAAGAAGGAGGGGATGTTATGGGAAAACAAAAGGAGAATACTAGCTAAGAACGCTAGGTGACATTAATATTCCGAAGTCTGTGCTCATATTCAGAAAAGAAAGTTCAGCATAAAGCACTAAATAAGGAGTCAAGATATTGTACTTCCAACTGTTGTTCCAACAGCTGTATTATAAAGGGCCACTTTATTTCATGCCTTTCTAATTTGACCTAAAGTGCCAGGTGGCACTGGGGCTGGCACAGCCTTGCTCAATTATGTGTTGCAGAGTACACAGAGACTGCCAGGCTGAGGGAAGATGCAAGAGAATAGAAGAGATGCTCTCAGGGAACAAGAGACCACATGGCCCCAGAGTCAGGGGCAGCATCAGCCACTGTCAGCTGCTCATTTTCCCAGACAGAGCCCACAAGCCTCAGCCATGCTTTGCTTCTGCAAGACGCTTCTTCACCTTTTCAATAAACCTGCCTGAATTTAAGCTGACAGGGTTTATTTCTCCTTCATCATAAATGAAATTCTTCACCACAACAATCTCCAATGAATTTTGGGCACAGCAGGCAGGCCCATTTCTGCTTCTGTTCCACTATCTCTCCTGTAGGTTGAAAAGGAGGAGGTACTGAATTACCTCCAAATGTTCCTCTGGCTCTGATATTCTGTTATTCTGGTTCCTTTTTGGCTACTTTGTTTTTGGTAGTGTGTATCCTAAGGCGTCCAGTTGAACAACTTTTGTCTACTGTGTCCAGGCATTCCTGGTGGTATTTCAGATAAGACTCTCTTGGGTTGCTGAACTCACAACCACTGAACCAATTCTATGACCATCTGTTTCATGGCCACATGTTTGCTCATTTTATATGTACATAAAGGGAGGGGACAGACAGCAAACTTGCGTGTTACAAATTGTATCATCTTAAAAAGGAAACAAGGCAACACTTTGCAATAAAACCTTAAGATGCATGAAATTTGAGCCTAATGCAATAAAGGATGCCCATAAAATTCTTATCTAAAGAATGTTTCGAAAATTGTTGTACAAGGACATCATCATTTAAAGTGATATGAAGAAACCTTCTCAGCTAAGCATATGGGCTAGATTAGAGAGAAAAATAAAGGACCCATCTCTGCCCTGGAAAAACTGCTGGTAGCATCTTTTAAAAAGCTCTCTGTGTTTGAGTACGCACCTTGATCCATAGGCTCACATTTGATCCCAACTGGCAGCTGCTTCTTGGCATTAACATTGGATTCCCAACTAGTAAATCTTACCAAGATCTGACTTTCTGCAGATATAATATTATTTTGTTTGACCATCCTTATCTTCAAGGGCTACCAAGAAGGAACCAAGAATTTATTTACCTCCCCAAGGGAAAAGGTTTTACCAATGAGACACTTTCTCACCATGACCCCAGGACCCCATATGCCCTGTTCACTTGAGTGCCCTGTGTGGCCTGATAGAAGCTCATGCTGGTCACAGGATTCCTTATATGACTAGCCTCCTTCCTGAATCCCAATTTCATGGTGGTGGTCATGACAGGTGTCCTGTATCCCATGCTCATGTCCCTGAAGTCACCAGCCTATCTCCAGTTAGAAAAATTTACATGTATATAGAGAGGCCTCTTTGGAAGGAGCAAAAGCTTTCTCACCTTCGTACACTAATGGTTGGAAGGTACAACAGCATATGCACTTTGGGAAAAAATATCTGGCATATTCTTACAGAAACAAACAACTACCTATTCTATGACTCAGTAATTCCTAAGCATTTATCCAAGAGAAACTAAAACCTATGTCCAGAAAATGACTTATACAAGAATGTTCATAGCAGTTTTATTCATAATACAAAAAACTGGAAACATTCAAGTATCTGTCAATACAAGAATGGATCAATAAACTGTGATACACTCATTCCATGGAATGGCTAAAGGAACAAACTGGTGACACACAGAACAACATGGATGAATCTCAAAAACATTTGGAGTGCGATAGAAGCCATACCCAAAAAAGTGTGAGAAAAAAAGATAAATAATAATGGTTCCAAGAAATGCACAGCAGACAGCCCAGAGGCAAAGACCCACAGGACGGCGGGCCGGTCCCAGGCTGTCGATCCTAATTAAGAAACTTCTGCTGGATTTTGCCCAGCTCCATTTCCAAACTATTTTGGGTCAGTGACTTCTTTATCCCTTCCATGTTGCCTCATTTTGAACTAGAATCACTGTAAGTGTTATTCTATGTCTGTCACATCATTCCACAGTAGGGGCAGATAAGCTGTTTAGAATGGCTAAAATTCAAAAAGGTGAACACACCAAATGCTGTCAAAGATGAGGAGCAACCAGAACTTTCCATCGCTAGTGGAAATCAAAAGGGTACAGTCACTTTGGAAAACTTAAGTTCACTCAAAATCCTGCACAGAAGTACTTACAGCAATTTTATTCATCATTGCCAAAACTTGGAAGTGCCCAAGATGTCTTTCACCAAGCGAAAGAATAAACAAACTGTTGTAGCCATACAAGGAAATCTGATTCACTGATTTTAAAAAACAAGTTATCAAGCCATGAAAAGACATGAAGGAACTTAAAGTACATAATGCTAGAAAGAAGCCAGTCTGGAAACCCACATACTGTACCACTCCAACTCTAGGACATTCTTGGAAAGTCAAAAAGATAGAAGTAGTAAAATGGTGAGTGGTTGTCAGGGGTGGAGGAGAGGAGGACGCGTGAAATGGTGAAGCACAGGGAATTTTCAGCAGTGAAACTCTTTCGCATGACGCTGTATTGGGGATTTAGGACATTATGTAATTGCCAAAACCCATAATCTGTGAAACTCAAAGAATGAACTCTAATGTAAACTATGGACTTTAGTTGATAATGACGTATCAACAGTGGTTCATCAATTGTAATGAATGGACCACACTAATACAACATACTAGTAGGGAAAATTGTGTGCTGGAGGACAGGGGAGCCTAGGAGAACTCTCTGTATTATCCACTCAAGTTTTCTGTAAACCTAGAACTGTTCTAAAAAATAATGTCTATTAACTTTTTTTTTAATTAGGATGCAGCAGCCCCATATCAAGGTTTTGGTGGCATCCTGTAATTGTGTGGTTAGTACTTGGCATTGAAGTGCACCAACCTGGAGTCAGAGCAGTTGGAGATTTCAAGGCCTGTGCCATTTACCTCTAACCCTGGGGTGCCCCTGGAATACAGATAGCAGATCGGTTAAGGAGAAGCAGCCTCAGCAATCTAGACAGTGCAGGTTTCTGGTGAGGACAGGTAAAAACCATCTGGGTGGGCAGAACTTGGTGAAGACTAGAAACCACTGAGACTCAGCAGCTGCCGCAGTGGCACCCACAAATCAAAGGAGGGGGCTGGGAAGAGCTAAGGGCTACTGGATGAGCTCTCTGCCTGCAAGACAGAAGCAGATCCAGAGATTTTGGAAAATAATGTAGGTTTCAGTACAGTGTGATCTCTTCAAAAAAGTAGAGAGAATGAAAAGGAAAGAAAAAGAGAGAGCATGAGAGAGAAAGAAGAAGAAAAGAAGAAAGGAAGAAAGGAAAGAAGGGAGGGAAGGAGGGAAGGAGGAAGGAAGGGAGGGATGGAGGGCGGGTGGGAAGGAGGGAAAGAATAAAAAGAGAGAGAAAGAGAGTTGGAGGGAAGTAGGGAAGGAAGGAAGGAAGGAAGGAAGGAAATGAACAAATTTACATGAAGATGAGAACAGTGGGGAAACTTACACCACCAATATTTTCCATTAACAGGAACACGCTAAGTAGTTATTAGAGAAAGACACGCTACTGTAAAACAATATACTGTTTCCATGGGGTACAACAACCCCTTCCTCCTCCTCTGAAACACATTCTATCTCTGGCTCACTGTTGCCAGAGACACTGAGTCTTGTCTTTGGATACGTTCTGGTGCCCACAAGAATGAGATGAGACAGTGGATCCCAGAACACCAGGCCACGAACTTCCCTGTTGCTCCTTGTCCACTCCAGAAGCTACCCAGCTGCAGTTGGGGACCTCAGCCCCTGGGTCTGATGTCATCCATTTGCCTTTCTCAATGGACTTCTCTCCTTGCACTGGCTCCTACTCTCCCAGGACCTGTGGGTGACCACATGAGAAGAACACAAACAGGCCATGCCCCTTTCTTTCTCCCCCTCTCAATGCCTGCAGTAGTGGGTTCCATGGGGTAGTGACCTGAGATTTACTCATTGTGGGGCCTCTAGCCCAGAGCAGGGCCTACTACCTCATAGTCACCCCATGAATGCTCAGTGAAAGAAGACGTCCACCACAAGGTCCTGGGGAACCAAGAATTCCACTGTGGCCCATAAATTCTAAGTCTACAGGATTCTGGAATGGGAGATGGGAAAGGCCTTCAAAAGTGGCCACTTTTAACCCATTATACTGGCAACTGAGCCATGTTTCCCCATCCTGGACACATCCAGAGGGCACTGCCTAAAACCAGACACATCTCCCCACCCAGGACAGTGTAGGAGCCTTAGCCTGGGGGATGCAGGTGGACAGGGAGGGGGTGAGCCACCAAAGCTGAAGAGCAGAAAGCAGGTGAAAGGGGACAGTAGGGTGGAAACAGAGAGAAATGGGGGCAGAGAATGGGGGGTGAGAGGGGAAGAGTGAGGAGAGGGATGCAGATCTAGCTAGTAAGGAAAAGTCCTGGAGAGAACACTGTCCTCTCCTGAAGTAAAATCACTTCTACCTGACCACGGCACTGCAGCTCATGGGCAGCACATGCTGTGGATATTTGTTCATTCATTTAACAAATATTTATTTAATATCTGTTGCATGCCAAGCAAGGCCCTGCGATGTTTAGGGACCTTGACATCTTCCCTTCACATCTGAGTCATAATACAAAGAGGACTCTCTGACCCCACTGAGCTGGCAATGCCTCGGGATTTTTACCTGTTGGATCTGGCAGCTCTTGATGTCAGCCCACACCATGTGAGGCTGCTCTTGGTGCACCCAATGGGGAAGTTTCTACATCAGGGCCTCGGAGAATCCACTGGAAGCCCTGGACAGTGGGAGTCAGCGGCATCCCCAGTGTGGAGGCCAAGAGCACACAGTGCTTAAGCTCCAGGCACCCTCAGGAGGACGGCAAGGGACAATTGGCTGGTGAGAGCCCGGGTCACCGGGAACCTTCGCCTGGGTCTAAACAGGATTTGCCTTCAGATTGCCTGTGAGACAAAAGAGAGAAATCAAGGTTAACGTTGAGATTTAGGGCTTCGGTAACTTGAAGGATGGAGCTGCCATTTACGGAGACTGGGAAGACCCAGGGAAGAGCAGGTTGAAAGGTGGTGGGAACTAGAGGTGGTTGGGTTTCTGTCATATGTAATCAACAGTCCTGACCAGCCTGGGCAACATAGTAAGACCCCGTCTGGGAAAAGAAAAAAGGAAAAATAAGCTGAGCATGGTGGTGCACACTTGTAGTCTCAGCTACTTGGGAGGCTGAGGCAGGAGGATTCCTTGAGCCTTCAGTTAGCGGTTAGTGAGCTATGATGGCACCACTGTACTCCAGCCTGGGGGGAAAAAAATAAAGAGTCCTGACTAAATACTAGAGTAGCCAGGGAAGTTTTCACAAAGTAAGTAATATTTGAGGCAGATCTTAGTGAACAAGAATTCCATTATTTCTGTTAGGGAATTAAGAGAGTGTGGGTGTCGTTAGTTAATGCTTATTAAGGTATCGTTGGAATCTCATCTACTGGTCTAGCTGGTCTATCTGTACACGTATATTGTATATGCTGTCTCTCTGAGCTTTCGCTAGGTTATGCTACGGTAACAAAAGCCCCAAAATCTTAGCAGCTGCACATACGAAGGTTTATTTTTCATTGACATGTCCTTTTATGGCAGGTTGACTGTGACTCTACTCTATACAAGCTACTTTACTTGTTAGATGGTGAAAACTGTGATACTCGGAGGTTGTTGAATATGGTATTAGTATGTTCATTCATTCATTCATTCATTTAAGAAATATTTATTCAATATCTGTTTCATGCCAGGCAAGGTCAAGTACTGAGAATACACTGGTGAATCAAAGAGACAAAATCTCTAATTGCCAGGAGCTTATGTTGAAAATCAGATTAAACACATACAAAATCATCATAATAACAACAATGAATACTATATTCATAAATAATAGCTGTAAGAGATTTTAGTACATCTTTTAAATTAGAAAAATATAAAAATTATTAAAACTAAAATGGCCAGGTGTGATGGCTCATGCCTGTGATCCCAACACTTTGGGATGCCAAGGTGGGAGGATCATTTCAGCCCAGGAGTTTGAAACCAGTCTGGGCACTACAGGAAAACCCTGTCTACAAAAAGGAGAAAATTAGCCGGGCACAGTGGTGCATGCCTGTAGACCCAGCTACTAAGGAGGCTGAGGTGGGAGGAGTGCTTGAGCCTGAGAGATCAAGGCTGCAGAGAGCCATGATCATACCACTGCACTCCAGCCTGGGTGACAGAGCGAGACATTGTCTCAAGAAAAAAAAAAAATTATTTGATGTAGTCCTAAAACTATTATGTAGAATACTATTGTTTATATCACAGCACGTGAGCCCTTTAAATGGCTTAACACTTATTTAGGTATGATCCATAAAGCTTTTCTGGTAATTAAGTATACTTAAGAACAATTAAGTATAAAAGAGTTACTGCCTTGACAGGAAGATTGTAAAAATTTTAAAAAGACAAATAAATAAAAGAGTCAAAACTGTAGCTCTGTGAGGCTCAAATAACATCTAACTCAAGTCACAATGAACATCTAGCAATCATTCTGAACACCATATAATTCACTTAATACGTTTTGCCTGAACACCCAACACATCTGAATTACCAACACCCATATGTAGCCAAGAAACTGGCAATCATTTATAAATTATCACCTATGACTCCATCTGCTCTACGCACTTATTTTTTAAATTTTATTCGTTTATTTATTATTTTTATTTGTTGTAGAGATGGGATCTCACTATGTTACCCAAGTTGGTCCAGAAACAGAAACAGACCCACACTAATTTCATAAATCAGATGACCATACAGTCATTCGATTTATGAAAAAAAGTGCCACATGGTGCGGAAGGAAAAGGATGGTCTTTTCAATAAATGGTGCTGGATCAAGCAGACACATCCATGTAGTAAAAAGTGAATCATAGCCAGGTGGGGTGGCTCACACCTGTAATTCCAGCACTCTGGGAGGCTGAAGCGGGCAGATTACTTGAGCCCAGGACTTCGAGACCAACCTGGGAAATATGTTGAATCCCCATCTCTACAAAAAATATGAAAATTAGCCAGGCATGGTGGCACATGCCTATAGTCGCAGCTACTCAGGAGGCTGAGGTGGGAGGATCACTTGAGCCAGGAGATGGAGGTTGAGTGAGCTGAGATCCTGCCACCACACTCTAGCCTGGGCAATAGACTGAGGCCCTGTCTGAAAAAAAAAATGCAAAAACTAAAATAAAATCGTTATAAGGTTAACACAGAAAAATGTGTTCATACTCTTAGGTTAGGCATTGATTTCTTAAACAGGACACAAAAAGCAGTAACCATAAAGGAAAAGATTGATAAAGTATAATTTCATTAAAATGAAGAATCTCAGGCTGGGTGCAGTGGCTCATGTCTGTAATCCCAACCCTTTGGGAGGCCGAGGCAGGTTATCACTTGAGCCTAGGAATTCCAGACCAGCCTATGCAACGTGGCAAAACCCATCTCTACTAAAAATACAGAAAACAGCTGAGTGTGGTGGTACTCCCCTGTAGGTCCCAGCTACTTGGGGGCTGAGGCAGGGGGATCACCTGAGCCTTGTGAGGTCAAGGTTGCAGTGAGCTGTGATTGTGCCACTGCACTCCAGCCTGGGCGATGGAGTGAGATCCTGTCTCAAAAAGAAAAAAAAAAAAAAAGAGAATCTCCCTTCATGAAAAAACACCATAAAAGAGTGAAAACGCAAGCTACAGATTGAAAAAAGGGAAATGCAATACATATAAATCCTAGAAAGGAGGCATATCCAGAATAAAGTATTACAAATCAACAGGAAAACAAGCATATCAATGAAAACTGGATAAAAAGATTTAACAGGCACGTCACAAAAGAGGACATATAAATGGCAATAAAAGATAATCTCAATGAAACCACACTGATATATTACTGCACCCCTACTAGAATGGCAAAATAATTTTTAACTGACAGGTATCAGCGAGGATGTGGGGTAACCAGCATATCCCTGCTAAATGGTACAACTACTTTGGGAAAATGTTCAACAATATGTAATACTAAAGTTTTATCATTCATATACCTCTAAAACCAACAATGCCACCCCTACAAATATACCCCAGACTAGTAATGTTGAATTTCTTGATCTGTGGTGGTTCACTTGGTAAAAATTCATTACTTTTTTTTTTTTTTTTTTTGAGACAGGGTCTCACTCTGCCATCCAGGTCGGAGTGCACTGCCATGATCACGGCTCACTGCAATCTCAACCTCCCGGGCTCTGGTGATCCTCCCAACTCAGCCTACCGGGTAGCTGGGACTACAGGCACACGCCACCACACACAGCTAACTTTTGTATTTTTAGTAGAGAAAGGGTTTTGCCACATTGCCCAGGCTGGTCTGGAAATCCTGGGCTCAAGTGATCTACCCACCTTGGCGTCCCAAAGTGCTGGGATTACAGGTGTGATCACTGCGCCCGGGCCACCTGCACATGTAAAATTGTGAACTTCTGTATACTTCAGTAACTTTTCCAAGATTTCTTTGACGCAAAGTTCTCAGAAATCTTAAAGCTAGCATTTCAGAATAGAAAAAGTAGCTTCTGGTTCACTAGTGAAATTTTACCAATAGAATTTAAAAACAAAAAGCTACTAACGCATATCAGCTCAGAACACTACCAGCAGATCTTTTCTTTAACTTCCTGAAGCACTGGGATTCATTCTTTTGGCAAAGAAAGGATGAACAACACTGTAACCCAAAGAAAAGATACCACTGCCAGAAAAGACTTCTTTTCGAAAGCAGCTCTAAGCAAAAGATAGGAGGAAAACAAGGAAGCCAGGCCAAACGTCTTGGTTAACTCTCCGCTGAAAGGACGCCACATGAGATGATCTAAGAAGCCAGCCAGCCAGCCAGACGCAGGGAAATCACAGCAACTCTTTGGAGTGCAAACAGCAACCCCACAATCCAATCTACCCGAAATCCTGCGGTTCATTTGAGGCTTGCCCCGCTAGTCAGGAGGTGATTCAGCGATGGCTACAAATGCTGCTCATGTGCATCCTGGAGCTGGCACACCTGGCTTGCCCATCACCAGCCTGGAGACACCGCCAGGAGCAGAAGCCCGGAGGCCAGTAAAGACCCCAACTTTGCAAGTCAGGGGCGCGAGCGCGCTCGCCTCTCAGGTCCGCAGAGGGAACGGATTTCTGGCCTGGAGGGTGGGGTGCGGGGTCAGTGTCCTCTACAGGATATAGGAGGACGTGCCCCCGAAGCTGCTCCGTCCCTCCACCCCCTGGGATGCCACAGAACACCCGCCAGCGAGTTTCTTCCCCAGCGCCCACGAGAGTTGGGCTGCGGGCGGCAGCGGCAGGCGAAGAATCCAGCGCGGGGAACACAGGCCCCGGCGGTGCATGACCCCCCACACCCCCCACCCGCCCCCGCGCTCGCGCAACCAAACTTGCCACGGCCGCGCCTCGACCCAGCTGTGCGCCCGCGGGTCCCGGATTCACCGCCCGCCCAGCCTGGCGCGGCGCCCTCACCTCAGAAACGCTGGGTGGACTTCGCGTAACTTCCCATTCACAGGGCAGCCGGCAGCCGCGCCGCCGCGCCTCGGCCCAGCTCCTGGCGCCGCAGATCGCCCGTCCCGCGTTCCCAAAAGCACCGCGCTCGCTCAGAAGCTCGGGCAGCCTCGCGACCCTCACCTACGCCTCCCAGTACCGCCGCTGTCTCAACCGCCACCCAGCCCCTCGCCTGCGCCTGCGCCTGCAGCCCACTGGCTCCTCAGGCTCCCGATGGGCGTGTCAGGATAACCCAAGGCGCAGGCGCGGCGGGGCCTTAAAGGGACCCGGCGGCCTCTTCTGCACAACGGGTTCGAGCAGGTTAGGGGCCGCGCAGGCGGAGAAAAGGAGTAACCCAGGGGAAGGACCGAGTGCAGCGGGGACGGGGAAATCCCTCTCTCCCCTCCGCCTGTCTTTCAAAGCACCAGCCCTCGACCCTCCAAATCGCTGGTTTCCCCGGCCACTTGAACAGCCCCTGCCAGGTTGAAGAGGCAGGAGACACACCCCCTCTGGGGCTGGAGCGACCCCGCGCTTAGGACTGCAGGCCTCGCGCTGCCGCACCGCCCCGAGTCTGACTTCCAGGCACGGGCACGCGGTGCAGTCGGGCAGGCTTCAGAAGAGCCCCCAGCTCTCCCAGAGGTGGCCTTAGGTCACTCTCAAAAAGAATAACCAACGTGTCAATGGCACTTGTAGTTATTTTCTAATTTAAATTTATTAACAGATTTTGCAGATGGGCTTCCACTGAAATAAGCCTTTGAGAAAAAGAAAAACTTTTTTTTTCAACAGGATTAGAATACCAAGAAATAGGAAGTAAAGCCATGCCGTCCACCCAGCTAAAAACTTTGAAAACTTGATATTTTATCTAAGGCAAATGTTTGCATAACTTTAGGTCATGCCATTATTTAAAGTCAATTTCAATTAACAATTTCATTGCAACTGAATCTATCTTGTATAAGAAAACTAAGATACATCCCTGATAATCTACCTCTCCCCTCCTATACTCCATCCGTCAGCAAATCCTACTGGTTTTTACCTTCCAAATTTTCCTTGAATCTGTCCTCTTCTATCTCCTCCATCACCACCCTAGTCTAGGCTGCCTTCACCTGGGGAGTGAGGGTCGAGGGACTACTGACCTAGTCTTCTTGTGGTTTACCCATATCCCCTTTATCGCCTCTCTAATCTCAACACAACAGGCAGAGTGGCTTTTCCAAAATATAATGTGACCGTGTCACTTCCCAGCCTAAAGCACTTAAACACCTTCCCATTCTCTTAGACAAAACCTCCTAACTAACCAAGCCCCGAATGGCCAGGCGCCTTGCCCACTTCTTCATCTCTTCTCACTACTCAGACCAGTTCCGTTCTGCTCTCTCTGCTCCAGCCAAACTGGCCTCTTTTATTCCCTATTTACCAGCTTCCTGGCCTCCACAGAGCTTTTGCTCATGCTTTGCTCTGTGCCTGGAAGGTTCTTCTAACCCCTATTCTTCTGAGAACAGCTGTAGTCTCCACCTCTGAAAAGCACCTTCTGACCTCCCTATGGTGGTCCCTTACTCCTATCACATTGCATGAAACTGTAATCGGGTGGTTATTTTGGTGAATTTTTTACTATCGGCTACGTAAGCCCAGGGTTTGGTTTTGTTTGCTTCATGATTTGTATTTCCACATTTGTTAAATACATATTTGTTCATAAATGAGAATGATGGATGCTAGAAGTTGAAGTAAATTTGGCATAAAGTCAGAGAAAGAGAAAATGTCACAATCTGACAGTTGGAGTCAGAATGTAGAAACTTCAGTTATATTAAAACTGATTTTATATCGTTTTAGGCTGAGTTGTCTTAGGATGCTTTGGGTAACCTTTAAAACTGAGTTCTCAAAGAGCCTTGTATAAACACCTGAATTAATAATGATAAGCCATGGGGTGGCCCACATAAAACTAATAACATTGGTTGCTTTAAGAGAGGAAGACTGAGCCAGGCACAGTGGCTCATACCTGTAATCCAAGCACTTTGGGAGGCCAAGGCCCGCAGATCATTTGAGCTCAGGAGTTTGAGACTAACCTGGGCAACTTGGTGAGACCCTGTCTCTACATAAAATACAAGCAAAATTAGCCAGGCGTGGTGGCGGGCGCCTGTACTCCCAGCTATTTGGGAGGCTGAGGTGGGAGGATTGCTTGAGCTCAGAAGGTTGAGGCTGCAGTGAGCCATGATCATGCCACTGCACTCCAGCCTGGATGACAGAGCAAGATCTTGTCTCAAAGAGAGAGAGAGAGAGAGAGAAATGAAGACTGGTGACTGGTGGCTACTGGTGGGAAGGAGATTTTTACTAAATGCCCAAAAGGTTTAAAATTGTAACTTTTTTATTTCAAAGTCTGTGAAGATAAATGACACAAAAGAGCACATACCTTCCCATTTATTTGAAATTCTAGGAAGGGGAAAATTAATCTGTGGTGAAAAAATCATAGCAGTGGTTCCCTCTGGCAGGGGATTGACTGGGAAGTTACATGAGAGAAATTTCTGGGTGGTAAAAATGGTCTCTGTCTTGATAGGGATATGAGTTATATAAGTGTATTCATTTGTCAAAAAACATACAGTTAACATTTCAATGAATGTAAATTTTACCTTAAAAACTATACAAATAAATGCAAATTTAAAATCTGCTAGCTAACACCTAGTTGAGTACTCAGTGTCTATGGGCATTGGCCGAGGCTATACATACACGATTTTCTTTAGTCCTCATACCGTCCTCATGGGGTAGGTATTATTATCATAACCCCCTTGCATATGAAGAAGCCAAAATGCAGTAAATACCAAATAACTTGCCTCGATTTATACCCCTGGAAAATGCGGGAAGAGCTTTAAACACCATCAGTCAAATGCCAGAAGTTGTTAAACATTAGACTCTATAGCACTTCTCTGAAATTATAGTATTTTTGGTATATGTATATATATATATATATATCATCTACTAGATCAAGAGCTTCACAATGATTGAAATCATAGTTTGTCTTTTTGTTTGAGGTTTATGTTTTTATTTTACTTCATTATTTTAAAGACTGAGTCTCGGCCGGGCACGGTGGCTCATGCCTGTAATCCCAACACTTTGGGAGGCCAAGGTGGGTGGATCACTTGAGGTCAGGAGTTCGAGACCAGCCTGGCCAACATGGTGAAACCCCATCTCTACTAAAAATACAAAATTAGCCAGGTGTGGTGGCACGTGCCTGTAATCCCAGTTACTCAGGAGGCTAAGGCAGGAGAATCGCTTGAACCTGGGAGGTGGAGGTTGCAGTGAGCCAAAATTGTGCCACTGCACTCCAGCCTGGCCGACAGAGTGAGACTCCATCTCAGAGAAAAAAAAAAAAAAGACTGAGTCTCACTATGCTGCCCAGGCTGGACTTGGACTCCTTCATTCAAGCCATCCTCCTGCCTAGGCTTCACCTGGGACTACAGGCCCAATATTTTTGTCTTAAGTTTCTAAGCAGTCCCAAGACTTTGCACAGTAGCTGTTCAATGTATTTTGAGTGAATGATTAAAAACAAGCTTGATGTCGATTTTATTGGTACAATTTATATTTACATATGTAATATTTATATGCTTTTATATATTTATGTGTGCATGTATATAATTGGTACTAACTTAGCACTGCTGTGCCTAAGTGCCTGAGATGCATCTCAAATGAATAGGCCTGAGGAGAGAAGCTTGTGTCATTAGCTCTGACCCTGCAGCACTAATCCTAGTTTACCCCTTTCTTTCAGTCTCCCTGAGCACAATTTATTTGCTGAAAGGCCACATCTCACTATGGAGTGAGGATCAAGAAGTAAAGGTCTGAAAGAGAGAAGCTGCGGGGCTGGGGAGACTGTTGGTCGGAGAGGCGTCGGGGGCCCAAGGAAAAGGGAGGATTGTGGGGAGGAATCGGCGTAGAGATGAGAGGAGCAGCAGAGACAGAGTCTCACGCAGAGGTGTGCCCAGACACCCTGAACCAAGTTACTTAACCTCGTCCACCACCGTGGCACCCGTGGGGTCCGTGGGCCCGTCGGTCTTCCAGGAGGGATTCTGTGTCCCTGTTATTGTGTGTCAACATGTGTTAGCCTGATATTTATATTTTTAATGAGAGAAAACGAACTCTGGAATTTGCGAACTGTTTTTTCGGTTTTGCTTTATACCTCTTGGACACTCCTTCCGAAGGATTGGGTCTCAAGGGCAGTGGGGTGTGACTACGGTAGACAGGGCTGATTAATTTTCATCCAAAACTCTTTGGCGGATTCCCCTGCTCTCCGCTTCTCCGGTCTAACAGTAGTTTAAAACAGAAGATCAGCAACATTTGGAGAGTTTTTTTCTTTGCATTTTAATGATAAACTTGATTTATTCCATTCCAAAAGTTTTCTTATTCTGAGGTTGTCTTTCTATATTTTGAGTATAAAACAATGGCCATACTATGTTGGAACCACCAAGGTTCTTCTCTTCACTTGTTCATTTGTAATGTCTCTTTATAATCTGAGAATTTCCTGAGCAAACTGGGAACTGTTATACATAATTCCTTGTTTTTCAACATTCTTTGTAAACAGGAATCAGGATTGGGGATGGGGAGGGAGGGAGGAGTAGGAGTCCTGATTTGTGGAACAGAAAATCATGGATTACTTATGTGATGGAGCAAAGGGTTTAAAAACTCTTAGCATCCCCAGATTTCCCCTTTTACTGTTTGCTGAAGAAAATTCTGTCTTTGACTCCCTTCCTTACCCTCTCCGGGCCTGTGAGAAGCTTCCTCCCTATTCAGTTTATTTCCTCCTCTGCTCCCCGACCCACCCCCCACAGCCCCCTCCTCTTTTTCAGTGAAGCCGCTGGAGGAAAGTCGGGTTTGGGAGAAGACCCACACAGGCAAGGACAGCAGGAGAACACTGACATAGTTACACTCTTGTCACCAGCACTTTTATTAAGACGTGAAAAGACAAAGACAACAGAGGACAGCAGAGAATAATATCTCTGTTTCAGCTATTCCAGGATGTTATGCCAATTATCCAGAGTCCTTGATCTGATGTAGTAAAGAGCTAGGGACATTTTCCCTGAAGGCTTTGATTGCTGGCAAAATCTCATTAAACGTGTATACATTCATAGGTTGGCCATAGGATGGATAAAAGAAGAGCCTCTGGCCTACATCTGCCACGATACATGTGCAAAAATGCTCTCTGCAGCATTATTTTTCATTGTAAAATAGCAGAACGAATTTATTATTCAATAATTATAAAATGGTCAAATGTATGTGACTATATTTGGACAATGAAAAATGCAGCTGTTAAAAGCAGACAATACTGATGATTCAGATGATGTTACTGATGAAAATAATAACAGATGACAATTATTGAGCATTTATGGCATTCTTACAGGCATTACCTTATTTAAAGTTCAGAACTACCAAGGAAAAGAGTAACTTGTGGCAGGCGTGAGAGGTTCCGAGGCACAAAAGGAAGATAGGCATTCAAGGAACACCAGGATAGAAGACCCAGAGTAGGAGAAGAGAGAGGAAGAGGAGTCCGCCAGATGGGATGCTGGAAACCGCGGGATAGCTCGGTGGAGAGAGGGCGCTCCTGCTCCGCAAGCCTCCCTACGACGGCAGGCCTACCCGGTCCTGCTCCTGCCGGCTCTGGGCATCTGGTTTCTGCCGCTCCATCTCCAGGGAGATGGTGGCCAGGCTGTGCCGTGTACCCATCAACTTCTCTGACAGCGCCATCTTCTCAGACTCCTTCAGAGACAAGGCCTGGGCAGAGGCAGGGGACAAAGGGCTTGGGGGATGGGCTGGTCCTGGGGGCATGCTCAGGCTTCTTGCTGCCTAGGAAATGTGCCCACTGGGGGCTTAGAGGCCTGAGTGTGCCACTGCAGGTGGACCCAGGGCAGACATGCAGCCCTGGAAAAGGGCACAACGGCAGTCACAAGAATCCCGGACGTGGATACCACTCATAGAGCTCACTAACCCGCCACAGCACCCTGACTGCAGAGTCTTTCTTTCTACCCATCTTACAGATGAGGAAACTGAGGCTCAAGGAGGTAAAGTGACTCGCCCAGGTACACAGCTGGTGAGGAGAGGAGATGGGCACAGTCTGCCCTGTCTCCGTTACATTATAGGAAAGTTAGGGATTTGTTATTTGGGGGGACACGTCAGCTGATGCCTGTGGGCATCGTGGGGACTGCTCAGAAGGCAGCCATGAGGATCCATGCCCAGCGTGGGGTGGGACGAGGCATGGGAGAATATGGAACAGCTTTCCTGGTGTCACGACTGTCACTGTCACTCAGTAAGTGCTCACCGTGTGCCAGGCATGGAGCAGAGCAAAGCCTCACGAACCCCCTTCTAATCCTCCCCTCCTGCAGGTAAGGAAACTGAGGCCCCCAAGAGGGCAGTGGCCTGCCCCAGGGCTCCTAGCTGCCAAGTGGCAGAGCAGGGCCCGGCCCCAGAACTGGAGCAGCTCAGAGAGCAGCAGAGGCCACGCCAGGGCTCACGAACCTGCTGCTTCTCGCTCTCGGCCAGGAGGAGGCCCTCGTCATGCTCCTGCTGCAGGGCAGCAATCTCCTCACTCAGCTGTTCCTTCTCAGCCTTCCGCCGGGCCAGCAGCTCCTCCTGCTCACGCTGCAGCTGACTCTGCAGCTGGGCCCGCTCGGCCTCCAGCTCCCGCCATGCTGCCTCCTAGGGGGCCAGGACTGGACGCGTGTGACACACCAGGAGGGGCCCAGGCAGACCCCCCAAAACATCAGGGCAGCAAGAGCCATCTGGCCCCCATACCCTCAGAGATGGAGGGTGACCAGGTAAATACAAGGGACTGATAAGGACTATGACGGGGACACGCCAGGGCCGTGAAAGTGCCAAGGAGCAGCAGTGGGCTGGCCTGGGGGTCCGAACATGATCCCCTGCGGAGAGACAAGTAACTGTCAGCCAGGTAAGGAGAGAAAAGACCACCCCAGGCCAAGAGCACAGCCCCTGGAAAGGACTACAGGATGCAGGGTGCAGAGGGAAACAGGGCGCGGTGAGTCACAGGGCCAGAGCCCCAGGCAGTGGCTGGGCCAGGACAGGCCGTGTGGGCCATGGGGATTCTAAGGACAGTGAGGGGAGTGGGAGAGAGGACTCGAGCCAAGGTGACAAGGAGCAATCTGATTTTTAGCTTAGGGGATGTTCCGACAGCTGTGGAAGAGGGATTGGGGTTGGGATGGAGGAGAGTTAGGACTGGCTGTGAGGAATGAAGGGGGTCAGGGGTTGCCAGAGGAGCTGGAGAGAAGAACACAGATTTGGGGACATTAATGAGGCCAAGCCAGGCAATGCAAAGGGCAAGAAGAGCAAGGGGGAGGTCACAGTTCAGATCCCTGGGGACTGGACAGGCGGGCAGGCAGAGCCCACAGGCAAATAGCAGCCCACCCGGGGAGCCCGAGGGCAGGTGCCTGCCTCAGCAGTTGTCCCTAGCAACTCTGTGAGAAGCAGACAGAGCTGCCACTTCTTTTTTTTTTTTTTTTTTAGACAGAGTCTCGCTCTGTCACCCAGGCTGGAGTGCAGTGGCGTGATTTTGGCTCACTGCAACCTCTGCCTCCCAGGTTGAAGCGATTCTTCTGCCTTACCCTCCCAAGTATCTGGGACTACAGGCGCGTGCCACCATGCCCAGCTAATTTTTTGTGATTTTAGGAGAGATAGGGTTTCACTGTGTTAGCTAGGATGGTCTCGATCTCCTGACCTCGTGATCCGCCCACCTCAGCCTCCCAAAGTGCTGGGATTACAGGCATGAGTCAGCACGCCCGGCCAAGCCACCCCTTCTTTAAGAGCTTCACCATAGCTCATGCCTGGAATCCCAGCACTTTCGGAAAGAGCTTTACCGCCCCCTGATGGAGAAGCGTGATAACCACCACCCAAGGCCATGGGGACTGCAGGGTGAGTGGCATGCCCTGGAGCCATGTAGTCATAGCCTGCACCTCTGTCAGAGGAAGCCCTGTCTAGGATTTGGTGGCTGAGGGCCCCTGTCCTGAGGGCCACTCTGGAGAGCATGCCAGTGCCAGCAATCATAACTCATGGAGCATTTGCTAAGTACCAGTCACTATGTTAAGCCCTCTATGCAGATGGTCTCAGCTCATCCTCAATACCTTCCACTATCCTATCCCTATTTCTACAGGTGGGGAAATGAAGGTACAGACACCTTGGGTAGCATCACCAGTAAGCGACCAAGATTAGATTCAAACCCAGGCAATATAACCCCAGAGTCAGTGTTCTAGTAACTTCCCTGGCCCCTTGCCTTTCTACATGCTCAGGTCTGCGTGGCCCTTCATATGGAAACTTCTTAGCAAATGAAAGTGCTTTCCTGCTGTGCATTAGGTCAACATTTCCCAAATGTGGTTGTGGACCCTCTGCATCAGGATTACCAGGGCTGGACCAGATTTGGGACCTGGGTATCTGAATGTCTAATAAGGACCACAACCTCCCCACCACCCCTCCAGTCCTCCCAGCTGTCCCCAGGGCCTCCACAACAGAGAGGGAGTCCCATTTCACAGATGTACAGACCGAGGCAGAGCAAGAACGATGATGAAACACTGGCTCAGACTTCTGCCCACCCCTCCCCAGCTGCCTGAACCTTTTCACGCTGGAGTCACTGTAAGTCCTCCTTGTGGGCTGCCCACTGCTCCCGCAGAGAGGCCTGGGCCTCCCGCTCAGCCTGCACCAGCTTCTGGGCCATCAGCTCCTTGTCTAGACTGGCTTTCTCCTGCGTAGCTATTATTTGCTGCCGCAGGCCCGCCAACTCCCCTGCACGAGAGGAATGGGGGAAAGGGCAGGGTTGGGTTGAAATTTTTCCTTGGGCCAGCAGACTTAGGCCAGTTGAGCCATATGGGCAAAATCCCAGAGGCAGAGGGCCTGCCTGGCATCCAGTTTGGGTCCTCTTGAAGAAGTGGCTTGTCCTCTCTGGGCCTCAGTTTCCCTATCTGCTACATGGGCCCACTGGCCCTGACCCCTTTCCTGCCTACCTAGAATGGCATTAAAGGCATAAAATGACTGATGAGAAGGCCTCCCAAATGGGACGGATGTCAAACATATAACAACCCTAGGCCAGGTGCCATGGCTCACTCCTGTAATCCCAGCACTTTGGGAAGCTGGGGCAGGTGGATCACCTTAGGTAAGGAGTTCAAGACCAGCCTGGCCAACACGGTGAAACCCTGTCTCTACTAAAAATACAACAATTAGCTGGGCATGGTGGCGGACGTATGTAGTCCTAGCTACTTGGGAGGCTGAGGCAGGAGAATCGCTTGAACCCAAGAGGCAGAAGTTGCAGTGAGCTCAGATCGCACCACTGCACTCCAACCTGGGCGACAAGAGTGAGACTCTGTCTCAAAAAATCAAACAGGCTGGGCGCAGTGGCTCATGCCTGTAATCCCAGCACTTTGGGAGGCCGAAGTGGGCAGATCACCTGAGGTCGAGAGTTCGAGACCAGCTTGACCAACATGGTGAAACCCCGTCTCTACTAAAAATACAAAATTAGCCAGGCATGGTGGCGCGTGCCTGTAATCCCAGCTACTTGGAAGGCTGAGGCAGGAGAATCGCTTGAACCTGGGAGGCGGAGGTTGAGGTGAGCCAAAATCGCGCCATTGCACTCCAGCCTGGGCAACAAGAGTGAAACTCCATCTCAAAACAAACAAACAAAAACAAACAAACAAACAAAAACCCTATTACTGACTCAGCACTTACTATGCGTCAAGCACCCAGCTAAGTATTTTAGACATAACCTCATTTTGTCTTCATAACATGCCTATGTAGTTTATCCTCATCCCCGTTTAACAGATGATGAAATGGAGGATCAGAGGAGATCAGCAGCAACTTCCCACAGCTGCACAGCTACACATAAAGCATCTCCTTTAATGACTGACATGAACATACCTGTCAAGCATTAACTATCAGCATTAATGGAAACGACTACAGGGAATGGAAATGGTATAGCCATCATCTAAAAACCATCTCCCGGGTTGGAAACCCACCAGCATTTCCCTTCCTGGTTCTGTCTGGCTCAGGTGTACATGGACAGGAAAATTAATTTCCATGACCCAAGTAGGTGCTTAGTTAATGTTAGATGAGCAGAAAGAAGCCCTGAGTTCAGAGATTCGATGGGGAACGGTGCAGGGAAGTGGGGCTCGGATTCTGGGGCCAAGAGAGTCATCTGAAAAGCACAGAGAACTCAGACTAACAGGCCTGATGACCGATGAACAGCAGTTACTGTTGACTCAGCCAGGCACCGTGCCACGGCCTTACACGCTTTTCCCATGTCATCCTGGCAACAGGCTTAGAAGGTGGGCATTGCCACCTCCAATCATCAGCTGAGGAATCTGCAGCCCAGAGAGGAAAGGGGCTTGCTCAAGGGAAGGTGAGATCTAAGTGGTGGCACAGGACTGGAACCCAGGCCAGCCAGACTCCTACTCCAGTGCTCCCAACTTCTGTGAGACTACAGACATTGGGAGGTTGCAGTCTGGGCTGGAACCTGGTGTTCCCCCCAAGTCCCCAGCCACTCGTACCAGTCAGGGTCTCCTTGGCCAGCAGCAGGGCCTGCCCCTCGGCTTCCAGCTGCTCCCGGCGGGCCTCAAGCTGGGCCAGCTGCCATTGCACCTCAAACAGGCTGCCCTCCAGGGCTTCCTTCTCCAAGCTGCAGCACATACAGTGCGTGAGGCCCTGGGACTCAGCCTCCCTGGCCCCAGGAAACTGTGGATCTCAGGGAGTGGCCAGGCATGGGCCAAGTGCCAATCTACCTGCCTGGCCAGGCCCACACTCCCTGGGGAAGCCTGAGCCCACAGCTAGGACGAGTTGGCAAGCCAGACTCCTTAGTAACTGCCCCTGGGGGCCCGTGCCTGGGTGAGGCTGTTCATGGCGTGGCCCCAGGAGGACCGCCCAGGGCGGGTTGGGCAGAGCCCAAGGCCTTACTGCAGGTGTGTGGCCTCCTCTGACACGGTCCTGCCTTCACGCTCCGCAGGCCGCCAGCTGCACAGCCAGGCCAGCGTGCTCCTTGGCTAGCGCCTCCTTCTCCCGGGCCACTTGCCCCAGCGTCTCCACCTGTCACTGGGCCTCCCACCGGGCCTGCTCCAGCTCCTGCTCCCGCCTGCTCAGCTGCCAGGAGAGCTGGCTCCCACCCAGAGACTGAGTAGCACTCCCAGCATCCCCCAGCTTGTTCATCGTGCAGCACCCCAACTCTGGGCCTAACCCAGTCCTGGCAGAAGGCCTGGGTTCGAGCCCAGGGTCTGCCCTGATGTGCTATATGTACTTGGGCAAGTCATGACCTTCTCTAGATCTGCAATGCACGTGTGTACAAAAACCAGGGCCCGGCCGGACACGGTGGCTCACGCCTATAATCCCAGCACTTTGGCAGGTGGATCACTTGAGGTCAAGAGTTCAAGACCAGCCTGGCCAACGTGGTGAAACCCTGTCTCTACTAAAAATACAAAAATTAGCCGGGCATGGTGGTGCACGCCTGTAGTCCCTGCTACTTGGGACGCTGAGGCAGGCGAACAGCTTAAACCCCGGAGGCAGAGGTTGCAGTGAGCCCAGATCGTGCCACTGCACTCCAGCCTGGGCAACAGAGCAAGACTGTCAAAAAAAAAAAAAAAAAAAAAAAAAAAGAAAAGAAAAGAAAAATGAGGGTCCTCACTCAGCTTTGGAAGTAACAGAACCCTTGTATTACTCTAAGCAGAGAAGCTGAATATATAAACCAGACCCAAATGCAGCTGCTCAGCAGGCCTCAAGGTGGAGACTTGCACCCTGCTTCCTGCACTCCCTACCCCATCCTCTAGAGGCACCTCCCAGAAACCCAGGCCCTCCAGGATGGACCTTGCATGAAGGTCCCTGGATCCCTGAAACATTAAGGTCTCTTCCAGATGTGATGTTCCCAAAAGTCTAAGATTCCAATTCTAAAAAGTCTCCACCTATTATTAATCTGTATCATTATTATTATTATTATTATTGAGACGGAGTCTTGCTCTGTTGCCCAGGCTGCAGTGCAGTGGCACGATCTTGGCTCACTGCAACCTCTGCCTCCTGGGTTCAAGCGATTCTCCTGCCTCAGCCTCCTGAGTAGCTGGGACTACAGGCGCGTGCCACCACACCCAGCTAATTTTTTGTAGAGATAGGGTTTCACCGTGTTAGCCAGGATGGTCTTGATCTCCGGACCTCAGGTGATCCACCCGCCTCGGCTTCCCCAACTGCTGGGATTATAGGCGTGAGCCACTGCGCCCGGCTAGCCCCATGTTATAAATGGGGCAACTGAGGTATGGGAGGTTGGGCAGCTTGTCCAAGGTCCCCAGCTAGGAGAAGTGGGACTGGATTTAACCCAGAAGCAGGCTCCAGTGCCTGTGACTTAACCCAGGACTGGATGCAGGAGGCTGCGAGCCTGGCCTGCCCCACATGCTCTCCAGACCACCCCACACACAGTTTGGCCCACCTGTGCTAGCTGCTCCTGCAGCCAACTGAGCTCATGGTGCAGTGTGGGGAGCTGTTGCTCCAGCGCCTCCTGGGCCTGCTCCGCCACTCATAGGGAGCCCTCCAGGCCCTGCCGTGCCACCTCCTGCTCCAACCACAGCTCCTCCAGCCACTCCTGCTCTGCCGGCGCCACTGTGGCCTCCTGCTCCGCCTGCCGCTGCCGGCCCTGCAGCGTGGCCTTTTCTTCCTCCAGCTGTGGGCCAGAAAGGAGTGGGGCCTCATGAGCAGGGCGTCCCTCCCAGGACCAGGACGCCTCCTCCACCCACCCACCAGCCACGATAGCCCAGGGGAGGCTCCCAGGGAATGAGGGACAGTGCCCTTGGGTGTGTGGGACACTGGGGAGGGGGAGATGAGGAGGGCCCATGGAGCGTCGGTGCTTTGACTCCTAGAGAGGATAGACAGACAGACGGAGATAGACAGAGAACCAGAGACAGAAAGGGAGGCAGGGGCCAAGACAGGTGCAGGGCCGGGCCCAGGGTGCCTCACTGAGTGGGGAGGACGGGTGGGCAAGGTAGGTGGGCCCGCAGGTGCACAGTGTACCTGGGTGACAAGGCAGTTCAGATCCAACTTGTCCTGAGCAAGGCTCTCATTGAGGGCGCTCAGCTTGGACAGGGAGTCCTGCAGGGAGGCCTCCTCTGCCCTCAACTTGGTCACGGAGAGCTCGAGCTCCATGCGGCCAGCCTCAGCCTGCAGGGTCAGGCCCCAAGAGATGAGGAAGGGCAGAAAGGTCGGGAGGAGGTGAGGAGAGACAAGAAGAGACCCAGAGAGATGGACCCTCGGAGACAGGGGAGGGGAGACAAGGAGGGGATACGGTGTGAGATGGAAAAAAAAATCACCGCAGAAAGCCTGCTGCTTATGGAGCCATTTAAAAGCCATGCACCGCAAAGCTGTGCAAAAATAGCTCAAGCTGCAGGGCAGGGCCAGAGTTCAGAGGATCCCCTGAGTAAGGTCTAGGGATAGCACTGCTCAGAGCCCAGGCTGCAGCGGACAGCGCAGGCCCCCCCGCCAAGGACCCTCTGCGCTGTGGCCACAACTCTCAGACTCCAGGAGCTGAATCTCAGGATGACCCTGAGCTATAGGCACTGCCCCCAGGAGCATCCAGAACAGCAGGGATACGGCCATAAAGAGAGGTCAGTCCACTTATGGCTGGGACCAGAGGTCCAGAGGTCTGTGGCCTGTGACAAAGATCAGCCTGTATCCAGAAGGAAGGGGTCAGTCTGTGACCAGGCTCAGAGGTCTGCCTGACACTGGGACCAGTCTGTGCCAGAGTGACAAGGCTTGGGGCTGGGGGTCAGAGGTAGGTTTGTGGTTGTGCAGCAGACAGGGACCCACCTTGGTCAGCGCCTCGGCCACCTCGGTCTTCTCGGCCTGCAGCATGTCCCGTTGCAGCGTGGCGCGGCTCAGCGCCTCCCTCACCTCCACCAGCTCCTTGGCCAGGACTGAGCGCTTCCCTTCCAGCTGCTCTAGTTGTCTATGGCTGTGGGACAAAGGGTGGGTGGGTGGCCCATGTCACTTTCCTGCCCCGAACCTCCTGTAGCCAGCAAGATGCTGGGCCGGGGACCAGGCCTGAGGCACGAGTTTGCAGAGAAACAGCCTGAGCCACAGGGCAACCAAGCCCACTACCGCTTAGCTCCATGACCCTGGGCCTCCGTTTTCACATCTGCAAAATGAGGTAACACTTGCCTCGTGACATTGTTTGTTTTTTTGAGACAGAGTCTTGCTCTGTCGCCCAGTCTGGAGTACAGTGGTGCGATCCTGGCTGACTGCAACCTCTGCCTCCCAGGTTCAAGCAATTCTCCTGCCTCAGCCTCCCTAGTAGCTGGGATTACAGGTGCTCACCACCACACCTGACTAATTTTTGCAGTTTTAGTAGAGACGGGGTTTCCCCATGTTGGTCAGGCTGGTCTTGAACTCCTGACCTCAGGCGATTCGCCTGCCTCGGCCTCCCAAAGTGCTGGGATTACAGGCGTGAGCCACCGTGCCCAGCCTGTTTTAAGGATACAAACTTCACATGTGCTTAAAATAGTGCCTGACACATCTCCCCAAGGACCTTCAGAAACAAGAATAACATGCTCCACCACAGTCTACTAAACATCATCAGCGATCACGTCCCTGAGAGGTAAGCAGCGCAGTGGTGAAGAGGTTAACTCTGAAGGCAGAATGTCTGGGTTCAAATCCTGGCTCTTCTGCTAACTGTGTGACCTGGGGCAAGTGACATGGCTTCTCTGTGCCTCAGTTTACCATCCACAAAATGGAGATAACAGCTTCTATGTCACAGAGTTATCATGGAGTTAAATGAGAGAACTGAATTGCTTAAAATGGTATCTGGCACTTAGTGAAATTAGTAAGGATATTATTATTCTTCTAACTAAATTTTTAAAATACTACTACTAATATTACTACTGTTATTTTAATTATTCTTGTTATTATCATCCAAGTTCTACCTTTTAACTAGTTCTCTGACTCCAGGTAAGTGACTATACCTCCCTGAGCCCCAGTTTCCTGAAATGGGTCTGGTTAGAAAACCCGACATCAGAGGGGTCCAGACGGTAGGAGGCCCAGGACCCAGTGGGTGTCACCTAACCCCATGGGGGCACTGTCAGGGGACCCGAGGCACATTTGAAGGGTCCTGGCAGGGAGGTGAGATGCTGCTAACCTGCGCTCAAGCTCCCGGCGAACCCGTGCGCCATTCTGCACCGCCTCTTCCTGCTCTTCCTCCAGCCGGTCCCGCTGGCGCTGCAGCTCCTCCTGGGCAACCTGCAGCTTCTCCCGCTCCTGCGGCAGCTCCTCGGCCTGCTGCTGGGCCACCTGCAGGCTGTGGGCCAGGTTGCTCTTCTCCCTTCAGGACAAGGGGAGCGGGAGCAGAGGGGATGCTGGGGCTGCTCTCTCCAGGGAAGGTGGCTGGCTGCTCCTCTAGCCATGAGCTACATCCTCCCGTCTTCCAAGGCACCTGCCTCCAGGAAGCCTTCCCTGACCCTGCCCATAGCAGACTCATTTCACTCACACACTCCAGCAGAAGAACCTGGCTTTCCTTCTCCCCAGCCCGCCCACTTAGAGTGGATGGAGGTGCTGGCGTGATCTCTAAGCACTCTACCACGTAGAAGAGGCCAGGCTAGGCTCCTGGGACACACAGGCAATTGTGCCACCAGTTCTGCTAGGCCATGTGACCAGGAAATGTCCCCTAGAACACCCCATGCCCCTCAATTCTGGGAAGCCTGATAGAGCTGAGTCTGCAGATCCCACAGCTTCCTGCTACACAGGCACATGGTGGCCACGGCAGGGGAGGGAGGAGAAGGGAACAACTAGGACCCCAAAGACTTGCTGTGAGCTGCCACTTTCCCCACTGGTGGTAGGTGCAAAAAACTTCAAGACGTGATTTTTTTTTTTTTTTTTTTTTTTGAGATGGAGTCTCGCTCTGTTGCCCAGGCTGGAGTGCAGTGGCACGATCTCTCCTCACTGCAAGCTCCGCCTTCTGGGTTCACGCCATTCTCTTGCCTCAGCCTCCCGAGTATCTGGGAATACAGGCGCCCGCCACCACGCCTGGCTAATTTTTTTTTTTTTTTTTTTTTTTTTTTTGAGACGGAGTCTCGCTTTGTCACGCAGGCTGGAGTGCAGTGGTGCCATCTCGGCTCACTGCAACCTCTGCCTCCCGAGTTCATGCCATTCTCCTGCCTCAGCCTCCCGAGTAGCCGGAACTACAGGCACTCGCCACGATGTCCGGCTAATTTTTTATATTTTTAGTACAGATGGGGTTTCACCCTGTTAGCCAGGTTGGTCTCAATCTCCTGACCTCGTGATCCACCCGCCTCGGCCTCCCAAAGTGTTGGGATTACAGGCGTGGGCCACCGCGTCCAGCAATTTTTTTGTTTTTACACACAGTCTCACTCTTGCCTAGGCTGGAGTGCAGTGACACAATCTCACTGCACTCCACACAGCTTGCTGCAATCTCCACCTCCAGAGTTCAAGCGATTCTCCTGCCTCAGCCTCCCGAGTAGCTGGGATTACAAGCGCCTATCACCACGCCCAGCTAATTTTTGCATTTTTATTTAGAAGTGGGGTTTCACCATGTTGGCCAGGCTGGTCTCAAATTCCTGACCTCAAGTGATCTGCACGCCTCGGCCTCCCAAAGTGCTGGGATTACAGGCGTTAGCCACTGTGCCTGGGCAATTTTTTAAATTTTTAGTAGAGATGGGGTTTCGCCATGTTGGCCAGTGCCTGCGGGACAAGACCGACGGCGCCACGCAGGTGTTCCTCTAGGGCCCGCCGCTCACTCTCGCTGTCGCTAAGCTGCTTCCGCAGGGTGCCCAGCAGGTCCTGGCTTGCCTCATAGCGCCCACGCATGTTCTGGGGCGTGGGGATCACAGAGTCTAGCGGGGGTCCTTTGAGGCCTCCAGAGCCCACCTACTCTCTTCTGGTTCCAGGGATACACACTAGCCTACGCTAGGCGGGGTCCAGGGCCTGGACCTGCCCTGGGGCAGGATAGGGGCCTAGGCCTGAGAGCCAGGCTTCCACTCCCCTCCTATGTGCCCTCACCACCCTCTGAACCCTCATCTCCCTGGGGTCCCGGACAACTCCTATCAAAGCCCCCGGGATGCCAGACAAACTCCCAGGCACACTCGTCTCCTGGGTTCTGATCCCACCCCCAGGGCTCCCAGGCTCCTCCCCCTTGCATCCTGGTTCCACTCTCACACTCCTCCCTACCCTGGCTCTGCCCCTAGTTCCCAAGCTCTCATCCTAGGCTGTGATTTCCCTTGCTAGACCTTTTCCCAGGGTCCTGGCTCTGTATGACCAGGGACCTGTCTCCCTCTCTACCAGGACCCTAACACTGCCGCAGCCTCCTCCCTCCACCGGCTGCCCAAGCACCCACCCCCAGCTGCCCAAGCACCCCCACTTCTGGGCTGGCTTCAGCGCAGAGCCCTCGGCCACCTCCTTGGGGGTCCTGACACCCTCAGACACTATTTCTCAGGGCTCTGGCTGCACCCCAGGGCGCTCAGACTCCTCCCCCAGACACGCCCCCACCCCCACCTGGAGGGCGCGAGCCCCTCCCCCTGGGCCTCTGGCTGCGCCCAGAAAACTCAAGCCCCTTCCTACCTGGACCTTCAGCTGGCAAAAGTGCAGGGCGGAGAGAATCAGGGCAAGCGAGCGTGGAGTCGTCTGAGCAGGCCGGGGAGGGGCCTCTGCGGGGCGAACGGCCTCGGCCCGGCGAGGAGCGCCGCGGTGGAGACGGGGTCCGCTGGCCCGAGAGCCCCCGCAGGCTGCGGTCGGACGCTGTTGGACGCAGGCTGCCGCTCTCAGCGTCAGACAGGACGGCCTGAGGGTAAGGGAGGGAAGCAGGAGGCCGCAGAGTTAGGAACTTCGGGGTTAGCTGGCAAAAACGACCAGGGGAGGCTGGGGGACGCCTCATCCCAAATGCTCCCGCTTACAAGAAGCCTTCTGATTTCACCTCCTCCACTAGCTCAGTCCTCAGCTCGCCGCTGAGGCATCCCATTTATTGCGAAGACATCATTTGGCATTGCTCACAGGTGGGCTCCGAGAGGGCCGTGCCTCCCCTCTGAGACTGGGGGCTCCCCAGGGCAGAGGCCGGGTGAGCTAGCAGGGGTGCTGAGCAGCTACAGCCTGGGTCCCAGGGCCCCACCCATCTGCAGTTCAATCCGAAGCCACCGAAAGGCGAGGCGGGGGAGCCCAGGACCGCCTGGCAGGGCCCTGTCTTCCCGCCTTTCTGGGCTCACACCTGTGCCAGGTCCCTTAGGCTCCGCTGTAGCCCCTCTCCGTCCTCTGTCTCCAGGGCCGCCTGCTCCTGTAGCCGCAGGGATTCCTGGAGTGCGGTGAGGGAGACAAAGAGTGGTCGGGGTTCTGTCTTACCTGAAACCTCCCCTTTCCCTCCCTCCCTGGCCCACCACTGATCAGGTGGCCTCTGAAGCCATGTCCATAGGCCAGCCACCTGGTAGACCCCACAGCAGGCCCGAGGCCCTCAATGAACAGACCAGGCCCAGAGAAGAGCTGGGTTCTGCCCCAGGTCACACAGTCGATTGCAGGAGAGCTGGACCTAGAACCCAGGCCAGGCCCCACACAGAGGGGTGACTAAACCAGGCTGGACCCTGGGGGAGTGAGTGTCCCACTGGTGGGGGTGGACAGTTGGGATTCCAAAGGCAGCATCTGGACCTGGAGAGCGTGGATGGGAGTTCAAGTCCCAACTCTCCTGCTTACTGGCTCTGAGACTGGACAAGCATTTCCCCTCTTGGGCCTCAGTTTCCCATCCGTGTCATTAGGATTACTCTACAGGGCTGCTGGGAGGGAGAAATGGGATGGAGGAAGTGAGTGTGCTTCCCACAAAGCCTGCACACCTGTGTGGGCTGAACCTGAGTGTGAGTGGGATGCTGGGGGTGGCCCAGGCAGCCCAGCCCTAAGCCTGTGTCCATGGATCTGGCCGGTACCCCATCCCACCCTGCCCCATCTCAGGGGCAGCTGAAGCTCACCAGGGCCTCAAGCTTCTCGGTGAGGTCCTTGTCGACCTGATCCTTCTCCAGATTCTGCTTCTGTAGACGCTTCACTGCCAGGCCCAGCTCTGTCACTCTGGAGTTGGGGGAGCAACAGAGGTGAATACGGGACCACCCCAGCCTCTCAAATCCACTAGCTCTGTGTCCACCATGCTTCTCCAAACCCGAGGCAGGGACCCTAACATCCACCTCCCTGGCTGTGTGACCTTAAACAAGTTGTGGCTCCTCTCCAGACCTCACACTTCTCATCTGTGAAATGGGAATGAGGTTCCCACCAGCTTTATCTCATGGGAAAGCACTGGAGGACTTATCCAGGTGGCAGGAGTAAGGGGCACAAGTTGTTTTTTTGTGGTTTTCTTTTGAGACAGAGTTTCGCTGTGTCGTCCAGGCCGGAATACAGTGATGTGATCTTGGCTCACTGCAACCTCCACATCCTGGGTTCAAGCGATTCTCCTGTCTCAGCCTCCCTCGTAGCTGGGATTAGAGGCACACACCACCACACCCGACTAAGTTTTGTATTTTTAGTAGAGACAGGGTTTCGCCTATTGGGCAGGCTGGTCTTGAGCTCCTGACCTCAGGTAATCTCCCACCTTGGCCTCCCAAAGTGCTGGGATTACAGGTGTGAGCCACAGCACCCGGCCACAAGTTCTGTCATAGGAGGCTAAGCTGTTTATGATAAACACTGGGCAACTGCCTTCGGAACCTCAGTGGGGTGCCTGGGAAGGCTGGCTGAGCTCACAGAGGAAGGCCCTGCTCCTAGTGAACAGATGCTCCCTTCTCCCCAACTCTCCAGTTTTACCTTCTGCAGTGACGCCTGCCTCATGCAGCACCCACCAGGGACCCTCCTGGCACTGAGGTCAGCCTTGTCCAGGTCGCTTTGCATCTGCTGCTGGGACAGGTCCTTCTCGTGGAGCACCTTGTCCCGCAGCTGCTCCTCCAGCTGGGCCTGCAGCAGGGCCTGCTTCTCCAGGGCTGGCTCGACCCGGCTCTCTGCCAGCCGCAGGCCTGTGCTCATTCCCAGGCCGGCCTCCTGGATAGCTCCCCTCCCAGCTGCAGCGGGTCCCTTGGGAAGAGAACACAGGATGGGGATGGGATGGGGCTCACTCCCAACTACAAATTAAAACTAGTCTGGGGCTGGGTATGGCGGCCCACACCTATAATCCCAGCACTTTGGGAGGCCGAGGCGGGCAGATCACCTGAGGTCAGGAGTTCGAGACCAGCCTGGCCAACATGGTGAAACCCCATCTCTACCAAAAATACAAAAAATTAGCCAGGTGTGGTGGTGCACTCCTGTATTCCCAGCTACTTGGGAGGCTGAGGCAGGAGAATTGCTTGAACCTAGGAGGAGGAGGTTGCAGTAAGCTGAGATCATGCCACTGCACTCCAGTCTGGGCGACACAGCCAGACTGCGTCTCAAAAAAATAAATAAATAAAAAATAAATAAAACTACACTGGGCTGGGTGCGGTGGCATGCACCTGCAGTCCCAGCTATGCGGGAAGCTGAGGCAGGATTGCTTGAGCCCAGGAATTTGAGGCCAGCATGGGAAACATAGTGAGACTCCATCTCAAAAACTAAAGAGGAAGAAGAAAAAAAAAACAACCCTACACTGGGATGCCATTTGTCCACTATCAGATTGGGAAAAAAAAAAAGGGACACATAATACACAAAGAGAGGCTCTGGGGCAACAGGCCTTCCCCTACACAGCTGGTGGGAGGGTGAGTACAATCACAATGGAGGGCACTGAGGGAGATCTTCGAAAACTATGCAGGCATAGGACCTTCCCCGCCGGCTCCTCCTCTAAGAATGGATCCTACAGATATACCCCAGCACAGAGGAGATGGCTTGTGGACAAGGAGGTTCACTGCAGCATTGCTCATGTAAGATATCCTGGTGACAACCTAAATGTCTATCAAAAGGGGACTGCTACTAAGTACATGATGGTACATCCTTTAAGTGGAGAACTGTGGCCAAGAAAAACCAGTGGAGAAGTTCTTCCTGGCCTGATCCAGAGCCACCTCCCAGTTATAACTAGTAGGTGAAGAAAGCATCTTCAAGAACTGTGAAGATGAAATTTTACCAGGGGTGTATACAAAAAAGTGTGTGTGTGTGTGTGTGTGTGTGCGTGTGTGATCTGATTTGCTCATATAAAATAACCCTGGAAGGTCACTTAAGAAACTGATAGGCCAGGCACGGTGGCTCATGCCTGTAATCCCAGCACTGTGGGAGGCCGAGGCGGGAGGGTCACCTGAGGTCAGGAGTTCAAGACCAGCCTGGCCAATATGGCGAAATCCCGCCTCTATTAAAAATACAAAAATTAGCCGGGTGTGGTGGCTCATTCCTGTAATCCCAGCTACTTGGGAGGCGGAGGTGGGAGAATCGCTTGAACCCGGGAGGCAGAGGTTGCAGTGAGCCAAGATCGTGCCACTGCACTCCAGCCTGGAGACTCGCAGCAGAGCGAGACTCCATCTCAAAAAAAAAAAAAAAAAAGAAAGAAAGAAAAAAGAAAAAGAAACTGACAATGCTTCTTACGGTAACTTGGTGGCCAAAAAAAAAAAAAAGAAAGAAAATAATTGTATATATAAAAAGAAAAAGAAGCTGATGATGCTGCTTGCCTCCAAGGAAGGAATGGGAATATCTGGGGTCAGAGGTGGGAGGGAGCCATTTTACTGTGTACCCTTTTGAAATGTGAATAGGTGACTTAATCAAAAGTAAAATATAAAAATTTGAAAGGCTACTTACAAAAATTTTTTTTGTTTTTGTTTCTTTTTCAGATGGAGTCTCGCTCTGTTGCCCAGGCTGGAGTGCGCTGGTTTGACCTCGGCTCACTGCAACGTCCGCCTCTCCGGTTCAAGCGATTCTCCTGCCTCAGCCTCCCGAGTAACTGGAATTACAGATGTACGTCACAACACCCAGCTAATTTTTGTATTTTTAGAAGAGACGGGGATTCACCATGCTGGCCAGGTTGGTCTTGAACTCCTGAGCTCAGGTGATCCACCCGCCTCAGCCTCCCAAAGTGCTGGGATTACAGGCATGAGCCACGACGCCTGGCCTTAAAATACATTAAAAATTATTTGTATTTTAAAAAATTAAAATGTATTTTAAGGCCAGGCGTGGTGGCCCATTTCTTGAGACATAGCAAGACCCTGTCTCAAAAAAAAAAAAAAATTAGCTGGGTATAGTGGTGAACACTTATAGTCCCAGCTATTTGGGAGGCTGAGGTGGGAGGATCACTTGAGCCTGGGAGGTCAAGCCTAACATGAGTTGTGATTGTGCCACTGCACTCCAGCCTGGGCGACAGAGAGAGACTGGCTCAAAAAAAAAGTATTTTAAGTCCATAATACAGGTTAAATCCTTTCCTTTCCTTTCCTGAATGAACTGTACCACTGGTTATCCAATAGTAAGGAGGGAAAGTGCCTCATTATAGAATTCTAATTAATATACACAGGAGTGACTAAATGAGAAGCTCACAGTTTTGCAGCCTCTAATGAGTGGGTTGGATCTTGAAAAGAGAGACAGCTGGCATAGGGACATCCTGATGGAAGAACACATTCTACTTATGGAGTCTTGATCAAACGAAAAAGCAAGCAGAAGAGCCTGAATCTGACCTAGCTTTACATCCAACATCCAATTTACAGGAAATACATGGGATAAAGAAACATGTTAATTGACACCATAAGGATGCAACCAGCAAAATCCAGACCATGAGAATCTCCAAGGACAACTAGCCCAGTTTCCTGAACAAATAAGTTAAAAAGGACTTCAAAGACAAAGCATGGGCCGGGCACGGTGGCTCACTCTTGTAATCCCAGCACTTTGGGAGACCAAGGTAGGTGGATCACCTGAGGTCAAGACCAGCCTGGCCAACATGGTGAAGCTCCCATGTCTACTAAAAATACAAAAGTTAGCTGGGCGTGGTGGCGCACTCCTGTAATCCCAGCTACTCAAGAGGCTGAAGCCATAGAATTGCTGAACCCAGGAGGCAGAGGTTGTAGTGAGCCAAGATCCTGCCACTGCACTCCAGCCTGGGCAACAAAGCGAGACTCCATCTCAAACAAACAAACAAACAAACAAACAAAACAAAGCAACCATTCGCACTTTGTGAATGTCTATGGATCCGGATTCAAACAAATTGTAAAGAAAAAACTAAAGCAAGACTATCTGTGACTTTTTATTTATTTGTTTATTTTGAGACAGAGTTTCACTCTGTCACCCAGGCTGGAGTGCAGTGGTGTGATCTCGACTCACTGAAACCTCTGCCTCCTGGGTTCAAGCGAGTCTGGTGCCTCAGCCTCCCCAGTAGCTGGGATTACAGGCATGTGTCACCACACCTGGATAATTTTTGTATTTTTAGTAGAGATGGGGGTTTCACCATGTTGGCCAGGCTGGTCCCGAACTCCAGACCTCAGATGATCTGCCCGCCTTGGCCTCCCGAAGTACTGGGATTATAGGTGTGAGCCACTGCACCTGGCCTATCTGTGGCATTTATGAGACATATGGAAAATTTAGACGCTGGCTATTTGATGATATTAAGAAAAGATTATTAAACCAGGTGTAGTTTCTCATGCCTGTAATCCCAGCACCTTGGGAGGCCAAGGCAGGAGGATCACTGGGGCACAGGAATTCTAGACCCGTCTGGGCAACAAAGTGAGAACTCGACTCTACGAGAAATAAAAAAATCAGCAAGCCTGGTGGCATGGACCCGTGGTCCCAACTGCACAGGACCTGAGGTAGGAGGATTGCTTCAGACCAGGAGGCCAAGGCTGCAGTGAGCCATAAAGAAAAGAAAAGATTACTAACTAAAAGTAAGTCCTTGAAATCAGCCAGATGACACTAAATCCCATCCATTCCCCTGAGCTCACAGGGGGGCTGCCTAGACTCCAGAAAAAAGGCTGTGCCTAGTCCTAGACTCTGGCATGCAGGAGGTCAGAAGGCTGAATTCTCCACTAAACTCAAAAGTATAACCAGTCCAGACCGGGTGTGGTGGCCCATGCCTGTAATCCCAGCACTTTGGGAGGCCGAGGCGGGCAGATCACCTGAGGTCAGGAGTTCGGGACGAGCCTGGCCACATGGTGAAACCCCATCCCTACTAAAAACACAAAAATTAGCTGGGTGTGGTGGCACATTCGTATAATCCCAGCTACTCGGGAGGCAGAGGCAGGAGAATCGCTTGAACCTTGGTGGGGCAGAGGTTGTAGTAAGCCGAGATCGTGTCATTGTACTTCAGCCCGGGCAACAAGAGTAAGACTCTGTCTCAAAAAAAAAAAAAAAAAAAGTATGTGGCCGGGTGCGGTGGCTCACGCCTGTAATCCCAGCACTTTGGGAGGCTGAGGCGGGCAGATCATGAGGTCAGTAGTTCAAGACCAGCCTGGCCAACATGGTGAAATCGCGACTCTACTAAAAATACAAAAAGTAGCTGGGCGTGGTGGCATGTGCCTGTAATACCAGCTACTTGGGAGGCGGAGGCAGGAGAATTGCTTGAACCTGGGAGGCGGAGGTTGCAGTGAGCCATGATCGCACCACTGCACTCTAGTCTGGGTGACAGAGCAAGACTCCGTCTCAAAAAAAAAAAAAAAAAAAAAAAAAAAGTAGCCCTCTCTAAGTCTTAATTCCTTCATCTGTAAAAACAGAATAATGACTTATGTTAGAGATGCTGTGAAGAGCCCAGGGAATAACAAGTGCTGTCTGCATACCACATAACCTGTCCGCTCTCAAAGGTGGCTGTGCTGATGATGTCTGGAAGAAGAAGGCTGGGAGAAATGCTGGTTCCCAAAGTGGTCAGTACCAAGGCCACCTAGTCCAACCCTTGCCCCTAGGCCTGTGGTTCCTTTGGGGCAGATTCCAGTCTCGCCACCACCCAGCCAGGGGAGTCTGTGTTGAATGGGACATGTCCTGGAAGTATGAAAGGCTCAGCCCTCTGAGCTGCTGGATGGCTCTGTCCTGTACCCGCCAGTCCATAAATGGTCAGCAGAGCACATGGCCCACCTACCCGAGCCAAAGGAGTTGGGAAAAATCTGTCTGGGTGGCCCCCTCATCCTCTCAACACACAGGCCTAGAGGGAAAAGGGTACTGTCTAATGCCAGTCAGTGCTGTCCTGAGCTCAGCTGCTAAGAATAGCAGGGAGTGAGGTGGTGGTAACCAGCAGGACTCAGGCAGAACAGAGGCCCATTACACACCTGGCTGCCCACAGGCTGCCACCACCTGCTCTTCCACCTTTCATGCCAGTTCCTACCCTACTCATCCACACAGACAGAAAGCTCTGGAAGGGGACGAAGGTGGCACAAAGCACCCTGACAAAGTAGCCACTACCCAGGCTCAGGGATCACATATTCCCCCAGTGTAAGCCACTCCCAGCCCTGAGCTGTAGGAGCAGAGATGCACAAAGGCCCCTCCCCACTGCTGCTCTGTCCCAGGCCAAGGCCAGGTGGTGGCTATGCAGTCGGGGTGCTCAGCTAGTAGCATAGAAGGCTAAAGCCAACCCCATCTCTGAATACCCCAGTGGACCAAGGATAAAGGAGCCTTTCTCAAAAGCAGTTACAGGCCAACCATGGTGGCTCACACCTGTAGTCTCAGCACTTTGGGAGGCTGAGGTGGGAGAATCACTTGAGCCCAGGGGTTTGAGACCAGCCTGGGTGACACAGTAAGACCCTGCCTCTTAAAAAAAAAAAAAATTTAGCTGGGTGTGTGGCATGTGCTTGTGGTCCCAGCTATGTGGGAGGCTGAGGTGGGAGGATTCCTTGAGCCTGGAACTTTGAGGTTGCAGTGAGCTATGACTGGGACATAGCGAGACCCTGCCTCAAAAGAAAACAGTTCTTAACAAGCCCACACTTGGAGCGGCTACTCTTGTACCTGACCCCCAAAGTCGTGTGCCTGATCCTGAGAGCAGACTGCACATATCTGTGGGCAGTCGGCCTGAGACAGCCACCACTGAGTGCCTACAGCACGGCCCATTTGGCCAAGACCAGCAACTTCCCTGACCTTTTTGGATCTCCTAGGTCCCAGTTCAGGGCCCTGAATCCCCACAACCACTGACTGACGGCCCTACCACCTGCTGTCTCTCCTGGCGGCCACAGCAGCAGCAGCAGCAGCAGGACCATCTCTGGTATCACATGAGGTAGGGATCAGATGGCTCTGAGAACAGGCCAGGACTGAGTATGGGGTGGGGGTGGGCAGGAACTCTCTGCAAGCAGGCACTTTCTGACCACCACAATTGCTTAAATAGAACAGGTAATGATGCTGCCTTTTGGACCTGCCTAAAGAGCAGAAGTCGTAAAAGACAGAACAGCTAAGGCTGATAAGGGGGTGAGAGACAGGGACAACCGTGCCTCACTGCAGGGACGGAGAACCTACTTGATCCTTTGAAGAAGTAATCTGGCAACAGTCTTAAAAGTGACTGCAGTTCAAACACTCTAGCCACACGACTCCAGCCCTGGGCATCCTCACAGCATTGTTTACAAAGGCAAAAGTCCTTCCAAACTAGGGCACTTGTATGGGCCACAGCAGACCCCCTGGCCCTAAAGATGCTCAGTAAGATACATTGATAATGTGGAAAAATACTCACGGGATAACATTTGATAATAAAAATAGGATGCAAACTTCTGGAAGTGAGGGACATGTCCATTACCTTGATGGTACTGATGGTTTCACGGGTTTTATCTATATGTTAACACTTATCAAATTGTACACTTTAAGTGTGTGTAGTTTATTGTATATTAATCGTAGCTCAATAAAAATGTTTTAAGAAAAGAACTGAAGGTGACAAATTTTTTTAAAGTTTTCTATACAGCATAATCTGAACTACATACATTATAAGATAAACAGACATGAAGTTAAAAAGCTTCTGCATAGCAAAGTAAACGATCAACAAAGTGAAGAGACAGACCACAAATGGGAGAAAATATTTGTAAACTACCCATCTGACAAGGGATTAATAACCAGAATATATAAAGAATGCAAACAACTATATAGGAAAAATACTAATAATTCCATCAAAAGATGGGCAAAAGATACGAACAGACATTTCTCAAAAGAAGACATACAAATAGCAAACAGGCATATGGAAAGGTATTCAACGTCACTGGTCATCAGAGAAATGCAAATCAAAACTACAATGAGATATCATCTCACCCCAGTTAAAATGGCTTTTATCCAAAAGACAGGCAACAACAAATGCTGGCGAGGTTGTGGAACCCCTGTACGCTGTTAGTGGAAATGTAAATTATAATAGTGCAATCACTATCGAGAACAGTTTGGAGGTTCCTGAAAAAACTAAAAATTGATCAGGTGTGGTGGCTCATGCCTGTAATCTCAGCACTTTGGGACGTCGAGGTGGCAGGATGACCTGAGGCTAGGAGTTCGAGACCAGCCTGGCCAACACAGCGAAACCCCATCTGTACTAAAAATACCAAAATTAACTGGGCGTGGTGGTGTGTGCCTATAATCCCAGCTACACGGGAGGCTGAGGCAGGAGAATTGCTAGAACTCGGGAGGCAGAGGTTGCAGTGAGCCAAGATCATGCCACTGCACTCCAGCCTGGGCAACAAGAGCAAAACTCCATCTCAAAAAAAAAAAAAAAAAAAAAAAAAAAAAAAAAAAAAAAGGCCAGGCACACTGGCTCACGCCTGTAATCCCAGCACTTTGGGAGGCCGAGGCGGGTGGATCACGAGCTCAGGAGATCAAGACCATCCTTGCTAACACGGTGAAACCCCGTCTCTACTAAAAAGACAAAAAATTAGCTGGACCTGGTGGCGGGCGCCTGTAGTCCCAGCTACTTGGGAGGCTGAGGCCCAAGAATTGCGTGAACCTGGGAGGCGGAGCTTGCAGTGAGCTGAGATTGCGCCCCTGCGCTCCAGCCTGTGCCACAGAGCAAGACTCTGTCTCAAAAAAAAAAAAAATTTTTCAAAAAGAAAAAACTAAACTAAAAATTGAGCTACCATATGATCCAGCAATCCCACTGCTGGGTATATACCTGAAAGAAGGGAAATCAGTATATCGAAGAGATATATACCTCAAAGAAGGGAAATCAGTATATCGAAGAGATATCTGCATTCCCATGTTTGTTGCAGCACTGTTCACAATAGCCAAGATTTGGAAGCAATCTAAGTGTCCATCAACAGATGAATAAATAAAGAAAACACGGTACAGATACACAACAGAGTACTATTCAGCCGTAAAAAAGAATGAGATCCTGTAATTTGCAACAACATGGATGGAACTGGAGGTCATTATGTTAAGTGAAATGAGCCAGGCAGAAAAAGACAAACACTGCATGTTATCACTTATTTGTGAGAGCTAAAAATTAAAACAATTGAACTCATAGAGGCAAAGTACTGGATGGTTACCACAGGCTTGGAACGGTAGTGTAGGGCTTGTGGGGAGATGGGGATGGCTAATGCGTACAAAAAAATCGAATTAATAAGACCTGTCTGGTAGCAGAACAGAGTGACTGTAGTAAATAATAATTGTACATTTAAAAATAACTAAAAGAGTATAACTAGATTGTTTATAACACAAAAGATAAATGCTTGAGGGGATGGATACCCCATTTACCATGATGTGATTATTACGCATTGCATGCCTGTGTCAAAGTATCTCATATACCCTATAAATACATATACCTGCTACATACCCACAAAAATTAAAAATTAAAAATGTAACACAAAGAAAGAAAACAGAAAAGAATCGCATTTGAATAGTCATGTTAAAATAACAAGATAGCAGGTGCTTTTCCTTCTTTTTTTAGAGACAGGGTCTTGCTCTGTCACCCAGGCTAGAGTGCAGTGGCATGCAGAGGCCAGCTCACTGCAGCCTCAACCTCCTAGGCTCAAGTGATCCTCCCACATCAGCCTCCCTAACAGCTGGGACTACAGGTGCACACCACCATGCCCAGGTAATTTCTGTATTTTATTGTAGAGATGGGGTCTGGCCATGTTGCTCAGGCTGGTCTTGAACTCCTGGACTCAAGCAATCTACCCACCTTGGCCTCCCAAAGTGCTGGGATTACAGGTGTGAACCACTGTGCCTGGCCCTCTAAGTTTCTGCTAAAATGTACTTGTAACTTTTACACTGACTACACTCAAAAGTATTAAACTTGTAAAGAAAAGGCCCTGGAGGAGTTTGTTCTTTACAAGGTCAGTCAGAAGCTACAAGGGGCCAGGCTGGGGCCAAGGTGAGGGCAGGTACATGCAGGGGCAGATGCTGGGTGTGGAGTAGGTGCCAGGTGCTAGCTGGGCATGAATGTGCACCCGCTCCCTGACCTCTGCTCCCTGACTCTCACAAGGAACTAGCACTGCCTGGAGACAGGAAGAAGCAGAGTACGGAAGGCAGACTCTCTGGCCGGAGATCTCGCAGCCAGGAGCACAGTGAGAACAGAGCCTAAGCCTATCTGTCCAGAGCCCAGGCTCCCTTTCCCTACAACTGCAGCCTCCTTATTCTGCTCTGGCCCAGCAGAGTGAGGAGGGGCCACCCACCCAGCCATACCTGCCGGTGGCTGCTGGGGGTGCATGGTCAGAAGAGGAAAGATGCGGTTCAGGTAGTCATTCAGCAGCTTCTCCTGCACAATGCCTGAGCCACAAGTCAGAAGGGAGAAAAGGGCCACATGATGAGTGCAGCTCCTGGCCCCTGCTGGCCCCAGAGACTTCTGGTCCTAGGCCAGCCACAGGTGCAGCAAGGCCTGAGGCCTTTGTCCCTTCCTTCTCCTCCCAACAAGAGGAGCCTCCTTCCTTCTCTGCCAGCCCTTACCTGTGACCCTGGATTTCTCAGCATCTGAGGTCAGCCTACAGCTCTTGCGGGAGAAAGACACGCCGGCCCCCTTGGATGCCATCCTTCGTCTCTCATGGGCAGCCAGTGGTCCTGGAGGCTGAGGCAGACACAGAGCCTGTCTACTCAGGGCCAGCCAGGGGCCCCCACACCTGACCTCAGTCCTGCCATGGCAGGAAGTCTTGGGAGCAGGTGAGGCCAGGGGCATGCACACTAACACATAGGACAGGGGAATGCAGGGGCTCCCAGCTTCCTACACAGGCAGGGTAGCCAGGGTCTAGGCCCATGTAACAGGGACCACTTCTTGTTCTCCAGTGTCCCTGTGCCCAGCACAGGGCTGGGCAGAGAGCAGGTACCAGATATATTTTTGCCAAACCATAACAAAATGTCTCAGCTCTGTGGAAATCAGACCAAAATGTCCAAAGTGAGGTGTCCTAGGGGCAGAGCCCCTGTATTCATCTCGGTTGTAAGCCATACTGAGTCCAGCTCACAACCAGAAGCGACAATCCTACACATTCCCCCAAGTGCAGACCACCACTGGTCTGGTCATCTCTAGCCATAAGTCCCACTTACTCCCCACAAGGCTGGAGCCTCTTTCCTCAGCCCTGGGTTCCTCCCTTCTTTTATCCATGGTCCTGATAGTTTCACTGTTCCCACTCACACATGTGGCCTCCCACCTCATCCAAGCACCACCCTTGCGCAGCCCTCATGGCAAACTCCATTGGTCCTCCTAGTGCATCTATCCCTCACATCATGTTGCTGCTGCAGCTGCTCCAAAACCTGCACTGAGTCCCTGGTGCTGGCCTCACTGATGTGTAGCTGTGCTGTCCAACACAGCAGCCGTCATCCACGTGAGGTTACTTAAATTTAAAGTTTTAAAAATTAACAATTCGATTTCTCAGTTGCCTCAGCCACATTTCAAGAGTTCAATGACCACATGTGGCTAACGGTTACTCTATTGGACAGCACAAAGGTAGAACATTCCCACCATCATATAAAGTTCTATTAGACAGCGCAGGTCTAGAGTTTCGCTCTGCAGCACTGCCTTAGCCAGCACTCCCTACTCTGCCGTTCAGTCTCTTATCTCGCCCCAAACAGACCCTCTACTCCCGCCACAAACCCCTGTGGGTCTGCACCACGCCTGCTCCTCGGGAAGGTGATTTTCCCGACCTCGGGCCCTCGGTGGGCCTCCATGATCGGTGCCCCTTCACTACCAGAGTAGTTGAAGATCTGATTAAATGCAGTCATTCATTTGATGAGCAGACCTTCCAGACACCCACTCCGGGTGTCAGTTGCTGAGGACCCAGGTGAGAGGCGGACCTTGTCCCCGCCCGGGGACTCCCTGTCACGGCTATCCCGTCCAACCTCGCCGGGGTATCCGGGCTCAGAACTGAACCTACTCCGTCTGGGAGCCCAAGGATGGCTCCCCCAAGTCGCCCCCGCCTGGCCCCAAGCTCCAGAGGACCTGCCAGACCAGCTTCCGCTCGGAGTTTCGCACTCAGATCCCGGCGCTGCAGGTGCCCTCGCACTGGACTAAACTGGACCGCGAAGGGAATAGCCGGAACCCGCCAGGCTCAGAGCCCTGCCGCCCCTCACTCACCCCGAGCCTCGGCCGCCGCGACCCGGTTCACAACATCCGCCCAACCTCTCGGCTACGGCGTCCGTTCAGGGCCAAATCACGCGCACGCTCGCGCGCTGAGCCTCCAGCCGCGCACGCGCACCGGCCCGCGCCCAGCCTCCGCTAGGGGACCCCCTCCGTGGCTTCCCACCAGGTTGTTCCAGGCCTCAGCTTCGCCGAAAGGCCTCACCACCTCCGACCTCCGCCTGCCCTGGGGATGCTCCCAGCCCTGCTGCGGCAGAACGCGACGTGCTAACCGGAATCCCTAGGCCGCCTGTCTCCTACCCATACTTGGAGGCCCCGCTCAGACGGTCCTGAAAACGTCTGAAAGGCGGTTCCTGCCAGAGTCCCTGCTACCTGTTACCTCCACCCCTATTTAGTCCTAGTGGACAGCCTCGCTCACCTTCCCTGGGATGACACTTCTGGCGGCTGAGATGAGCGAGCCTCTCTGGGCTCTGCCGCCGGGCGTGGGCTGACCTGCCTACAGCTGGGGCCTGATAAGGCAGCAGCAAAAGGGTGGAGGGGAGGCAGTGTTGAAGCTGGGGCAAGTAATTTTCCCCAATTTACAGGGAAAAACCGAAATTCAGAAAAGTTTAATGTCAGCCAGGGGCTGGAACCCAGACCTCTGGCAGCTCTCACTTTCACAATGCCCTTGGGCTGACTAGGCTGCAGAGGGGTTTCACCCCAACCCCAGGGCACCTCAGGTGTCCCCACCAAACCTTCCTAACACCTGACCACTAAGTAGGGAGGCCTCTCAGGGGGCTAGCTGTGCTAGGCCCTTGCAACTGAGCTGTGGGACCTGAGGCCTGGCCCCTCATGGCTCCTGTCACCAGGTCTCAGGTCAGGGTCCAGCAGGCCCTGAGCTGACGTGCGGAGCCAGAGCCACCCAATCCCGTAGGGACAGGTTTCACAACTTCCCGGATGGGGCTGTGGTGGGTCACAGTGCAGCCTCCAGCCAGAAGGATGGGGTGGCTCTCACTCCTGCTGCTTCTGACTCAATGCTTAGGGGTCCCTGGTGAGTGCCCCCAACCCTGATCCCCATCTGCCTTCAGGAGGGGGTTGGCCCCATTCTCCTATTCTAGGATGAGAAAAAAGTCAGGGAGCCAGAGGCTCAGTGGGCATGGGGCAGTGACCTCGGCCTCTTGAGCACAGCTGGGAAGCCCTAGGAACACATAGACATGGCCCACTTAGGCCTCTATTAGCACGTCTGCTCTAGCACTGAAGCAGTGTTAGGACCACACAGATGCACGCACACAGCAGGCAGTGACCCCTCCTGAGCCTGATCTACCCCTCTAACCTAGCGTATGCTTTCGTGCAAGTGAGAGCCCAGATTTGGAGTCTGAATGCCTAGCCAGGGCCCCTGGCTGGGTAATGTGATGGCTCTGAGCCTTAGCATTCTCATTTGAGAGATGAGATGGGGCAAGCTCCATCACCCACTGCTCTCACAGAGCATATGTGTTAGATCTGAGCCCGGTGCCTGGGCCACTACACAGAGGCACCGGTGATAACTACCAAGTCTGGGCCTGCTTCCCAGGGGAAATTTTTTTGACAAGTATCTGTGCAGGGGGGCTAGACTGGCCCTTGAAAGTGCATACAGGGTCCATCCCAGAAGCCTTGTAGCTTTGATCCCCTGAATGAACAAAGTGTGGACATGCCAATACACATTACTGACATGTATGCCCACCTGACCTGCACCCACTCATGCCCACTCTGCAGGGCAGCGCTCGCCATTGAATGACTTCCAGGTGCTCCGGGGCACAGAGCTACCTGCTACATGCGGTGGTGCCCGGGCCTTGGCAGGAGGATGTGGCAGATGCTGAAGAGTGTGCTGGTCGCTGTGGGCTCTTAATGGACTGCTGGTGAGTGGCCACTGGGCCTAGATAAGACTGGGGGCAGGGGAGCCTGGGCCGTGGCGTTACCCTGTGCCTTCTTCTCTCCAGGGCCTTCCACTACAATGTGAGCAGCCATGGTTGCCAACTGCTGCCATGGACTCAACACTCGCCGCACTCGAGGCTGCGGCATTCTGGGCGCTGTGACCTCTTCCAGAAGAAAGGCGAGTGGGGGTGGAGAGGGGCAGGGTGGGAGACAGGGGACCTCAGCCCAAGTTGATCTTCTGTCTCTTGCTCCCAGACTACATACGGACCTGCATCATGAACAATGGGGTTGGGTACCGGGACACCATGGCCACGACCGTGGGTGGCCTGTCCTGCCAGGCTTGGAGCCACAAGTTCCCGAATGATCACCAGTGAGACAAACACCTTCCCTCCATCCCGGCCTGGGACCTTCCCCCAGCACACACTATAGTGATGCTCTGGGCCCTCAGGTACATGCCCACGCTCCGGAATGGCCTGGAAGAGAACTTCTGCCGTAACCCTGATGGCGACCCCGGAGGTCCTTGGTGCCACACAACAGACCCTGCCGTGCGCTTCCAGAGCTGCGGCATCAAATCCTGCCTGGTGGGTAAGCGGCGCCGGGTCAAGCTGGGAGAGTGGAGGGACAAGCCCACGCCCATCCACGAACCCACTGGCTCTTTGTCTCCAGCCGCGTGTGTCTGGTGCAATGGCGAGGAATACCGCGGCGCGGTAGACCGCACCGAGTCAGGGCGCGAGTGCCAGCGCTGGGATCTTCAGCACCCGCACCAGCACCCCTTCGAGCCGGGCAAGTACGCGTAGGCGGTATCGGCGCCCTGGGGGCCGGGCTAGGGAAGGTCCAGGACTCCAGGGGCAGGGCTCCGTGTAGGGCAACTGGGCGGGGCCAGATAAGCCAGAGTCCCAGGGTCTTCTTCACGCCCCATTACCGCCCCCAGGTTCCTCGACCAAGGTCTGGACGACAACTATTGCCGGAGTCCTGACGGCTCCCAGCGGCCATGGTGCTACACTACGGATCCGCAGATCGAGCGAGAGTTCTGTGACCTCCCCCGCTGCGGTAGGCGGCGGGGACCAGGCCTGGGAGGGTACCTGGGAACCTTGGGGAGGGGCGTGGCTTGGCCGGGAGGTAAGAGGGGCTGGGCGTGACCTGAGAGCATATCCAGTGGAGTACCGTACACCTGGGAAAGGCGGGTTTGGTCCCAGCCCCAGAGGGATCTCAGCTCTCGCTCGGGGCCCGACCTATCTCGGTCCATCTACGGGTCCGAGGCACAGCCCCGCCAAGAGGCCACAAGTGTCAGCTGCTTCCGCGGGAAGGGTGAGGGCTACCGGGGCACAGCCAATACCACCACCGCGGGCGTACCTTGCCAGCGTTGGGACGCGCAAATCCCGCATCAGCACCGATTTACGCCAGAAAAATACGCGTGCAAGTGAGGTGGGGGGGCGGGCGTTGGGACGTGCTGCTGCGGGTGAGACGGGAGGAGGGTAGTCACAGGCTTAGGGCTGGAGGCTGGCGGGCTAGGGCTGAGTGCAGCGCCTGCTTAGAGACCTTCGGGAGAACTTCTGCCGGAACCCCGACGGCTCAGAGGCGCCCTGGTGCTTCACACTGCGGCCCGGCACGCGCGTGGGCTTTTGCTACCAGATCCGGCGTTGTACAGACGACGTGCGGCCCCAGGGTGAGGCCCAAGCTTGGGGGCTACAGAGCCGGGGCTGGAAGCCTGGAACCGAAGGGCCGGGGCGAGGTCTCGGCCTGATGGCTGCCTGCACCCGCCGCAGACTGCTACCACGGCGCGGGGGAGCAGTACCGCGGCACGGTCAGCAAGACCCGCAAGGGTGTCCAGTGCCAGCGCTGGTCCGCTGAGACGCCGCACAAGCCGCAGTGAGTCCCTGGTGCTCCCGGCCCCGCCAGGGCCCTAACCCTGGGGCGGCATGCTTTGATGTCTGGGACCAGAGCCTGGAAATGGTTGAGACTACCCTGCCACGATTTTGCTCCCGCTCCCGCCTCGGTTCACGTTTACCTCCGAACCACATGCACAACTGGAGGAGAACTTCTGCCAGACCCAGATGGGGATAGCCATGGGCCCTGGTGCTACACGATGGACCCAAGGACCCCATTCGACTACTGTGCCCTGCGACGCTGCGGTGAGCACTAGTGACGCTTGCCCCATGACCCTGCCTCAGCCCCCACCACCAAAGGCTGGCTCCCTTAACCCCAGTGAACTTTGTCTTTCAGCTGATGACCAGCCGCCATCAATCCTGGACCCCCCCAGGATAGGAGTTGGGCCAGTTATGGGTCAGGCCCTTTAGCCCACGACATCCACACAGTCTGGGTTTCATCCAGCCCACCCCATCCTACAGACCAGGTGCAGTTTGAGAAGTGTGGCAAGAGGGTGGATCGGCTGGATCAGCGTCGTTCCAAGCTGCGCGTGGCTGGGGGCCATCCGGGCAACTCACCCTGGACAGTCAGCTTGGGGAATCGGTGAGGCACAACTGCCTGTCTCCCACAGAGAGGAGCTGAGGTTGTGTCCTCTGTGGTTATGCCACTGGGGGCTGGGAATCTATCCCTGCCCCCAGAGGTCCTAGCCAGAAGATGGCAGGTCTAGCATCTGTCCCAGGAGTCTGTTCCCTGTCCTAATTCCCCACTCCTCTAGGCAGGGCCAGCATTTCTGCGGGGGGTCTCTAGTGAAGGAGCAGTGGATACTGACTGCCCGGCAGTGCTTCTCCTCCTGGTGAGCCTCCCTTGTGTTTGGGGACCCAGTCTCATCCCACCTTCCCCTTTCCCCAGGCAAGCTAACAAGTGAGCCTTGGGGCAATGGACTGAGAGTCACAAATGACCTAGCAGAGCTTCTCTCCCAGCCATATGCCTCTCACGGGCTATGAGGTATGGTTGGGCACCCTGTTCCAGAACCCACAACATGGAGAGCCAGGCCTACAGCGGGTCCCAGTAGCCAAGATGCTGTGTGGGCCCTCAGGCTCCCAGCTTGTCCTGCTCAAGCTGGAGAGGTATGTGGACAACCTGGGAGGGTGTGAGGTGGGGCTGAGCCTTGTGGCCTCAGACCCTGAGTGCCCCCATTCTTGCTAAAGATCTGTGACCCTGAACCAGCGTGTGGCCCTGATCTGCCTGCCGCCTGAATGATATGTGGTGCCTCCAGGGACCAAGTGTGAGATTGCAGGCTGGGGTGAGACCAAAGGTAAGAGCATAGTGCACAGGACTGCTGGTGGCCAGGAGGCCCAGCCCTGGATCTTCCTCCAGGACCGTCTCCTTCTCCCCATTCCCCTCACTGCAGGTACGGGTAATGACACAGTCCTAAATGTGGCCTTGCTGAACGTCATCTCCAACCAGGAGTGTAACATCAAGCACCGAGGACATGTGCGGGAGAGCGAGATGTGCACTGAGGGACTGTTGGCCCCTGTGGGGGCCTGTGAGGTTGGTAGCAGGGCCCTGGGCCAGCCCTGGAAGGGTATGGGGGGCTAGAAATGAACTATTTTATCATGAAGCAGGCTAGTCATGGCTGTGGCCCGGGGCCCTCATCAGTTCTCCTACCTGCCAGAGTGACTACGGGGGCCCACTTGCCTGCTTTACCCACAACTGCTGGGTCCTGAAAGGAATTAGAATCCCCAACTGAGTATGTGCAAGGTCGCGCTGGCCAGCCGTCTTCACGCTTGTCTCTGTGTTTGTGGACTGGATTCACAAGGTCATGAGACTGGGTTAGGCCCAGCCTTGACGCCATATGCTTTGGGGAGGACAAAACTTGTAAGTACAGTCAAGGACAAGACTTGTACTCAAAGTTGAGATTTAATAAAATTAATATTTTTACTACTTCACCAAGGACTTTCTTAAATGAAAATGGTTTTTCCCCCTACAAGTAAACAGTAATAAAGAAGAGAATTATTCCTAGTGCAGTTTGTTTTCATGGTCTTAATTTTTGCTAAGACTCCACTGCTTTTGCCTTATCAATACAAGTGCCAACACAGTGAAAAGGCAAATATCATCTTAGTATTACTATGAAAATAGTTCTGAGCTAATGGCCTACTGAAAGGAAAAGAGTGGCTCCTGCTATTCTAGTAGACTTATTACAATTATCTTAAGTATTCTTTCTACCCTCCTTTAATTGAATGGAAACAGGGATGGATTGGAGGAGCTGTTTTTCTCCTTTCTTTCCCCCGGCAATATTTACTATTTAATGCCACTTACTAACACTCAAAGAAACAAAACCAAACTTCTCAATTGACAGTGCAGTGACCCAACAAAGACACGGGTTCTTGAATTCAAAGTGGAGCAGGAGAGACGGTAAATACACATTTACTTTAATATATATATATTTATTATTTATGTGTCTAAAGCACAAATTAGTTTGGTAAAAAACATCTCATGTCTGTTTTATTTCCACATCCCTGAGACTGACAATGGGATGCCTATCAATTAATTCATTTAGAGAGCCATACACCCCAAGAAATAAATTATTTGTCCTCTGGAGCTTGTCACAGGGGGATTTTTAAAAAAACATTAAACAGAAAGACAACTGTGCATCTTAGAAAGATAAAAGGCCAATTCTTCCTCTCCGGCTGATAGGTTCTTAATAATAGTGATATCTACTAAGATGTTTTACATAGTGTAAAGCATGTTCACATACAAATTACTTAGCCTCTTTGAGCCTCAGTTTTCTTATATGTAAAACTGGATTAATAGTACATTTTGTGTTTAAAAAGATAATGTATATGAAGTGTTTACCATTTTTGCTTGGCATCTAGTTCAGTTCTCAGTAACTGATGTGGTGGTGGTGGTGGTGGTCATAGTAGCAGTAAGATCCGTAGTAATAGTAGCAGCAGTTGTTTTAGAAATTAGTAACTGAGGCCTGGCAAAGTTAAAGGCTCTTTCATTAACACCCAGAGGGGAAGAAATGAAGCTGGTCTTCAGAGGCAGGCTATTTTCACTCTGTGTCCCAAATTTTCCCCCCTAGACCGTTTTTATACTTCTGGGGCTCTCAGAAAATATTCTCAGCTATTCTGTTAGATTGATCTCCTACCATCTGAGAGTGGGCTTCCTTCAAACAACCAAATTTCCAGGTATTTCTAAACTGCCCTTCCCCTACACCATTCTTTGATTCAGTATTTCAAGACCCCTAAGAGAAATGGTACATTTACGTGTAAGCACAGGATAGTGAAGTATTTACAACAAGTGCTTTGGAGCCAGCAAATATGGATCAGAATGCTGCTTTCCTTTCCTACATACATGACATTGGGCAGCTAATTTCTAAGATTTTACTTCTTTGTCTATGAAAGTGGAGTACTAGTACTTGCTTTGTGCAACTCTGATGGTTGTTACATGAGGTAGCATCTAGAAACAGCTTGCACATTGCCAGACACCCAGTGGAAGGTCAATGAATGACTATTTGAGGACTAACTATTACAGAAATGTTTACTCTTCTGAGTCCTGATTTCTAGTCTCCTGGACTAAATAGGTTCACTGTTTTCCTCCCGGTTCAGTTTCCAGACACATCACAGAATTATAAGAATATTAAAAACTCAGGCTTATACCTACACAGGATTTTCTATAACCCTCTTTCTGCTTTGAGCTCCTAAAGCTATTTCATAGAAAAATGACCTTATTTTTAAATAGAGGGGGCAGTTGAAAATCAGTGAACGGACCTACCCCCTAATGATTTTTTTCTCAGACATAATTATAATAATTAGCATTATAAAGTGCTAATTATCTTTGGACACAGAGGACCTGCACACCAGAGACAGAGGTCCGTATTAAGTAAAGTGGATTTCACTTTCTTCAGTTGTGAGATTTCTCTTTTTTCTTCTTTGTAATGATGCAAAGATATATCGTCCACCAAGCCTCATTTAAAAACTTTTTCCAGTTGAGGAAACTATCTCTTGGCCATCCACAGCCAGACTGCATATTGAGATTATGGATATTCAAAGAAATTGTCTTTCCTTTGTATATTGTCATAACTTTTTGTGAAATGTTTGTTTTATAGTTCCAGGCCAGCACCTAGAACCTGGCTAGAATAAAAAACTGCAGAAATCATGAGTTTCTTGTTTGGATGAAAGAGCACACCTATTAACAAATGATAGACGGCTATCCTACTGTGAGTCCTGAAAACTGGTGGTGTGATTGTTGAATGGGTTAGGGGTATAGCAGAGAAACTCAGTGTGGGCTACATACAATTTCAGCTTGAATCACACTTAACAGATCCTCTGTTCCAACCATTTAAATTTACAAAGAAGAAACTAAGGCACAGAACTACTTGAGAAGAGAAACAGAATTGAAAACTAGAGCTCCTGATTGTTCTCAAAATAATTTTTATCATACTGCATCGGGTTCTAAGTGAGAAGGCTTCTTATTTAGTAATGCCAAGGTCATGTGTTAACATGTAAAAAAAAATTAGACGAGGAATGGGGCATTGGTGTAAGATTATACAGAGTGTAAAGTTGGGCTTTCTCTTATCATCTGTTGTCAACAACAGGATGATTGTTACTGTTACCCAGTCCTTACCATCATTCACACAGAGACATTGGATATTGAGGAGAGACTTTAAAACAGAATATTAGTAATGCAGAGCTATAAAGAGCCACGATCATATTAATACAATCCTCCATACACATAGTGACCTGTCTGCAGCTCCAGCCTAGAGAAACCCAGTTATTCACTTGTAGTGGGCAGCCCCATTATCAGAAAGCGCTATTCAATTGGAAGTGCTCATCTGTGTTAGGTCAAAAACGACTTCCTCTAAATATCCATTCTGTGTATTGAAGTATAAATGAGTCCCACTTAAGAAAAAACAAAACAAACCAACTTCCAATGATTTAAAAATACTAACGTGACCCTCTTACGTTCACCTAAAGCTAGTGTTTCTCAAACATCAGCTGTATCAGAATCCCTGAAGGACTTGTTAAAACAAATTGCTGGTCTCTACTCTGAGCTTCTGATTCATTAAATGTGGGATGGTACCTGAGAATCTGCATTTCTAACACGTTCCCAGGTGACCCTGATGCTGTTGCTCTGAGAACCACTTTGAGATCCACATCTCTAAGCTCATCAGTCTGTCCGTTACACCTTACAAGACATACTTTCCTAATCTGACACCCTTCTATTTGTCTTTTTTTGGAATGCTTTAGAAATTTAGCAGTTATCTTTTTTATGTATTTTACATTTGTTACAGCTTTCCTTGGTAGACAGATATGAGTTTTCTACTTGAAAATAAACACGTTTTTCTTTAAAATATCATTAAATAAGAGTGTAATTAGTGATATAAAGCAAGATGAGTAAAAAGAATCTCTCATTATTATGTTTGCACAGCCTGTATACAAATTATTTGAACTAGAAAGGATTTGCTAAGTAAATTATTTCTATTTCCCTCACTTAATAGTGAATATTATGGTGATTAGGGGAAAAAATAAGCTTTCTTTTTTCTTTTGAGATGGAGTCTCACTCTGTCACCCAGGCTGGAGTGCAGTGGCGCCATCTCGGATCACTAAGCCATCTTGGCCTCCCCAGCTCAAGCGATTCTACTGCCTCAGCCTCCCAAGTAGCTGGAATTACAGGTGTCCACCACCATGCCCAGCTAATTTTTGTATTTTTAGTAGAGATCACCATGTTGGCCAGGCTGGTCTCGAACTCCCGACCTCAAGTGATCCGCCTGTCTTGGCCTCCCAATGTGCTGCGATTACAGGCATGAGCCACCACGCCCAGCTAAAAGAAGCTTTTCTGATAGTAACTTTGTTTTCCCATTCTGGAGTTTATGGCAGTATGAAAAAGACTGAATTTATAAGCAGAAGATCTGTTTTTGAAATCCGGGGACCTGTATTTCACAATGGCTTTGATGTGTTTTGATTGTACACCTTTAGACAACTTATCAGTTTCCTCATTTTTATACAGCAATAAAATAGTAACAGCTACCCATTAAATTCTGTACAGAAGCTAGGGACAGACGCAATAACACTTGCATATCTATAAAGGCTTTGTAAATGTGGGTATTATATCTAATGTTTATGCACATGCTGTTTGATTATTTTCATTTGGAATTCCACTCCATTAAAGCAAAAGTAACATACGAATTCAGATTCTTGTAAGTCTTCAGGCATAAGGCCTCCATTGACTAAGTACATTGCCTACATAATTTCTCCTAACCCAAATGAATCTCCAGTTGAACCAAGCTGGTGGTTATGTACTGTCTCCAGAGGATGCCAAGCATAAAGTCCTTGAGTATATTCATCTTGGATCCTCTGATTGGACAACTGCGGTATTGAGACTTCAAGCTCCCCCTTGAAGGCCCCAGACGGTACCTGTAATTTTACTCAAGTTTTAAATGTATGCTCTTTGTTAAGAAAGAGTGACAATGATTTGATTTATTTTCCGTGACTGGGGTTAGGGATGGGGGAGACTCTAGGAATGTGACTTACCAGTGAGGTTCTAGTTTTATAAATCATAGGACAAGTTTTGATAGGCAAATGTTGGACTATAGGGCTGAGGTTGTTTTCCACCACAACATATAGACTTCTACTAGCCCTTGAAGGAAAAAACACGAGAAAATCAGTTGGGTCAGCTGAGTATTCCTTTATCAGTATGGAACAGACTTACATAACAATTCTGCAGGTAATGGCTCTGGAAAGGTCAACCACTTAGTTTTGGACAACTCTTTTCTATTCTGTATAACCACTTTTTCACCAAAATGATACTAAATAAATATGCTATAGAAAGCTATATTTTGACATGACTGTTTTAGGCAAAGATACACTCACCAACTTACTCCACAAGAGTTTCTAATCAGAGAATATCATATGGATCTATTTGAATTGCTCCCATGCTTGGCTGAGCCCAAAATAATTTACTGTGCATATGTACACCAAGTGAGAAGGTTGAGGAGGTGTCACTTGTACATCTCTTTATTCTTTTTTTTTGTATGTGTGTGTTATTTTCATGTGTTTTGAAAGGCTCTCTTGCTTAGCTTTTATTTTGCCATGAAAGATTTTTTTCTGTGCTATAACTGTATTTTTAAGTCTGGTTTGAGTTCAAGAAATCCACAAATTCACAAAAGATTAAGAATAATTTGTGAACAAAATGATGCAGAAATAAAAAATGCATTTTCCAAATAACTCCCTTGCAGTCCTTCTCCCGCAACTACCACTTTCTATTAAGTTTCTTCTTCCTACTCTATGAAGTGCCATGAGCTTTCAATTCATTGTATTTTAAGTATAAGCTATACTTACTAACCTTCACGTTATTCTTTGCTACTTAAATAAGCTTGCTTTCATAGTTCAATTGACGTATTGTTTAACTGATATTTTTAATTGGTATATTTTGATATATATTGATAATTGATAGCTATATAATTCATTTGAGATATTTTGGGTATGGAGGGTTGGAAGGAATCCTTTCATAATTTTTCTACTTAAAAGAAATCTTTTTTCATTTAACAGCTTTTCCCATGGGGATAGAGTTTTCATGAATAAATCAAAGTCATTAAATGAGGTATACGGTACATCTTTTAAGAGTCACAGAAAGAAGCAACAACAATTTACCCAGGCAGAGGGTATAAGTTTAGACCTTGGTTGCCTGATTTGTGGGACAAGTTCTTTAATTTTTTTTCTTTATATTTGGACTTTTTTTTGGACTCTCTCCTCCCCTTCCAGGCTCCAGGTCAAATACTTGACACCTGAATGATGTTCAATTATTTAAAAGATGGATTGGCCAGCTCAGCTCCTGTCTCAGACAGACTGTCTTTAAATGTATTTTCAACATGTCTTCAGACAGTTATTTTTCCTCTGTTCAATTTTGTTCATCTTCTTACTTAACCGTTCAAGTGCTCCTATTTCCTTTTTAAATGTAGTATTGAGAAGTGCAAACATTATTGGAAAAGAGAGTCTCACTAGCATAATTGTGCATTATCTTCCTCTTATATCGCCGGCCTCCCTGCACCCCCATGCCCACCTCCTCCTCGCGCCTCCATGCCGCCTCCCACTGCTCCAGCTCCTTGCAGCTGCGAGTCCAGTCACTGGTCACCTTTCGTATCTCCTCACTCAGAGCCTGGTTGGCCAAACCTGCCTGGTCCAGCTGTTCTCAGAGCATGGCATTCACCTGGGCCAGGCTGGCACTCCTGAATGGGGCACAGGGGATCAGTAGGCGCTCGCCCAGGGGGCCATGCTGCCAGCCCTGGCCCTCCCTGCTGCTCCTCCTCCAGCCAGATGAGGGCACTCTCCAGGTCTTGGCTGTGCTCTGCGTCCTGGGTGGCAGAGAGGTTAAAGCATCAGGCTGGGCAGGTGGAGGGCAGGGCCTGCCTCTGCCCCACCCTGGCACCCACCCTCAGCTGCTGCTGTTCCAGCTCTCCGGATCTCTCCAACAGCTGCTCCAGCTCCGAGAACCTCTTCTTGTACTGGAGAATCTGGGGATTGGGAGCTGATGGTGAGCCCCAGGGGTGGGGGCAGGGCAAAGTGAACACGTGGGAGGGAAAGAGCAGGAATGGGTGGCCCTGACCTTGCCCTGCAGCCGCTGCACAAGCTGGGCCTGCCGCTGCTGGCCCTCCAGGTAGGCCTGCAGCTTGCGCCACTAGGAGGCCTGCTCCTCCTGCAGCTGCCTCCGCAACTCCACGCTCTGGAGTACCAGCCCCCTGGGCTCTTGCGTCTCCAGCTCACCAGATTGCAGCCACAGAGCCTGCTCCAGCTGCAGGGAAGGGCCCTGGGTGAGAGTCCTGGGCCTCCTGGGAAGGCAGGCTCAGGCCTCTGTAGGGGGTGGCAGGCTGGGCCCAGACCCACAATGCCTTGTAGGCTGATAGCCTGGCGCCCTGGGGAGCAGCACATGTGGGCAAGCCCAGGGGCAGTGCACGTGTGCATGGGGTGATGCAGCCATGCACGGGCACGCAGATGGGGCATGCATGGACACATGCAGGTGAGCCCACAAACCCAAACCATGCAGGCAAAGCTCAAAGGTGCACCTGGGGTCTACGTCAGGGGCCTCAGTACACCATGCGCCTCTCCTCCAGAACACTTAGCCCTGTCGTGGTTTCTGTTTATTACATTGATGCCTGTGTCTTCCCACCATGCCCCCACCCCAGTGTGAGCTCAGAAAGCCTGGATTTTTTGTTCCTCATTGTATCTTAGTGCTATAATGGTGTCTGTGGAATGGCATGGCTCACGCTCAGTAAATATTTCTTGTGATGGTGAATTAATGGCATGAGCTCATGGGAATACATTCAAACAGAGGTGTCAATCCGCCTATGCATATCTGAGCTTAAAAATATGCACACACATAACACATACAGGCAACCTCAAACATCCCCAGGGGGACACGAAGGACTCCCCTCATATACACAGCATTAAGATTTGTAAGAGGTGCACACAGATGTTGCCCTATACGGCGCCTGCATATTAATGCCCACTTCTGGCTGGGTGCAGTGGCTCATGCCTGTAATCCCAGCACTTTGGGAGGTCAAGGCGGGTGGATCACTTGAAGTCAGGGGTTCGAGACCAGCCTGGCCAACGTGATGAAATCCCGTCTCTACTAAAAATCGAAAAATTAGCCGGGTGTGGTGGCATGCACCTGTAATCCCAGTTACTCAGGAGGCTGAGGCAGGAGAATCACTTGAACCTGGGAGGCAGAGGTTGAAGTGAGCCGAGATCGCACCACTGCACTCCACCCTGGGCGACAGAGCAAGACTCCATCTTTTATTTATTTATTTATTTATTTATTCATTTATTTGTCTCATGGGCTGAGCGAGGGGACCCCGGCTGGTGGAGGGACAGCTGCGCCCTGCAGGCCGCTGCGTCCGGGCAGACCCCGGCCTCTTGTCGTGCCCCCGGCCCGCGACAACCCGGGCAGGATGGGCAGCAGGACGCGGCGGGGCATCCGCGGAGCCCGTCGGGAACGCTCTCTTGGCCTCCAGTGCCGGGCAGCGGTGGGTGCGGCACCCACAGTGCCCACAGCGCCCCCAGCCCTGGGACGTGGCTCCAGCCCGCCGCCAGGCAGGCGGCCTCCTTCGCCGGGAGCACGTCGCCTGGGCAACATGGAGAAACTTCAACTCTTAAAAAAACAAGACAGCCACCACAACAACAAAAACAAGAACAGATATAAGCCGGCTGTGGTGACTCGTGCCTCTGCTACTCCAGAGGCTGAGGTGGGAGGATCGATTCAACCAAGATACAGTGAGACTGTCTCTCAGAGAAAAAGTCAAACAAACAAAAAAAGAGGCTGTGTAAGAGGTGACTCTGGGGACAGTGGAAAAACACTAAGGTTTTCAAGTGGTGTTAAAAGCCACTAGGCCTTGGGGACCATTGAGCAATCTACAAAGCACGGAAGCCTAGATCCCTGAGCTCTGCCTGCCAAGTACCACCACAGCTAACATGGGAGACCTCCCCCACAGAGACTGAAATTTGCCTCCCGAGGAAACAAGTGACTACAGACATCTGTCCCAGGACAGTAAACAAGAAAGCAAGGTCTCACAAAAACAAAAACAGCTGACCACAGCATACAATCACTGAGACCGAGCCTGCGACTATAGGTGAAAAAAAAAAATGCTGTCCATTATTCATACCATGAAAGACCAGGGGAAAGTGGGAACGCAGTCCCCTACTACTGTTGTGGGAATCAGGAGAACAGAGAGACCAATGGGTGGAACAGGAGGATTTATTGACTGCACTGAGGCCCAGCAGATGAAAATCCAAAGGCTGAGCCCCGAACAAAGACAGGGCTTAACTTTATAGACACTTCTGAAAGGGGGTCGGCTAGTTTGAATGGCGCGGTGGGAATTTGATGGCATGAAACTCAGGGGCAGGCAAGAGGGCTTATAGAAGCAGAACAAAGGCAGCTAATCAAACTGTCACAGGTCTTGCAATGCAAGTATAGCTGGTGACCTTGCAGCTGCACTGAAGGGAAATCAAGAACTTAACAAAACTTGAATAATTAGAAATGGGAAGGGGGAAAGAGAAGGTAGTAAAGGCATTTGTTGTTTTTTCCTCTTATCTTTGTTGGGGCTTACTGTGTTGAGAGAGTCTCCGGAACTCACTCCTCGCGGCTCTGACTTTTCAGATCGTGTTACCGAGGATCTGCTAGGGCTCTATCTATGGCAGGTCTTGGAGTCAGCCAAGTACAGGGAAACCTGTCTTTTCCTTTTAACTTCTGCCTTATTACTACAAGTTGTACAGCACACCATGCCTGGTTTTCATCAGCAATGTTTCCTGAGGTTACAGAAAGATTTCTAATCCTGGGAGGAAACACTCCCTTGAAGCAAAAGTGTTCTCCCCCAAAAAATGCAAGGAGCTATCTTCTAGATAGCCAGGCAGATAATTCTCAGGTTTTGCCCCACAGAATCTCTATCTAAAATACAGCAGTGGTCATGCCTAGTGAAAAGTTTGAGGGAACTCGCCCAGTGTTGGGTTTCTTCAGAGCCATATATATAGATATAACCAAATATCCTAAAAGACACTGCCCTTCATCATTCCATGCTGTTAGACATTTACAGGACCATGGATGGTGATCTCCTCCAGACAAAAATAAATGCTGGTGCAGAATAGGTAAGTGTATTATAATTTGAGGACATCAGCTTTTGGGCATTTTAAACCATGGGTCAGACATGTTAGAGCAAGAGGCCAGGTTGATAGCAAGAGGGAGTGTTTTTCTTTTAATTTGTCAATAGCAAAGTGATGTTTGCCACTGTGATTTCAGAGTGAGGTGGCAATTTGTTGTTGTTTGGTTTTGTGGGTTTTTGTTTGTTTGTTTGTTTGTTTGTTTTTGAGACAAGGTCTCACTGTCACCCAGGCTGGAGTGCAGTGGCATGATCAGGGTTTACTCCTGCCTTGACCTCATGAATTCAAGCAAACCTCCTTACTAATCCTCCCGAGTAGCTGGGACTACAGGCACGTGACCCCACACCCTGGGGTGTGAACTGGGATTTGATGTTTTCAGTTGGCTCTCTAATGGAATAGGTTCCCTTACTCTTGTAGAATCAGATTGTCTTCATGATTATCATTCTTGTGTGCATTATATTTCTACTACCCTGCTATATTTTTTCTATTTTTCTTTTTTCTTTTTATTTTTTTCTTTGTGAGACAGAGTCTCGCTCTGTCTCCCAGGCTGTATTGCAGTGGCAGGATCTCAGCTCACTGCAACCTCCACCTCCTGGGTTCAAGCAATTCTTTTGCTTCAGCCTCCTGAGTAGCCACCTGGCTAATTTTTGTATTTTTAGTGGAGACAGGGTTTCACCATGTTGGCCAGGCTGGTCTCAAACTCCTGACCTCGGGCTCCCAAAGTGCTGGGACTACAGGCATGAGCCACCATGCCCAGCCTAACCAAGATTATTAAACCATTCTAATTTGTCAAAAGAGTCACACTGATTTTTAAAAAATAATGTAATGGGCCAGGTGCAGTGGCTCATGCCTGTAACCCCAGCACTTTGGGAAGCCATAGCAGGAGGATCATGAGGTCAGGAGTTCAAGACCAGCCTGACCAACATGGTGAAACCCCGTGTCTACTAAAAATACAAAAATTAGCCAGGTGTGGTGGTGTGCGCCTGTAATCCCAGCTACTCAGGAGGCTGAGACAGGAGAATTGCTTGAACCCGGGAAGCAGAGGTTGCAGTGAGCCGAGATTGCACCACTGCACTCTAGCTTAGGCGACAGAGTGAGACTACATCTCAAAATAAATAAATAAATAAATGCACATAATAATAATGTAATGAACTTTTTCATGTCTTTATATAATAAATATTACATTATTTAAATTGTTCAAAAGCATCAAAGATTCCTCTCTGCTATCAACTTCATTTATTTTATTGTACCAAACTACCAGGACCATTAATTTAATCTACAGCTAAATCTCTTATTTTTTCGTGTTAGAAATTCAACAAGAAAATTTTTCCCTAATGAAACCTCACATTTCAAGCATAAGGAGCCTGGGCGAGTTGGCTCACACCTGTAATCCCAGCACTTTGGAAGGCCGAGACAGGTGCATCACTTGAGGTCAGGAGTTTGAGACTAGCCTGGCAAACATGATGAAACCCTGTCTCTACTAAACATATAAAAATTAGCTGGGCGTGGTGGCGTGCGCCTGTAATCCCAGCTACTCTGGAGGCTGAGGCAGGGAAATAGCTTCAACCTGGGAGGCAGAGCTTGCGGTGAGCTGAGATGGCACCACTGCACTCTAGCCTCGGCTACAGAGCAAGACTCTGTCTCAAAAATAAATAAATAGATAAATAAGCATAAGTAGTAAAAAAATAACATAAATTTAAAAATAAGGCACAGGGTCTTGCTCTGTTATCCAGGCTAGAGTGCAGCGGGGCAATCATAGCTGACCAACTTGGAACTTCTGGGCTCAGGCAATCCTCCTGGCTCAGCTTGCCTTGTATTTTTTTAGAGACGAGGTCTTGCCCTGTTCCCCAGGCTGGTCTCCAACCGCTGGCCTAAAGCAATCCTTCCGCCTCAGCCTGTTGAGTTGCTGGGAGTACAGGTGCAAGACATGCAGCCTAGCATTGTAGTAAAACAATTTTCAACAAATTCTTAATTTTCTTTCCTTTTTTTTTTTTTTTTTTTGAGTTGGGAGTCTCATTCTGTCACTCAGACTGGAGGGCAGTGGCACAATCATAGTTCACTGCAGCCTGAGATTACAGTCATGCATTATCATGCCCGGCCAACTTTTAAAAATTAGCTAATACTTAAAAATTTGTAGAGACAGGGGTTTCACTGTGTTGCCCAGGCTGGTCTCCAACTCTTAAAGTGCTGGGACTGTAGCTATGAGCCACCATACCTGGCTTAATTTTCTTATTTTAATTTTATATAAGTGATTATTATTGTTCCTAAGATAATTGGGGCAGTGACTCCTTTACAATTGTAGAGATCTAATTTGTCTATTCACTTCACTGAAAGAGTATGCCAATTTGTTTCATGAGAAAATATCCTATATTTATAAAGCAGGAAAATTCCTTCCACCAAACTAGGGTGCATTCTAAAGAAACGAATTGTGCTAAGTAACATCACTTAAAGTGAAAACAGAGGCAATGGTATCTATTAACAATGTTTATCAGTGAAGGAAATAAACTGAAAATATGAACATCATTAGATCCTTGGAGGGCCTTCATTGCTGAAAATCTGAGTAATACTGTGATACTCTTTTGAGTCTGGCAGGACATTCTCTTTCCAGGGCATGTAACAGTGGGTGAATAATTTCTTTTCATTCATTTCCATTAAGGGCTGAACTTCCTTAATGTTCTGGAGATTATTAAATTTGATTTGTATAGTTGTGAAAAGTACTCATATTGCTGATTCCATTGCTTATATGTGATCATATAAATCTTTTCTCTTTCTGTAGTGTGGTTTAAGCTTAATCCTTAAAGGGCATGTATTTGAATTTTTCAGCTGGTTAGAAACCTGAATATACCAATCAAATAAAACTGCTCCTTACATGCTACAGATTTAGTTTTCTTCCTGTACTAAGATGTCTTTTAGACACAGTAAATTCGTTAAAGCCAAGAGCCCCTAGGAAACGAAGTTGGGTGGGAGGGGGGACATCGAGTAGTAAGATCACTCTTGTAACATAGATGCCACTCTTGCAGATATTGACAACAATTGGGCCTATAAAATGTTTACCAAACATTGGAAAGACAAGATCTGAACAACTTATCATTGCTGCAGTCTCAAATATCAGGAAATGCCATTATTCTCAGGACAATAAATAGACAATAAAGAAGACTCACAGAGCAGATTAGCTGTCATGTATCACCAAACAGGGACTGGATCCTTGTCAACACGACCCAACAGAGATTGTCCCCAGAAATTCACTTCATAACCTCAAAACGAAAAACCCACACTGATGGCAAAAAATAATGATGCAAAGAATGAGAGAGAGAGAGAGAGAGAGAGAGAGAGAGAGAGAGAGACCTGTCCTATAGCCATACTCAGTGGGTAAAAGCCAAAGAGCTCAATTTCTGCTCATGATACTTAATAGAACATAGGGAACATGAGCCAATAGCTCAATGGTTTCAGATCTGCACCAAGTGCCTGTTGGACGCAGGATTCTACTGTCTCCAATAATATGTCTCAGATGCACTAATTTTTTTTCTTTTTTTGAGACAGAGTCTTACTCTGTTGCCCAGGCTGCGGTGCAATGGCGCGATCTCGGCTCACAGTAACCTCCACCTCCCGGGTTCAAGTGATTCTCCTGCCTCAGCCTCCCAAGTAGTTGGGATTACAGACACACACCACTGCGCCCGGCAATTATTATTATTATCATTATTATTATTATTGTTATTATTATTATTGTGCGTGTGTATGTGTTTGTAGTAGAGACGGAGTTTTGCCATGTTGGTCAGGCTGGTCTTGAACTCCTGACCTCAGCTGATCAAAAGTAGGTGAGGTCAGAAAACATACCCTGGGAGAGGCTGGCACAATGCCCAGAACCGCTATCGCTAGGCCTGGGGTTTTCCTCTGTAGTGGAATACTAGTATTCATGTAGTGCAGGGACAAAACCAATTAGATAGTTCTGGGAGTTAAAAAGAGATGATTTACAGTGCCATTTGAGAAGGGGTATTAAGGAATTTGCCAGGGCACTGACGCGTGTCAGGTGTAAACCTCAGGTTGAGAGAGAGCTAAGTATTTTCTGTCCATGAAGGTGATAAGCGAGGGCCTGAAGAAAGAGGGACTGGGGAGGACACTGGCACCAGAAATAGGAAAGGGCTTCTTGGGGGTGGGAAGGATGGGTCACGGTGCTATCTAGAAAGTTGCCTGGCAGTGGATGTAGGATGTGGGAGTGAGATATCAAACATGAAGCAGTCGCTTAAAGTCTGAAGAAAGACTAGATATATGAACTGCAGGAGATAGTAGGGAAACTGGACCGGCTCCTCATAAAACTTCCCGCCTTCTATCTCCGGGAGGATCGCAGGGCATTTCCGCCAAGACAGGTGAGACTGCGGTTCTGACCTACGGGCCTCCGTGCATATGCGCTAGGGCACCTGGGGGCCGGCAGAGCCGTTCCCCTACGCAAAGTAAGCGTGTTATGTCTACAACCCAACGGGGACACTGAGAGCCCCAAAGGCCCTGCTTTCTTCCCAGAGAACAGCGCCCATCTGCATAATTTCTACCTGGCTCTATGAGGTGAGAACACATTCCCCGCTAGCACAGAAATCCTACAAACTCCTGTGGGGGCTGCGCTTGGAAGCAGAGGCTGTGTAAGAGGTGACTTGGCGGGTAGGGAAAAACAGGAAGATTTTCACACAGGGTGAGAACCCAAGAGACTGGAGACCACGGACCAATCCCTGCAAAAAGCAGCCAGGGTAGAAAGGGAAGAGCTGAGCGGACTTCACGATAGCTAATTTGTGTTACAAAGCCGATACGGCTGATGCTCGCTTTTTCTCCTATGGCGTGCAGGCCACATGTTACTTCCTATTCCCCAGCCCTCCACTGTAGGATTAACACCTAAGACGCCAACCAAGACACAATCCAATACAAAGAAAGACATGACCCTTAGCGTACAGTCTGTTTTTGAAACTCCAGAAAGTCAGGGGAAAGCGCGAACGCAGTCCCCCACTACCACAAATTATGCAGTCGAGTTTCCCACATTTGGGGAAATCGCAGGGGTCAGCACATCCGGAGTGCAATGGATAAGCCTCGCCCTGGGAAAACCACCTTCGTGATCATGGTATCTCCCCTGCCAGGTAAGTATGAGATCTTGGGCCTCTGCCCCGACACAGCCTCATACGCCTCACTCTTTACACACACGGTCACTTGCCTCGCGCACTCCCGAGCCCTTTCCAGCCCTGACACACAGCTGGGATTCTCACTTCCGATCCGCGGTCCTGAACCCGCTCCCAGGGCACGGGAACTCCTTCGTGGCGAAGCAGCAGCCTCTGCGCTGCCTCATCTACATAGAAGTCGCCCTGTCTGTGATGTCACCGACAGTGCCTTGCCCAGTCCCCGTCTGCCTTTCTGCCACTCAACCGACCAATCTGCTGCCAGAGCCGCCAAGGGGAAGTGACGTCTGCCTCTCCCTTTTTCCCTCCCGCCCCTGCGTCTGTTCTCTCCCAAAGAAGCTGGTCCTTAGCCTGTGTTAAGGAGCAACCTTTCGGTGGCCAGATGGAGCCGGGGCATCCTTCTTCAAATAATGGCTTTTAATTCGCAGACTAGAATGTTTCGGATTACAAAAGAAACCGGTTCTCTTCACATCCTTATCCTTGTGATGCAGCATTCCGCTTGCAATTGGAAGCCGTTTAATATCAGAGAGAAACCATATTTATGAAAGTAAAGAGGCTGCTCAGATGACTGCAAACCAGCCTTCCTTACTGGTTTTATCACTGGTAATGTTATAAAGACAGTTGTCCAGTTTCATGAATCTTGTAGGTTTTTTTTTTTTTGATGTTGTTTTTTTGCAAAAATCCGTATTGTAGAAAAATATGCTGTCCCAGAAGAGATGATTGGACACTCTCAAGCGTGGTGCTGGACTTTGTCATCTCTTGCACAGCCATCTCCACACCTTAGTGCTTACCTCATGTTAGTTTTTTATATTCTGCAAAGACGAAACCAAAATAATCCAAATTTGACACAAATACCTGGGCTACATCTTATTTGAGATGTTTAACAAATGTCTGGATCATCTTTTCTTATATATTACGCAGGAAACACTGTGAAGTAAGCAAAGTTGGAATGCCCAAGTGAAAGACCATTTGAATATTTACAAGTAGATTTCAGACAGGAATACTACAGGGTGGTCACAGGATAACAAATTCTAGGCAGCAGATTTACATGACTTGAGGCTGTGGGCTGTTAAGACGCTGAAAAACCAGGGTGTGGACCAAGCTGGCTAAGGCTGAGTGGACCCAACGTGGTGCTGGATTGGATGGAGGTTTTACCTAGGCCCTCATTATATGCTCATTAACAAACTAAATCACACACCCGCCAGTGCCATGACAGTTCTGAGACCAGTGTTTGATGTAAAAATGGCACCACAGTTCCAAGAAATCTCCACCTTTACCCAGGAATTTTCATGAACATTCCACTCCTTGGTTAAAGAAACCCATCAAGATGAAACCCCAGAACCCATTATTCTCTCTTGGGTATGCCCAAGCTCCCCTTTCTTGAGTGTGTTCTTTTTGCTTTGCAATAAATCTGTTCTTTCACTATCTGCTGACTCACCTTTGACTTTGTTCTCGCGATGGTGTCAAGAGCCTGGACACCACGGCTGGGGTCGAGATCCCACCAGTGTCCAGGGACCTCCCCCAGCCCACCAGTATCAGATTCTATTCCATTGCTCAAATCACAAAACATCGAGTGGAGAGTTCTCCTTGGAGACCCTAAAGTAAAGATTCTGTGGCATGGTGGCCAGTTAGGCCACTGGAAGCATGGCAAAATATTGAAAATGAGGGATTAGGTGACAGTGTAGTGACTGCTGAATACTAAATACTTGATCCAGGCCCCATTCCCTGGAGATTGACAGGGAGACACATTGTCCAGGTAGTAGTGGAGAAATGCTTTCTGGGTATCTGACCAGCCTTTGTGGAAAGAACTGGCACCATCCTGCAGATGTAACCGCCTGATGGGTTCTTCCTGACCAATGTACACAAAAATTCAATTCATGGAGACCATGGCACTGCAGGCAAGAGTTTCATTGACACAGGCAGCCACGACATGTGGGAGACAGAGTTATTACTCAAAGCAATCTCACTGAAGGCTTGGAGGTAAGGGGTTTTTCAAAGATAGTTTGGTGGGGAGGGGGCTAGGGCTTGCGTGGTGCTGATTGTTGGGGATGAAATCACAGGGGCGTGGAAAATGGCCCTCCTGCATGGAGTCAGCTTCTGGGTGGGGGCTAAGGGACTGGTTGATTTTCGGGCCAGATGGTGCCTTCCAGCAGTCAGAAATGCAAAAGCCTGAAAAGACATCTCAAGAGGCCAATCTTAGGTTCTACAATAGTGATGTTCTTCACAGCAGTAATTGGGGAAGCTGCCAATCTTGTGACTTCTGGAATAATGGCTGGTAATTATTTAACGAGGCATACATCTTAGTAGAAATCAGGCCCCTTTCATCCTTCTAACTTGGTGGCCTTTCATTCATTTTACAGGGGTAATTTAGTTTTGGGGAAGGTTATCATTTAAAGCAGCCTTTTTGGCTGTCCTCAACCTTTTTGTCACCAGGGACTGGTTTCATGGAAGACAATTTTTCCATGGAAGGGGGCGGTGGATGTTTTCCAGATGAAACTGTTCCACTTCAGGTCATCAGGCATCAGTTACAGTCTCATAAGGAGTGCGCAATCTGGATCACGCACATGAGCTGTATCACCACTCAGCTCTCACTCCAGCCTCAGGTATCAGCAAGACCTCACCAAAGATTACTGTTTAATTGTCTCTGTGTGTGTTTTTGTTTGTTTCAGGTAACAACTAATGTTGGAATTATGAAAAGCTCTGCTCTACTTTTAACAAAGCTTAGTCACAAACAGTTCCCCAGTTGATAAGAAAAACTAAAACAACAGAACAATCGAAAGTCCGAATCTGCAAGTTCATCTCTGAGAACCGAATTTTACAGCCACTCCAGATTTGTACTCCAAATGGATAGTTTGATTGTAGAAATCACATCCCTTCAGTCTGCCAATGTGATAACTGCCCAAGAGAAAGTGATGCCTACATTCATAGATAATCCCCTTTCCCCCATCCTATATATAACTGGAGTCAACAGTAGCTGGAGGAAAATGGCAAGAACTTGGAATCAAGATTAGTTTAGAATAACACTGCTGTAGACAGTTTATCAGCTCTTCAGCATCTGTCCATTTTCCTTGAAGGATGAGCCTTTAGAAACCTCTGACAATAAAGTTTATTTTACACCCATTCCCTTGCCTATGATTTTTTCATACAAATCACAATTATAAAACTTTCTCGCTCCAGCTGAAAGCAAGAAACTCAATCATGAATGTGTTCACTAAATATATACCACAGAATGATAGCAACCAGTCTGAATGCATCACTTGATTCCAAAATTAAATGTTAGCCCTCAGTGGTGCAACTACATGTATCTCCAACTCTGGAAGCCACAGGCAACATATTCCTGTTTCCTTGCAGGGAAACAGATCTATAAGCAGGGCGGCAGTCTCACACATGTACATTCCTGGGAAACCCAAGGAAACAATGATAGTGACGCAGGGCAGGCAAGCCCCCAAACTGAAAGAGTTTTGCTAATGTCGCGATTGGCTTTCTATGTTATTTGAAGACTGAGATCTCCATGAGGAATGAAGACAGGTAATGCCTAAGGCTGAGGCATGACCTCACTGGGTCACCTTAGCTGTGAAGTGAGGTCAGTTGTCACCTTGCAAACCTTTTGGTAATCCAAATCTTGGAATGATTTCTTTAAGAATTTAGACACTTCCAGTACTTTTTCTGTCCTTGTGGGGAAAGCTTCTATCCACCTGTTGAAAGTGTCTATAAATACTAGCAAATCTTGTAGTTCCCTGTAAGGTGGCATCTGGGTTAAGTCTGTCTGCCAGTCTTCACCATGGTATGTTCCTTGGTGTTGTACAGGTTTAAGCAGGGATCGGGGTATGGGGTGGCTTCCTGAGTGGTAACCCTTTTTATAGTTTAGAACAGTCCCTTCCCGAAGAATATTTAGGAAACTAATTTGAATGGAAAATCCCGTCCCAAATGTGAGGAATCATGAAAATGTTTAATTATTTCCCATCTGTCAGCCTCAGGAATAGAGTTTGTTCTTTTCTACCAACCATCCAGAGGGTCTCCCTGGAAGCCTTTTACTCAGTCCCTTTAATTTCCTTAGGGGTATAGTATGGTGTCACTGACACGGATGGAGTACCTGGTAGTAGCGCAGCAGCTTGAAATACCAGGGTTTCCTTAGTTGTGGCCTTAGCTGCTCTTTCCACCAGGGAATTTCCTCTAATAATAAAAGTGTCTCCCTTCTGGTGTCCCCTGCAGTGAGTAATTGTTATTTCTTTGGGAGTTGGACAGCATCTAAAAGTTCCAAGATCTGAGTAAAGTTGTATGGGAGATCCCTTGGCTCTTGATAGTTCCCTTTCCTTCCCTATGGCTGCATGAGCATGGAGCACCAGGAACCCATATTTAGAGTCAGTCAACACATTGACTCTTGAGGGTTCATCCTCCCCGCAGGCAACTGGAGATGTATTGTCCCCAGAGGGTACAATAGAGAATCTTCCGTCACAAGTCAGCAACCAGCATATGTGAGTGACAGCATGTGTCCCACTCAGAAATGAGAGTGTATTAGTCCGTTTTCATGCTGCTGACAAATACATAACAGAGTCCAGGACCAAAAAGAGGTTTAATTGGACTTACATTTCCATATGACTGGGGAGGCCTCAGAATCATGGCGGGAGGCAAAAGGCACTTCTTACAAGGCAGCAGCAAGAGAAAATGAGGAAGAAGCCAAAGCAGAACCCCCTGAGAAACCCATCAGATAGTGAGACTTACTCGATATCAGGAGAATAGCACAGGAAAGACCCACCCCCATGATTCAATTACCTCCTCCTAAGTCCCTCCCACAACACATGGGAATTCTGGGAGATACAATTCAAGTTGAGATTTGGGTGAGGGCACGGCCAAACCATGTCAGAAAGGGATGAAGTGACAGCATATCCTGATGTGTGTGATGGTTTCATGAGTTATTATCTATTTCAAAATTTATTGCAATGTGTGGAAAAGAACAAGGACTTGTACTATCTGACTTTAAGGTTTACTATAAGCTATTAGACACAAGGCATCAGGAGTGACAAACGGATAAACAGCCTGAGTTAGAAGACCTGAAATTGATCCACAGCTATACGGTCAATAAATGGGTTTTCAATAAAAGCAGTTCAATAAAAGAAAATAAGTCATTTCAATTAATGAACTTCTATATGGATGTGGGGAGACCAACAATGTTATTCTCCCTCACACTACACACAAAAGTAATTTCAGCCGCATTACTGAAAAGTTAAAGATATAAAGCATTTCAAGGATACTTTGTGACTTGTTGGCAGGCAAAGATTAGCCTACCAACAAGCAGGACACAGAAAAAATACATATATAAGAAAGACATGATAAATGAGACTTCATCAACATTAGCCACACCTTCTCATCAAAAGATACCACTAAGAAAGCGAAAAGGCAAGCAAGCCACAGACAGAGAGAAAATACCCACAAAACATATCTGACCTCCACACCCTGCAATTATAATTATAGTGGTCTGGTACACTGCACCCAGTTTCTGCTGGATGGAGTATTTTCTGGGTGTCTCTAATGAGTAAGAGAGGGCCCCATGGGATATTCCTTCAGTTCCCAGGTGAACAGTGGGAAAGACTCCACGTTGACCAACCTCGGGGGCCTAAAAATCCAGGTCCTCAAGGAGGGTAGAGTATACCTGGACCCTGACCCAGACCCCTGGATGGGCTGTGCCAAGAGACCCAGCAAGGGAAGGGATTTCCTCCTGCCTCAGGTTCTCTGTCCTTCTGTGGTTAGACGACCTGAACCCAACTCCCTCCCCAAGCACTGGAGATGGGGCTTTTCCAAGGGCTGGTATCTTGCTGTCCTGAGAACAGCTGAGCAAGGGGGTCGAGGAGGAGCTTGGGTTGTGGAGGAGAGGAAACCGGGTAAGATGCGTGAAGCCGTTGGCTATACCAGGCACAGAGAGGACCCACTGGGACCCAACGGCCTGCATGTGAAGCCAGGCCTTGGGCCACCTCGTTCCTCAAAGGGGTGCTGACTTCCATGGGGTGTTCAAAGGGACTGTGGAAAGAGAGGCCTTCAGCCCACACCTCTGAATGCTTTTCCACCACAGCATGCCCTGTGGCCTTTATCCTGCTGGTGTGGAACAGTCAGACCCCTGCAGGGCTGCAGAGCCTCTGTACTGGGCGGCATCCCAGCCTGAGTGCCAGAGCTCAGAGGGCAGGCCCCGGAGCAAGCAGAGAGGAGGGCACCTTTTGGACAGAACGTGTGGGACAAGAGCGATGGCTCATCCGTTCAGGTTCCTCACAAAATGAGAGTCAGGAAGATCAGGGCGCCAGCCTGATTTCCCAGGCAGGGCTGAAAGCAGACAACCGGAGGGAGAGCAGCACCTGGGCCAATGAGGTAGAAGACAGAAGACCACAGTGTACTCCTGCCCTCAACCTCACCCCCTCCCACCCACATCCTCCACACTCCCTGACCACCTTCCTCAGAAGTGTAATAGGAATCCAGATTCCCCCTGGCCTGGTTGCTGCAGGAGGCACAGTAGCCTGATGGAGCCTGAGGCAGGTGTGGGAAGATGTGGATTGTCTAACTGGAGGTTGGGAGTCCAGGGTGTAGAAGCAGCTTGGAGTGCAGGATTTGGTGGTACGTGTGTGGCAGTAGGCAAAAGAAAGAGACAACTGGCCGGGCGCGGTGGCTCACGCCTGTAATCCCAACACTTTGGGAGACCGAGGCGGGCGGATCACGAGGTCAGATGAAGACCACGGTAAAACCTCGTCTCTACTAAAAATACAAAAAAGTAGCCGGGCGTGGTGGCGGGTGCCTGTAGTCCCAGCTACTGGGGAGGCAGAGGCAGGAGAATGGCGTGAACCCGGGAGGCGGAGCTTGCAGTGATCTGAGATCGCGCCACTGCACTCCAGCCACTGCACTCCATCCTGGGTGACAGAGCAAGACTCTGACTCAAAAAAAAAAAAAAAAAAAGAAAAGAAAAGAAAAGAAAAGAAAGAGACAACTGAGCCACTTGAAATACCATGAGAATTCAAATTCAGAAAATTCCCGGGGAACTATGCGTGCAGGCACTCACCAGATCCACAAAACAGCTGCTGCATAACTGCATGTTGCAAGCAAGCCCTAAATTGCTGATTTTGAAACAGCCTGATGGGTTCACAAAGACAATTTCTGAATAGTCTTAAGAGCAGAGGTGCACTAAAGCCACTGTGCCCCGCAGGCCCGGATCCCAGTAAGTTCTTTAAGGAGTAAGTCTTACTTCCATTTATGGAAGATTTTTGGAGTTGTCCTTGGTCACCCCCAGGAATGTTTTGGTTAGGAGTAGAATTTTAGATGTCATCAATTTAAAAATTAAAACTAAAACACTGGAACTCATAGAGAGATAAAATTAAGAGAATACATTCACTATCCTGAGTAGAAAGATTTCTTATAGAACATAACAGGCTTTAAAAATACAGAAAAAATATGGCAAAATTTCATCAAATTAAATGCTTTGAGAACTAAAATTAAAATCCAAAGCCACTCAACCAACTGGACAGACTGCTTCTTGGCCAAGGAGACCCCAGAGAAGTCTTAAATACTGAGTTCCTGCCCAGTAGTTGGAATCTCAGACACCTCTCCTTATACTCTCTCCCTTTGTGGTTTAGACACAACTGACCAGCATTATTGTTAAAATAGAGATCCTAAGACTGACAGAACAGACTCCTTGCAGTAGTAAGATACGGTATGATAAACGAGACCTAAGGCCAAGCCAGGCAAGGTGGAGTCATGCGCCCCTCAACTTAAAGAATAAACTATGTTCCAATTGCCACAGGTTTTTTTCTTCTTCCTTTTTTTCTCTAGCTAAACAAGCACTGGCCTTGAGATAAGCAATGCTGAAGCACTTGCAGCTCACCCATTACCATAAACTGACTGAGCCCTCCCTACACAAGCCATAACTACAGCTTTGATTGGACAAGAGACTGATTTCAGTAACTTCCCCTTGATAAGAGAGCACTGGCTGTGGACGGGTTCTGGACGGTTTACAGAGGCTGTGCACTTGACTGCCTTTGTGTCCCTGCTTCCCCTTTTGAAGCATAGGGCCTAATTATAATGTATTTAAATGTCATCTCCACCCCAAAATGAACATGGGTTGCATGTAACAGGCTTGTTTACTCAGCATGCATGCAGCACGATCCCTTCATGAATATTCAGAGCTCCTCCTATTCCCTGTTGAATATGTATATGTGGCCCACCAGATCAACATAAATCCCTGTTCCCCCCTCCCCTCCCTGGAAACGTACTTTTCAGGTTTCAGCAGGAGGGTATGCCTCCCTGTCTGTCGGAATGGCCACCTTGCAGGCTGTAACCATTTATAAAAAATAAAATCTCCCTTCTAAATTTATAAATTGTGTGATTTTTCAGTTGACAGCTTTCAGTCAGACTTTTCACTGACTGGGAAAATTCATTTGCAATATATTTATTTTAAAAATGACTCCTCAGCATACAAAATTCTTGTGCAAAGATCACAAGCATTCTTATACACCAATAACAGACAAACAGAGAGCCAAATCATGAGGGAACTCCCATTCACAATTGCTTCAAAGAGAATAAAATACCTAGGAATCCAACTTACAAGGGATGTGAAGGACCTCTTCAAGGAGAACTACAAAACACTGCTCAACAAAATAAAAGAGGATACAAACAAATGGAAGAACATTCCACGCTCATGGGTAGGAAGAATCACTATCGGGAAAATGGTCATACTGCCCAAGGTAATTTATAGATTCCCTGCCATCCCCATCAAGCTACCAATGACTTTCTTCACAGAATTGGAAAAAACTACTTTAAAGTTCATATGGAATCAAAAAAGAGCCCGCATTGCCATGTCAATCCTAAGCCAAAAGAACAAAGCTGGAGGCATCACGCTACCTGACTTCAAACTATACTACAAGGCTACAGTAACCAAAACAGCATGGTACTGGTACCAAAACAGAGATATAGACCAATGGAGGAGAACAGAGCCCTCAGAAATAATGCCACACATCTACAACTATCTGATCTTTGACAAACCTGACAAAAACAAGAAATGGGGAAAGGATTCCCTATTTAATAAATGGTGCTGGGAAAACTGGCTAGCCATATGTTGAAAGCTGAAACTGGATCCTTTCCTTACACCTTATACAAAAATTAATTCAAGATGGATTAAAGACTTAAATGTCAGACCTAAAACCATAAAAAGCCTAGAAGAAAACCTAGGCAATACCATTCAGGACATAGGCATGGGCAAGTACTTCATGTCTAAAACACCGAAAGCAATGGCAACAAAAGCCAAAATTGACAAATGGGATCTAATTAAACTTAAGGGCTTCTGCACAGCAAAAGAAACTGTCATTAGAGTGAACAGGCAACCTACAGAATGGGAGAAAATTTTTGCAATCTACTCATCTGTAGTTTCATCAGAATCTACAAAGAACTCAAACAAATTTACAAGAAAAGAACAAACAACCCCATCAACAAGTGGGCGAAGGATATGAACAGACACTTCTCAAAAGAAGACATTTATGCAGCCAAAAGATACATGAAAAAATCCTCATCATCAGTGGCCATCAGGGAAATGCAAATCAAAACCACAGTGAGATACCATCTCACACCTGTTAGAATGGTGATCATTAAAAAGTCAGGAAGCAACAGGTGTTGGGGAGGATGTGGAGAAATAGGAACACTTTTACACTGTTGGTGGGACTGTAAACTAGTTCAACCATTGTGGAAGTCAGTATGGTGATTCCTCAGGGATCTAGAACTAGAAATACCATTTGACCCAGCCATCCCATTACTGGGTATATACCCAAAGGATTATAAATCAGGCTGCTATAAAGACACATGCACACGTATGTTTATTGCGGCACTATTCACAATAGCATAGACTTGGAACCAACCCAAATGTCCCACAATGATAGACTGGATTAAGAAAATGTGGCACATATACACCATGGAATACTATGCAGCCATAAAAAATGATGAGTTCATGTCCTTTGTAGGGACGGGGATGAAGCTGGAAACCATCATTCTCAGCAAACTATCGCAAGGACAAAAAACCAAACACCGCATGTTCTCACTCATAGGTGGGAATTCAACAATGAGAACACTTGGACACAGGAAGGGGAACATCACACACCGGGGACTGTTGTGGGGTGGGGGGAGGGGGAGGGATAGCATCAGGAGATATACCTAATGTAAATGACGAGTTAATGGGTGCAGCACACCAACATGGCACATGTATACATATGTAACAAACCTGCACGTTGTGCACATGTACCTTAAAACTTAAAGTATAATTTAAAAAACGTCAAAACAAGACTCAATTCTTGAATATATAAGAGAACTTTTGTAAGTCAGTAATATAGAGCTAAGCCAAATAAAATAGGGCAAAATATTCGAATAGGCCTTTGCAAAGGAGAGTTTCTTATATGCTGGAAGCCATAAGAAAATATGCTTCATAGGATTGCTCATTAGGCAAATACAAATTAATTCCACACTGAGATAGCACTAACCACTCACCAGTGTATGGCTACTTTTTTTTTTTTTCTGAGACAGGGTCTCATTCTGTCACGCAAGCTGGAGTGCAATGGTGCGATCTTGACTCACTGCAACATCCCCCTCCGGAGTAGCTGGGACTACAGGTGCATGCCACCATGCCCAGCTAATTTTTGTATTTTGAGTAGAGACAGGGTTTTGCCATGTTGGCCAGCCTGGTCTGAGAGCATAGCTACATTTAACAAAGTTAGTACACCAAATGCTGACAAGAATTTGGTGCCACTTCAACTGTCATCGCTGGCGAAAAAGCATTCTAGAAGACTGGCAATTTATACTGATGTTAAACTTATACTCAGGTCATGACCCAGCAATTGAAGGACTTCCATGAATCTCAAGTGCACACAAAGACTGTTATAAGAATATTCAGCACAAGAAATCAATAACCCCAAAATTGAGAAGTGATCTATGAAACTACATGGATATATCTCATGAGTATAATGAATGTAACTGGAGAAAAAGGCCAGACACAAAACATATGTACATTCACTCATGTGAACTTTAAGAACAGGCAATTGTAACCTGTGGGAATAGACATCAGAATAGTGATAACTAAGAGGACACAGGGTGGGAATCACCTGGACAGGGGCTCTAACAGGCCTTTCTCAGATGATGGCAATTTTCTATAACTTGAGCTGGGTGGTGATAACATTGATCAAAACTAAACAAATTGCACTAAAGATTTGTGCACTTTATGTGAACTGTAGCTTCTTTACTGTTCTCATTGCTTGAACCTCGGAGACACAGGTTGCAGTGAGCCGAGATTGAGCCACGGCACTCCAGCCTGGGTGACAGAACAAGACTACGTCTCAAAAATAATGATAATAGTAATAATTTACTGTTCTCATAAAAATTAGCAGATGGGGAATGGAGGCAAGCCTGTGCAGACCATGACAACTAGTTTAGATTTTATTGTCAGCTCATTAAAAACTCGTTCTCGTTTTGTGTTTTTAAAAAATTCCACTGATACAGCCGTTTTCTCTACCGAAAAAGACTATAACCGCATTATTTCACCAGTGGAAGCTACAGACAAAGGGCCCTTGAGAGGCGGCATCTTCACCTACGGGAATTTTTCCTGCTCAATTGTGAGACAAAGAGCATGTCCAAGTTTTCCTATCGGCCAGGCCGCCCCCTAGTTTCTGCGCTGTGGGCTAAACTCCAGAAGCTGGCGCCCTTCGGGGCCAGAGGTTTACTCTGCTCTCTGGAGGCTGCTAGGATTAAAGGCAAAGCAAACGACAGGTCTATTAGCCACAATCGCAGGCTAGAAAACACTACTGTGACTCAGATTAGAACCCAGGTTGTGGCAACCACAACTACAAGTATTAACCACTACACGACCACAAAGCCTGCTGACAAGCATTGCACTTCTTCTATTTTTTGAATGTAAAAACACTCACACTATTTTATCTGCTTTATTCTTGGACGCCGCCGATTTTCGTGCTTTTCTCTCTTTCATGCGCTTCTCCGTTTCTCTCCCCATTCTGCTACATAATTTTAAAAAAATCTCATCTCCCAGGATCCACCCACTGCCTCTACAACAAGCCTCCTGGGAGGTCTCTTTGTCCCATTGACATCTCTGCCTTCTTTCGCTGCTTTTTTTTTTTTTTTTGACGGAGTCTCGCTCTGTCGCCCAGGTGGAGTGCAGTAGCGCAATCTTGGCTCACTGCAACCTCTGCCTCCTGGGTTCAAGCGATTCTCCTGCCTCAGCCTCCCAAGTAGCCGGAATAGCAGGTGCATGCCACCACATTCGGCTAATTTTTGTATTTTTAGTAGAGACGGGATTTTTCCATGTTAGCCAGGCTGGTCTTGAACTCTTGACCTCAAGCGATCCATCCGCCTCGGCCTCACACAGTGCTGGGATTACAGGCATGAGCCAACGTGCCCGGCCAAATTTCAGGCCAACACCTGTTGACAGACATTGCCAGACACACGGAATCCCTCGCAGAACACCGATGGGCCCACAAAGCACGCGGAGGCCGCGGCCGCTGACGATGTGAGCAAATTCGGTTCACGGTGTCTGGGGTACAGCCCTGAGGGTCCACTGGCCACCTCTGCGCAAGGACCAGTCCCCGCCGCTCCCCTCATCTCCACGCAGATTCTTCCCCACACACCTTCCCTTTCTTTGGGCCGCTGAAGCCTCTTGGACCTCTGACGTGACTGTCCTGCCCGCAGCTTCTCTCCTTCCAAGAGCGTCATTTCTTGATCCTCTCTACAGTGGCTCAGCAGTAAGCCCAAGGTCCAGCACGCGAATCAGGAACCTGATGATTCTTCGGGTTTGCAGGGATCCGCCCCGTGAATAGATGAAAGTAACAGGTACCAATATCAAAACTGCAGTGACTCACCGGAAACACTTCGTGCTTGCCACTTTGCTAAGCTGTTTGAGTCCAACAATTGCATGGGTCCTGGGTTAGTGTCCTGAATGTCTCTTGCCGCTACTCTCGTGAGTAATGTTGTCACTTTACCTTGTGGTGGCCAAGCCCCTAAATGCACTATTAGGTTATGCAGTATAATTTTGCAGCGTAAAAGACGGGTAAAGGGCCATAATGAAATGAAGAAGTACCTGCTGCATTGGCCGGGAATTGAACCCGGGTCTCCCACGTGGGAGACGAGAATTCTACCACTGCACCACCAATGCCTCTACACACCCACGGCCTGGAGGATAAGAGAAAAGAGTATCCAAAAAGACTTAGAAACTTCCAACCGCCTTTTTCAAGTGTCGACTAAAAGCTAACAAACACATCCAAACCAAATGTTTTTATAGGAAACTTTTACTAGACAAAGTTATAAATATCAAAATAGCTCATTTGGTGGATCAAACTCTTAAGTCTGAAAAAGGTCTTTCTACCTGCATTATAAACCCCTATAATAAAACATCAGAAATTCATTCATGTTTCTTTTTTCTAATCTTAAATCTTCCATTGTCAATCTCAAACTGCTGCCTTAGAGGTTCTGAGAAGGTAACCTAACTGGTAGTTTAGGTAAATAAAGTTCAAATCCAGGGAGGAAACAAGAAGCAGAAGCAGAATTAGAAGAAAGACGAAATAAAAGGACAGAATCAATGTACAGATAATGAAGAAACAAAGGTTGGTCCACTAAGTTAGTCTTTTGTCGCTGGTTTTTTTGGCAAAAGAGTAATGATCGGTCTCGTAATCATTATAATACTATTATTTGTCTGCTTGAAGATGTATAAAGCATTTGAAGGAAATGTGATGTGAAAAGATTAAGAACCCTTGCCGTCAATGTTTCCTTGTTTGGGAGAATCCCATTTCCTAAGTTAATATGCTTTGATGTATTAGCTATGAAAGGAGTAGACTAGTTTAAGGAAATATTGACGGTCAAAATATTAACATATTAGTCTTTTGATGAAGTTCAAATAGTAGAGAGATTTCTTTCCTCAATTTTCAACGGAGACATTCAACTGAAGAGACAAATCCAGAGTTTTCCCCACATGTTGGGTCTGGGAGTCATTATGACTTTTTCAAAGACAGGAGCTGTGACATGGAATCATGCTTCTTCTCTAGCTGAGAAGCCAAGCTAGGTCCAGGCTGCGTCATAAACTTGAGCCCACCAAGGAAATCACCCTTCACATTGACCTCGCAGAGCTTTGGCTGTTCTCTGTTCTTTGCCCAACACCCAAGACACACACCAGCTCTGGCCAACAAACCTTAACATATGATCTATATCAACCAGAGCTATATTTATTCCCAAATCTCCTTCTAAAATACAAACCTGTACTTTCTACTCTCAACTTCTAAATTTACAAAGGCCTCATATGCATCTCAGAGTCATAGATGCTAAAACTTAACCGGTTTTCTGAGGATTATTTGGGGAAGGGGTATGCATTCAAAATCTTTTGTATGTAGATAATTCGTGTGGTTTCAGATTATTGACTCTACAAGTTCCAGATGCAGATTTAGAACCTTTTAAAAAAATATTTTGTTTTTGTCTCGCAAATCAGCCAGATCTGCAACTTATCAGAGTAAAGCGAAGCCCAGCGGGACACTTAGGAAATGCACTAAGATGTCATCCACTTTCAGTGTCAGCCTGTGAAAATTCAGGCGACAGAAGAGAATGAAGAGAATCTTAAGGAATTTCTGGAACCAAAGCTAACATTAAGCAGGCCTCTTGCTGGCAGACCAGTGGAAACTGTAGCCTGGTCAACAATCTGTCTAGATTGAGGAGGTCTAAAGTGTAGCCACAGGTTCAACTACTTTTCTGTTTGTTTCCCAACCTCGATTAAACTCACTAAATTTAGGGACAAAAAGAAAAACCAAAAAACCATGTTTCCCTCCAGTCTCGAGCCAAGGGTCTTTCACATGTGAGGCAAACATGATAACCACTATACTACAGAAACTGCACATACACTGGAAAAGGCAAAACATAATCATGAAAATCTGAGGTCAGCCATTTCTATTATCGTTTCCAAAGTAAGAAATTCAACTGCATTTTGAAATTCGACTGAAAAAAGCCCAATAAGCACCAGCCATCAAGAAGACTATGGCTCCCAGTAGGCCCAGGCTTAGCGTTCCGCACCTACCCCCAACACGAAGACCACGGGGACCCACACCCGGGCTTCGGGATCCCGCATCCTCCCCCGGGTATCCAGTTCCAGAACTAAGCGCCGTGTGCGGGATCCTTCCGGCTGACACTCTTGGCTCCCAGAAGCTCCAGAAGCTGCAGAAGCCGGCGGGCTTTGAGCTTCCGAGCCCCGGGCGCCCCGTGCCTCGCAGGAGTGTGGACGCCGCCCTTCCAGGGATGCGGACCCCGCCTCGGGGCCTTTTCCCCGGCGCCAGCTGTCAGAGCTCTTGGCTCTTCGCGTCCTCCCAGGAACCGTAGGACCCTCCTTGCCCTCCCTTCCGCAGGCCGAGGGGCGCGAGCTGCGGGCTCTTTCCTCACGGACCCTTTGGCCTCAGCGCCTCGACGTCTTTCTCCCAAAGGTCATCCTTCACTGCTGCTGTCTCTTAGTCTGCCCCACTCAATTTAAGTAATAGTTAATCACACTTCCAGATTTCAGCAGGTACCGTAGCAAAGGCTGTGTCTCAGGGCACTTGGCTGTTTGAAAATATGGGCACATCAACTCAGGCCAAGCCACCGAGTACAAAACCCTGGAAGACCCGGGGGCAGCCCACTTAGATTTCACGATCGCTCCTCTCTCCCTCGTCGGTCTTCTGATTCTTCCTGAAGGGCAGTTTCATTTTACCCTTTACAAAACTGAAACGTCTTATATGTGCTTTTTGTAATTTTTCTGTTCAATAAGGTTTTGGAGTGCGGATTTTAACCTAAGAGGGACAAAGAGATAAAGGCGGTTTTCACAGAAAGCGTCTCGATGGATTTTCACGTTCACCTGGCAGCAGATGGCCAACAGGCAGAAAGAGTCTCTTTTTGCTTGAAGACATTAAAATCAATCTCTCTCCCCCCCCTTCCCCCCTCTCTCTCTCTATGCCAAAAATTAGCTTCTTGGGAGGCCGAGGCAGGAGAATCGCTTGAACCCGGGAGGCAGAGGTCGCAGTGAGCCGAGATCGTGCCACTGCACTCCAGCCTGGACGACAGAGCAAGAGTGTCTCAAAAGTTTGGAGAAGAAGGTGCCATTTTCCCTAGTTGCTTTTCTTATTGCAGTGGTGACCGCATTGCCTTCAAACCTGAAGTCCGAGTGCTTCCACCCTGGGGAATATGCAGACCGCTGGGTCACTGGACGCCAGGCCGCGGTGCTGGCCTAGTTCTGCTTTTGGCTTTCAATGCAGTCGGCGGAGGCGACTGGACCTCACCAGAGACTGGTGGGATGTTACCCTCACCAGCGACTGGAGGGCCGAGCTCCCAAAGAGGCCTACTTCATGATAGCCTTGAATCAGGAAATTTCATGAAATCCCACCCCTCTACTGCCCCATTCCCATATTCTATCTCCTCCCCATATTCTGTCTCCTCCCCTGCCCACTCTGAGAGGATTCGCCGCCTTTCTGTCGCGTCTGGACCCTTTGGAGTCCCACATGGACAAGACAAAAGGGGCACTGCCTTTTCCTACAGGAGCGGGAGGAGCCCTCACGGCGGAGGAAACACAGGCTCACAGAGCGCATCCCCACACACCTGAGCCCTGCCGGGTTCCAGAAAACCCAACAAAGCACTCTCTGAAGCTTCTCTTGGATATGTACCCAGAAATAGGGTTCCTGGATCATAGGGTAGATTCTATTTTTAGTTTTTTGAGGAAACTCCATACTGTTTTCCACACCAGCTGTACTAATTTACATACCTATTCACAATGTGTGTGTTCCCTTTTCTCTGCATTATGTCTAACACATCATTCACCTTTTTGACAAATGCCACTCTAACAGGTGTGAGATGATATTCATTATGGTTTTAATTTGCATTTCCCTAATGATTAATGATGCTGAGCATTTGAGAAAAGCTAATTTTTAATGCCTTAATGTTGAGAACTGACAACATTGTTGTGAAAGATAGGAAGCAATAAGGTAAAAACAAAACAATGTCATTCAAACAGGATATCAGATTTGCACATAGGCCTTTGTGGGGCAAATGGGAACCCAGCGCACAAAAAGTTGAATTATATGGAAGCAATATCACAAATGAGTTAGGAAATGTGAAAAAAATAACCAATAAGAGAGATATAATTAAAAATAGACCTAATGGATTCACACTATCACTACAAATACTGGAAGCCCGGGGGTTTCATTTGGGGGAAAGAAATATTTGCTTTCATACACGATCAAAACTAATGAAAAAGCTAGATCCTGAGTTACTTTTCAGGCCTTTACGTTTAAAACTTAAAGTTAGCCAAAGAAAGTCTACTTTGAGATGGAAATATGAAAACCCGAATTAGCCTGGGGAAAAATCAAACCCCTAGGCACTGTTTGATTTTCTCACTTTAAAGTGGGAAATTAGATCAGATGTACCTTAAGGTTTTTCTGGTGTTAACACTCATGGTTCATCATTTTTTTCTTTTTAAAGAAAATAGGTATATTGAAACCAATAGAACAAGATAATATATATTCAGAAGGCACTTTAATCATGGGTAAACTTCATGAAAGTTAGACATTATTTTTAAGCAGAAGGAACCCTTAAGGCCTAGAAAAGAATAATGCTGTGCCCACACTCAAGACTAATGGCAAAGTGTGTTTTAGTTAAGTTACTTGGAAAGAGTTTATATAGAATGACAACATCACATAGTTTAAATGAGGGGTGGGATCATAAGCTTTCAGAAGTAGCTTTATTGGGTCCCCCTTCCCTTATTTTGTCACAAATGCTGGGGGGGCACATATGGAGATGGCCACCAGCCTGATTAAGCCTGCCAACAGAGTCTTAGAGACAGACATTCCCAAGAGCCTGTCAAATCTCAGGTTCACAAAGCCCAAGGAAGATTGGGTGCCTGGGAATTGAGCGGCTTTGTCTAAGGATCTTTCTTCTTTGACCTGGGTGCACATGTCTTCACAACCTCAACTGCTATGCTACTGAACGCCGTTGCACATGTATACTGTGAATCGACCCTACCACAAACCTGTGACCTAGATTTGAACATACTTTGTTACGGGGAACAGCAAAAAGTCAGTGGCTTTGCAGCAACCCCGACAGCTCTGTCAATCGTTGATCCATATAAGCTGTTCAGGGCCCTGCTCTGCTTAATGTATTGGTGACCTGAAGACCTGAATGGAGATCTAAAGCATATAATTAATTCTACAAATCATCCCCAATCAGGGGGCCACTACATGATTTGTGGAAATGCACATCGAATATTTGGATGACTTGGATAATGGGGGAATGATTCAGTATAGCCACAATGAATTTATAAGTGACAATTACAAGTCACAATATTTATAGAGATAAAAGAAAACAGCATGACCCAGCAACAGCTGTGGGGGAGGGGTGGAAAATTCAGAGGTCGAAATTGACCCTAAGTTAAGTAAAAGCTCCAAATGCTGCCACCGAGAAGGAAAAGAAGCCAATGTGACATTGGGACGTAGTAAGATTCATATTGGACAGACAGGCAGGAACTCCTTGTACTGAAGTAATTAGTCATATGATAAGTGGATTATCATACTCAGATTTTGATTTGCACCCTTTTAAGAGCACAGGAAAAGACCAAAGATAAGCCCAAAATGAACAATAACAAAGTCTAAAAGTGAACAAGTTCCCATTTGAGGAAAAGCGATAAGATCTGCTTTAATTAAAACATTGATGAATAACTTCAAGAGTGTCCTCGAGAAATAGAAAGGTGCTGGGCAATTGTTCCTGCCTCTGTTTCTTCCACATGCTGAGATTTGTAGAGAGAGTTTGTCCGGCAGCATCGGCACAAGGATAATAACCAAAAAGTGAGGTTGGCTGCTTGGCAGGGTGGCTTCACCTCCACCTCTCAGTAGCTGCAGAGTGTGATTCTTCTACTGCCAATGAAATAGTTGGTGTTGGCAGGGCACGGTGGCTCACGCCTGTGATCTCAGCACTTTGGGAGGCTGAGGTGGGCAGATCATGAGGTCAGGAAATCGAGACCATCCTGGCTAACATGGTGAAACCCCGTCTCTACTAAAAATACAAAAATAAAAAAATTATCCAGGCGCGGTGGCAGGTGCCTGTAGTCCCAGCCACTCGGGAGGCTGAGGCAGGAGAAAGGCGTGAACCCAGGAGGTGGAGCTTGCAGTGAGCCGAGATCGCACCACTTCACTCCAGCCTGGGCGACAGAGCGAGACTCCGTCTCAAAAAAAATAAATAAATAAAATAAAATAAAATAAGAAAAAGGAAATAGTTGGTGTTGTCTTCCCTGCGTAGCTCCACCTTATTCTAATTCTGTGACTGGGTCTGCTGACTTTCCCCAGTGCCCTGAGTCCTCCCTCTCAGCTGCCCTTGAGGGAGTCGGAGTTACAGGCAGGGCCTCAGGCTTTGCGCCCAGATATCTTAAGCCATCATCTCCCGCCATCCAGGACTCAGGTGTTGCAGAGCTGATGGAGCTTCCTGACTTGTGACAAAACTCGCAGGACCCTGTCTCCTCAGGAAGAGAAGAATCACCACATTCACACCCTCCAGCCCTGTTTCAACCTCGTTTGTTTGCATTTGTTTTTAATTTCTTATGTGCTTTTCTCCCTCACCATCTCTGGATTCTCTTCGCCTCTATGGGGAAATTCCTCCTGCTCATTTGGTGTGTCCTTCCTACCCAAACCAGTCCCCAGGGCCCTTATTGCCTGACTAAGGCACTGAGGTTGGGTTGCTGGAGGCGCACCAAGGTGGAGGTCTCTGTTCCCACGTGACACCTAGGAAGGGTGGAGAGAGAGGGGGCAAGTGTTGGATGCAGGGGCTGCCCCCCAATCCTGATGCTAGCTTGGTACAGCCCCACAGCCCCCCTTCCTGGCCCTGCTCAGCCCAGTAACCCTGTGTCACTCCTTCAGGCATTCCCTGAGCCCCTGGGAGTCAGGGCTGTGGCCCTGGGCCTGGAGCCAGTCTCCTGCCATGACAACCAGGTGCCTGTCGTGTAGGCAGCTCGCAGTCAGGACCTGCAGCCTCTGAAAACCCTGCACGGTGCTGCCTATTGGCTACGTACGGTTCAGAGAGGGCCAATTAGTTGCCCAAGGACAGAAGCAGGACTCAAACCCAGGATCCGCTTGACCCAAAAAAACCATTGCTGAGTGAGGCCTGGCCAATTCTTCCAGGGAAGACAGAGAGCACAGAGCTACCTTCCAGGCCTGTGGGAGTCTGGGAGCGGCCCAAGCCAGGGGCCGGGCAGCAACAGGCTTTAGGACTTGAACCCGCTCTCCTCCCACAGGACAAAGACAATTCTGGTCCCACAGTCTTGCATCTGACTACCCGCTTTGGCCACCCCGAGGTGGTGAACTGGCTCTTGCATCATGGCGGTGGGGATCCCACCGCGGCCACAGACATGGGCGCCCTGCCTATCCACTACGCTGCAGCCAAAGGAGACTTCCCCTCCCTGAGGCTTCTCGTCAGGCACTACCCTGAGTGAGATCACTCCTCTTAAGGGGTCCTCTGGGTGGGCCGGGCCAGGGCTTTGGGGGATGCCTGGGATTTTCCACACTTCTCTGGCACTCCAGGGCAAAGATCCCTCCAGTAGCCATCCTGGGGCCAGAGGGCCAGGCCAGAGAAATGGCTCCCACTCAACATGAAATCTTCCCCTCCTGGAAAACCCCTTCTGGGGCTGCCCCCAGAGCCCTGCAAGCAGGTGCTCCCAACATCCTCAGCTGCCCGGCCGCACGCAGCTGGACCTGGGAGGCTGGGCACACAGGCCAAGGTCACCTGTTCCCCTTGGGCTGCTTCTGCCGCAGGGGCTCTCTCTGGCTCAGGCTGTGCTCACTTGCAAGACTGTTCAGAATGGAGTTGGGGGCAGCAAGGGCAGGAGCGCCTCCTAGGCCCTAGTCAAACAGGCAGAAAGGGAACCCCATTAGTTACCAAGCAGTTAAGGGAGAAAGGCCCCTCCCCAACCCCCACCCCACCTCCTGACCCCAGAGCCCCTGGCTGGAGGCCATCCAGAAAGCAACTTGTTATCTCCTGTGGCCCCTCAGCCCGTTCCCACTATCAAGGGAAGCATGGGGATCCCAAACCTCCTGGGGAGTGGTCTGGGAGCTCCCCCGGGTGGGGTGGGGGGTCGAACAGAGCAGGTGGCATGTGTGAGTCTTGGGGAGGGAGGAAGAGACTCAGGTCTTAGGTGCGCCTGGGGAGGCAGGGATCCTGGGAAAAGCTGCCCAGGCCCTGTCTGAGAGGGTAGGGTGCCAGATGCCACAGGGGTCTGAGCGGGGAGTGGGTTACTCTGATGGGTGACCCTCGTTAGTCTAAGTGGGAGCCTGAGATGGAAATGTGAATGTGGACCCAGCCTCAGGACGAGAGCAGCTACGAGGTGAGAGGGTCTGGCCTGTCCCCACCACTGGTCAGTTTCTGGGTGTGCCTGCAGGGCCCCTGGCCACCAGGGAGCAAGCTGGAGGCCAGTTCTGGCCATATGGCCATGTGGCAAGGTAGCCACAGCTGCAGCCTCTTGGGCCCAGGCACACTGGCGTGGATGTAGGGTGGCCCTAGGACCCACCAGGCCGGGCTCCAGTGGTCCCCTCAGCCCAGGACAAGGGAGCTGGGCCTGGTTCCATCCTTGCTAAGAAGGGGCTCCCTGGTTTGGTTAGTGGGAGACCCAACAGGCAGCACCCGGAGGAAGGGGTGCTTCACAACCAGCCCTGCCAGGCCTTCTTGGTGGCTGCTTTGGTATGAATTCACTGCTTCCAAACAAACTAGGGTTTGGATCATGTCAAAGTCAGTGGGATTTAGACTAGGAGGGACCCAGGGACCCTTGAGTAGAGGGTTCCAACTGGCTCCTGTCAACACCTCTTGGAGGCTGTCCCAGATTCCTGAGTTAGACTCTCCAGGTTGGGGCCTGGGAGCCACACCGGGGACATGTCCCCACCCTCATGGCGGTGATTCTGATGCACCTGTCCCACCCCCTCACTTCAAGCAGAGGAGAAGGACAGGTCTTGAGAGGGGCAGGTGCCCCTGATGGCGGGACCAATATGGCCCAAGTGTGAACTGGAAGACGCTGAGCCCGCCTTATGCAAGTGCTGGTGGGGACCGCCGGCCCCTAAGCCTTCCTCACTGAGAAGCCACGATCCCTCCGTGGGCTGGATCCCAGGTGTTAGGAAGACTGGCTGTGCTGTGGAACGCCCTCCAGGGCTCCGGGGCTGGGGAACCCTGACCCCCTCCCAGGCCATGCCAGGTGCTGTGTGTGATTGGGCGCTGGTGCCGACCCAGTGGCCAGATGGGCTGGACTGATGAGCTGCCAGCCCCCCAGGAGTCACCATGAATCTCAGGGAGGTGGACAGAGGGCTTGGGCTCCGTTCCCCACAGCAGCATGTGACTCGACTGATAAGAAGGTGTCTTTCTGTGGTTGCCAGGCTGGGCTTATGCAGGAAGGGCAGCTGGGAATTGGGGTTGGGGGCTGGGGTACCCACTTAACCTCCTATCTTGGGGGTAGGGATTCCTGCTCACCGAGGCTGTGGATATGAAGGCTGGGAGCTGGGTAGGGCAGAGGCTTGAGCTGCCCCAGGCCACAGGGCCCAATCAGGGCACCCAGGTGGCCCAGCTTCATGCTCTTGCGAGCCTCTGGGGCCTGCTGTGAATTGCTGTGAATTATTCACAAGGCTCAGCTCTCTCGCTGGCGCGTGGGTGAGTGCTGAGGGAGGAAGGGCTCCCGGACCTGCTGGTGGGAAACTCGATCCTGCCCAGGGAGGGGCTGTGGGTGGCCATGAGACATGGAAGTGACACGCTGCAGAGGAGCTGGAAGGCTGGACAGCCTCGGGGAGGCTCAGCTAATTCCAGGGCTACACCTTGGGGTGTTATAATAGAAAGTGCTTGAGATTGCAGGAATGTCCTGCACATCCCCCACACCTCCCCGTCTATCCCGTTCATGGGGTCAAGTCTTCCCAGAAGCAGAGGACTTGTCACAGTGACCTCGGGGCTGCTGCCATGTGGGACCCTCCCTCTGAGCCCTTGTAGAAAAGGGATCTCTCATACAAAATTAGCCGGGTGTGGTGGCGCGTGCCTGTAATCCCAGCCACTCAGGAGGCTGAGGCAGGAGAATCGCTTGAACCCGGCAGACGGAGGTTGCAGTGAGCCAAGATCGCGCCATTGCACTACAACCTGGGCAACAAGAGTGAAACTCCATCTCCAGGTGGGGAAAAAAAAGAAAAAGAAAAAGGATCTCTCAGTTGGGAGGTACGGGGCTGGCAGGAGCTGGGCTGGGCAAGTCCCAGGCTCTGGGTCTCAGGGAGATTGAGTTGGGAGGGTTGGCCCTCCCAGCAGGAGCTCCAGTGGCTGATGGAGGGGAACAAGGGGTCCAGACCCCCATTCAGGGCAGAGTGAGGAGGGGCGAAGAGCAGGTGGCCCCAAGGCCAGTGGCCACCCTCCCAGGAGGGTCCTGGAGCCCAGGAGCTCACTCTGCCCCCCTCACACCTGCTTCTGGCTGCCCCAGGGCCTGAGCAGCTGGGCAGGGCTGTGGGGGTCGGGGAGCTGGGGATCAGCTGGGACCCTGAGGCTTGAGCTTCCAGGCTGGGGAGTGAGGAGGCTCCAGTCTCTTCCCCTGGGCTCGTGGGTGCTGCCAGTCATAGCAAGCTGGAAAACCAGTTAGCCCAGAGATGTTATCAACTTCAGCAGGTGCCTCCTTCCCCCAAAGCCTCCCCTACCCCTGACCAGACTAGACTGGAATGGGATTGGAAAGTACCTGGGGCTGGGTATGGTGGCTCACGCCTGTAATCCCAGCACTTTGGGAGGCTGAGGCAGGTGGATCACCTGAGGTCAAGAGTTCAAGACCAGCCTGACCAACATGGTGAAACCCCGTCTCTACCAAAAATACAAAAATTAGTTGGGTGTGTGGCTGGGCTATGCCTGTACAGGTGGCACATGCTTGTAATCCCAGCTACTTGGGAGGCTGAGGCAGGAGAATCACTTGAACCAGGGAGGTGGAGGTTGCAGTGAGCCCAGATCATGCTATTGCATTCCAGCCTGGGCAACAGAGCAAGACTCTGTCAAAAAAAAAAAAAAAAAAAAAAAAAAAAAAAGGGAACGAGTGAAAGAAAGGAAGGAAAGAAAAGAAAGGAAAGAAAAAGAACCTGGTGCTGAGTATCTTCTAGGGGTCTGGCACCACCCAGTGTCATCTGAGTCACACAACCACCCCGAGCAGTAGCTATGTAATCAGCCCATTTTACAGATGGACTCATTCAACTAATGTTTATTGAGCATCTTCTATGTGCCAGGCAATATTCTAAATGCCAGTGATATGCTGGTGAACCAGACAAGCGTCCCTGCCTGGTGGAGCTGACAGGTACAGAAATGGTGTTTTAGAGAGGCTGATTCACCAGCTGTGGTCATCACTGGCTTGCTGTGTGGCCTTGAGCAGGCTGTACCTCCTCTCTGGGTCTCTCTCCCACTCCTGGTCCAGGTCCTAATCCCTCAGGGCCTTTCAAGTCCACTGCAGACTTCCCCTTTTCCCTTCCTTTGTGCAAAGCTTCACGGAGTCTGGCTGCTCCCACGGCCCAGGGGTTCAGGCAGCCCCCACCTGGGACAGAAAGGGAGTTTGTTGGGAAGCCCCTAGCAACTCTCAGCTTAGAGAGCCCCAGGGCCCAGGGCTCAACTCTCCCCCTTAGAAGGCTGGAGGCTCTGCCTGGGGTGGTCCCTGATTCTGCCACAGGCCGTGGGGGCTCATTCCTTTTTATCAGCAGCCCCAGATCTACCCCTGGTGTCTGTCAGTTCACCTGGCTGCAGGGCGTGGGGGCGGGGCCTGTGTCCACACTGAGGAGGTGGCTGCCGTCCTTGACTCCCTGACCCACGTGGAGGCTCTGGGAAAGGAAGGGCCTGGTGGAGTCCGGGGAAGCCCCTCACAGCAGGAGACCATCTCGTGTCTCCACCAGCAGCTCCTGGTCCCAGCTGTCATCTAACCGGGGCTAGTGCTCCTGCCCTACCCTTCTAAGGGGGAGAGCTGAGCCTTGGACCCTGGGGCTCTGTAAGCAGCACGCTGCTGGGGCATCCCAGGGCTTCTGAGAAACCCCCTTTCTGCCTCACGTGGGGGCTACCTGAACCCCTTGGGCTCAGCTGGGCCCAAGGCTCTGTGAGGCTGTGCACTACAGAACGGAAAAGGGGAAGTCCTCAGTAAGCCTGAAAGGCCCTGGCCTTCACCCGTCCATGTCCACCCGCAGCCTTTGAAAACACAAGTCCTGCTGGGTGTGGTGGCTCACACCTGTAATCCCAGCACTTTGGGAGGCTGAGGCGGGCGGAACACGAGGTCAGGAGTTCGAGACCAGCCTGGCCAACATGGAGAAACCCCGTCTCTACTAAAAAATACAAAAATTAGCCGGGTGTGGTGGCACGTGCCTGTAGTCCCAGCAACTCGGGAGGCTGAGGCAGGAGAATTGCTGGAACCCGGGAGGCGGAGCTTGCAGTGAGCCAAGATCGAGCCACTGTACTCCAGCCTGGGCGACAGAGCAAGACTCCGTCTCAAAAAAGAAAAAGAAAAGAAAAGAAAAGACAATGCAAGTCCTGGTCTGGTGCAGTGGTTCATGCCTGTAATCCCAGCACTTTGGGAAGCTGAGGCGGGCGGATCACAAGGTCAGGAACTTGAGACCAGCTTGGCCAATATGGTGAAACCCCGTCTCTACTAAAAAATACAAAAATTAGCTGGGCATGGTGGTGGGTGTCTGTAATCCCAGCTACTCAGGAGGCTGAGGCAGGAGAATTGCTTGAACCCGGAAGGCGGAGGTTGCAGTGAACCAAGATTGCGCCACTGCACTCAAGCCTGGGCGACAGAGCAAGACTCCATCTCAGGGGGAAAAATAGTTAGCCGGGTGTGGTGGCTCCCGCCTGTAGTCCCAGCTGCTTGGGAGGCTGAGGCATAAGAATCACTTGAACCTGGGAGGCAGCGGTTACAGTGAGCTGAGATTGTGCCACTGCATTCCAGCCTGGGCAACAGAGCAAGACTCCGTTTCAAAAAAAAAAAAGAGCACCTCCCGTCACAGGCTTCTGGTCACTGACAGGGAATGCTGCTCACTTCCTTACAATGGCCCAGAGGCTGTCCCTCCTCCGGGCTGTGGTCCCCTCCAACAGGCCAGCACCCCTGCCTTCACAGAGGCTGATCCCTCTGCAGGGATCAGAGATCCCCGCCTGCTCCCTGCCTTCCTGCAAGTCTTTGCCCAGACCTCACCTCAGCAAGGCCAACCCTGAGCCTCGCTGAAATTGTCACCCGCGCCCATGATGCCCACTCACTTTCCCGCTGGCCTTGTTCCCTGCTGCCCTTTTCCTTGAGACTCGACTCTTGCTCTATTGCCCAGGCTTGAGTGCAGTGGCACAGCTCTCTGTAACCTCCACCTCCCAGGTTCAGGTGATTCTCCTGCCTTAGCCTCCTGAGTAGCCAGGATTATAGGTGCATATGGCACCACACCTGGCTAATTTTTGTATTATTAGTAGAGATGGGGTTTCACCATGTTGGCCAGGCTGGTCTCGAACTCCTGAACTCAGGTGATCCGCCCACCTCGGCCTCCCAAAGTGCTGGGATTACAGGCATGAGCCACTGCACCTGGCCTCCCAGCCGCCCTATGGTTGCCTGGCTTTGCGTTCTGTGTGCATCCTGCGTGACAGCCGGAAGCTAACCCCTAGGAGAAGCCCCTGAGACACATTCCATCTCTTCACTCCCTGCATGCCCGGATTTCTGGCTGGGCCCTGCATCACACAGACAGATGTGTGTTTTCATCCCGTCTGTCCCTGACTAATGAGGCCAGGGGCTTTGTCTTCCCGGCTCTGTATGCCCAGAGCCTGACTCCAGTAAACATCTGCTGAATGAGTGGGGCATGGAATCCCAGGGACTTGTCCACTCTGCCTACAGCTCATTGCATGTGACCCTAGACAAAACTCCCCTCTGGGCATTTCCGAGCCTATCTGGCAAGTGGATCTAACCTGCTCTACCAGGCTGCGGCCATGAGTGAAGAGACATCCCCTACTCCTGGCCTGGATGTCCCTTCTCATATTTATTCATTCAACAAACAGCAAGTGGGTGCACTCAACTGCCCGGCCTGTCATCACGTCAGCCACACATTCTTCTATCCACGCGTGTATGGGTCTGAGGAATAGGAGAACAAGATAATTCAGGAGTGGCAAGTGCTATATAGTGAAATGAGGAGTTTGGTAGGAAGCGATGGGGATGGTTCTTTAAGTTGAGGGGTCAGGGAAGCCAGGCATCTTTGAGGAGAGGAGAGCTGAGAACCTAATGAAAAGAGGGTCGGCCTCACAGCCCTGCCGTGATGGAACCGGCAGTGATGTGGGGAGGTGTAGAGGCCTCAGGTGGGGTCAAATTTGGCCTAATTACGGGCCAGGAGGAAGACCTGGGAGGCTGGGAGAGTTGCAGGCAACTGTAGGCTTCTGGAACTATTCCATGCTAGCTGATGGGCTGGGGTGTAGAACCTTTCTCAAATCGGGGCTGCATTTCTTCCCTGGGCCAGGCCTACTTGGGAATCTTTTAACATAGGCCGGGAAGTTTGACTGGAGGACACCGAGAGCCGTAGATCCACCAAAGGCTCCGTGAATTTCAATTGAAAGCAGTCACGGGCCACAACCAGACTGATCCTTGGAGGGACAGCCTCTTCCTGGCCTCCCTCTGGGGAGGCGTGACTGGCAGTGGTGGGGGGGGGGGCTGTGGGAATCATTCTGCAGCCCGACTCTGGCTCCATGGGCAGCTCACTCCCTGCGGCGGTGCTGGCAGTCAGCTGGCACCAGTCTCCGCCAGAGATTCCCACAGCCCACACGGGGGACCCATGTTTCTTTTGTGTAATCAGAGGTGACTTGATGAATAGTTACAGTTCATCCATAGCATCTTTGTTCCCAGGAGAAAGAAAACAAATCATGATTTATACGATCATCACCAGGGCGCCTCTGACCTACAAAGAGGGTTTGGGTCAAAGCCGGGGCAAAGGGCAAGGGCTTGGTCTGGGAGCACTTTTCTGCAGCTGTCACTGTGGTCAGGGCTAGAGCTGGCAAGGGTCTGGGAGTCAGAGGTCTCCCCCAAGACCCATTCTCTCCCCTCTAGGTAGTGTTCCCCACAGCAGAAATGATGCCCAGCCTGGCCCGTACTTGGCAGCACCCGGACACGCCAGGCCAGCCATAGAACCCCCTGGTGGCTGGTCCTCCCAGGCACAGGGAAGGATCCTAAAGTTCAGCAATGGCTGTGCGCCAGGCACCAGGCCTGTGCTCAGGGCTCTGCAGGCACTTCTCAGGCACTCCGCACGAGGTCAGGATGACAACTGTTGCCCCCATTTCATGGATGGGTTTGGGAACACAAAGAGACAAGAAGCAAGACTGTGGCACAGCTCAAAGGCACGGGACTCGAGCCAGGTCCTCCTGCGGGGCTGTGCCCCAGCAGCTGTCAAAGAGTGTTCCTGAGTTCCCAGCAGTGAGGTCTGTGGGGAAGGGCAGTGGTCTGTGCGGTGGGAGGGAGGGAGGGAGGCAGAGGGACAGACCGACCAAGAGCAGAAGGGGTGTAGACGTGGCACATTTGGAGTCAGAAGCAGGCTCTGCATCAGACACAGCCTCAAATCGGGGCTCTGCCTCTTTCTCACAGAGTGATCTTAGCTCCTGTGCCTCAGTTTCCTCATCTGTACTGGAAGAACAATGCTAACACCTGTCCTGTGGGTTTGTTACAAAGACCAGCTGAGAGAACGTGTGTGTTGTACTCATCACAGTGCTTGAGACAGAGTAATCATTCAGTAAATGGTGGCTGCTATCACTATTATTATTATTTACTAATATTACTTTTATTAATTCCTCTCTCTAGTGATGGGAATTTTGTTTATTTTCTCATTTATTTATTTATTTTAGAGACAGGCTCTTGCTCTGACACCCAGGCTGGAGTGCAGCGGTATGATCATAGTTCCCTGCAGCCTCAACTTCTTGGACTCAAGTGATCCTCCCTCCTCAGCCTCCTGAGTGGCTGGGACTACAGGTGTGCACCAACACACCTGGCTCATTTTTGTATTGTTTGTAGAGACGGAGGTCTCTCTATGTTGCCCAGGCTGGTCTCGAACTCCTAGGCTCAGGCAGTCCTCCTGCTTTGGCCTCCCGAGGTGCTTGGATTCCAGGTGTGTGATGGGAATTTCATTTTGGTCCTTATGCTCATCCATATCTTTGTAATACTCCCCAGTGACTGTGAGAGTGCCCATTGTTCTTCTTGTCCTCAGGCCAAGGTGGAAGGGGATGTTGAGCCAGGACCCCTTCCCACCCAGCCCAACAGCATATCTGCCTCATGTTCTGGGGTATTCCAAGCTGGAGGCTCTGACTCCATAATGGGGCGCATGAGTGCAGATGGTGGAATACTAATGAGAATGGTGATGAGCTCCAGCACTTACTGAGGGCTCATTCCGTGCCAGGAACTTGGGCTGGGAGTGCCAGCCAGCGGCCCTGCAGGAGGCCGTGGGTACCACTTCCCCCTGCTGCTCAGATCCTGCTTGATGCCAGCTTCTCAGACCTTCTCCGGCTGGCTGGGCACCCCTGGGTCATGGATCTCTGCCAAGTAGGGAGTGCTGAGAGAGCAGAGCTCACTGCAGGTCTGGCCCCCCACCCGCTGTGTACACCGCCATGGGCCTCTGCAGAAAGAACCCAGTGGGCCCGCACCAGCCCCTGATCCCCAAGACCCCGGCACTCACTGTGCCTTGGTTACGGGGTGAAAAATTTAGGCCGCTGAGCGTCGGTCATGAAATATTCAACAGCCTGTTCTGATGCAGCAGTATGTGAGTGTGTGTGGGGGTGACGCTGGCGCTGGGGTGTGGAGGCTGGCAGCCACGAGCCAGCATGTTTCTGAAGATAGATACGTAGCTGGGTCTTCTGTCTCCCTCATCTGTGTTGACGGGACCCCCTCTGGATCACCAGGCATGGTGCCTGCTCCCCGCACCATCATGAAGTGCCCGGCTCAGCATCAGCCCCAGCAAATGGCAGCCCTGTGTCTAGGGAGTGGGGAGGGAGGAGAAATCAGTGAGTGGGGGTCCATGGGGGCTGCAGAGTCAGGGGTCTCAGTCAGAGTCAGCCTTGGGGTCTCAGGACTCAGGGAAGTGGACAGAGAACCAGGGCTTTAGGGACAGGGAGATGCCAGCTGGGAGGGGCTCAGGATGTGTGTGAGAGGGAGGGAGAGGGCACACGTGACAGGGGTCAGAAGAGGGGCTGAGTCGTGTTGGGAACAAGAGGGTGGGTGGGCAAAGGGGGGTAGCCTGGTGCACGTTGATGGGCAGGCAACAAGTGGATGGGCAGTTGGATGGGTGAACGAGGGATGAATGCAGGGTGGAGCATGTGGTTGATCTACGGGGTGAAAGACTGGGGGAGGTAGATGGGCAGGATGTCAAGTCCTGTGAGGAATTGGCCTCCTAGGCACAAAAGGTGAACTGGAACCCAATAGGTCGTGGCCCCCAACCTGGAACTTCTCCTGGGTCTGGGGGTAGGTTGTGGCTCCACCTAGTGTCCTTCAGTGGCAACTGCACCCTGGGCTGTTCACACCCAACAGCCCAGCAGCCAGGACAGCCCTGCTGTTCCCTAGGTAGGCCCCCTCTGGGCTGGCAGAGCAAGGATAAGGGACAGTGACAGCCGAGAACTAGGCCCTAGAAGCCCCTGAGACACATTCCATCTCTTCACTCCCGGCATGCCCATATTGCCAGCCAGGCCCTGCATGCACAGACAGATGGGTGTTCAAGTGCCACTTACCAACTGTGTGACCGAGGAGAGAGCTGAGTCTGTGCCTCTGTTGTGGGACTATGGGTGATGGCACAGAGTCCCAGCTCCATCTGTGAGCCTCCCCAGCTGTAGCTGCACCATTGACTGAATTCTGATTCTGGCAGGTCCCCTGCTAGGTGCCTTACCGGTGTAATCTCAGTTGATGGTCACAGTAATAGTTGATGGCCGGGCGCAGTGGCTCACACCTGTAATCCCAGCACTTTGGGAGGCCGAGACAGGCGGATCACTTGAGCTCAGGAGTTTGAGACCAGCCTGGCCAAGATGGCAAAACTGGGTTTCTACTAAAAATACAAAAATTAGCCAGGCGTGGTGGCACATGCCTGTAGTCCCAGCTGTTTGGGAGGCTCAGGCAGGAGAATGGCTTGAACCCAGGAGGCAGAGGGTGCAGTGAGCTGAGATTGCGCCATTGCATTCCAGCCTGGATGACAGAGAAAGACTCCGTCTCAAAAATAAAAATAAAAATAGAAGAACCTTCTTGCCAGTGCCGTAGCCCAGAGCTAGCACAGCAGAAGCATTCAGTACATAGTGGACATCCCGAGGGCTGCCAGATTAACAAAAACAGCAACAACAAAACCCGGGATGTTTGACTAGCTTTGAATCTCAGATAAAAAAGTTGTATTTTAGTATAAGTATGTCCCATGCAATATTTGGGATATAGAATACTAAAGCATTATCCGTTCATCCGAAATTCCGGTTGAACTGTGTGAACTGCATTTTGTCTGGCAACCCTTACCACCCTGCCCGCTGGGAACTCAGTCTTCTGGGGGAGGCAAAGGTCAAAATCAGTTATGGTCAACCAAGCATGACAGGTCATGCTCATAGTGGCCCTGGGCAGTGTGGGGCGGAGGCCAGCAAGGGGGAAATAAATCAGGGTGGCCCTCATGGAGGAGGGATGGGTACTGAGTCTTCAAGAGGGAGGAGGATGGAAGGACATTCCAGATGGAGGGGGCACACGATGAAAGGGATAGAGGTCAGACACAGCAGTTGTGGGGACTCATGGTGACAGTGGGCGAGAGGGGAGGAAAGGCCAGCTCACCACATCTTTGTAGACCTCGGTTAAAAAGTGGGACTGAGGCTGGGCGCGGTGGCTCTGTAATCCCAGCACTTTGGGAGGCCGAGGCGGGCGGATCACGAGGTCAGGAGTTCGAGACCAGCCTGGTCAACATGGTGAAACCCCGTCTCTACTAAAAATACAAAAGATTAGCGGGGCGTGGTGGCGCATGCCTGTAATCCCAGCTACTCAGGAGGCTGAAGCAGAAGAATCGCTTGAACCCGGGAGGCAGAGATTGCAGTGAGCCAAGATCCAGCCACTGCACTCCAGCCTGGGCGACAGAGCTAGACTTCTTCTCAAAAAAAAAAAAAAAAAAAAAAAAAAAAAAAAGTGGGACTGAGGGCAGGGCAGTGCTGGGTGGGACGCCCTCAGGGGCCTCTGAGGGAGGGTGGCTCAGGACTCAGTCCAGGGGGAGCCCCCCGGGCGGCAGCGGGCCGGTGACAGGGCCCTCTCCCGCCCACTCTCCCTGCCGTCCAGGGCTCCCCGGGAGGGGAGGGGGGCGGGTAAGGAGGCCTCGGAGGGGGTGAGGCGCTGAAAGCCCACGGTGGGCGCTGTGTCTCCGCAGGGGAGTGAATGCCCAAACCAAGAACGGTGCCACGCCCCTGTACCTGGCGTGCCAGGAGGGCCACCTGGAGGTGACGCAGTACCTGGTGCAGGAATGCGGCGCGGACCCGCGCCCACGACGGCATGACCCCACTGCACGCCGCGGCGCAGATGGGCCACAGCCCGGTCATCGTGTGGTTGGTGAGCTCCGGGCCCGGGCGGTGCGGAGGGGAGACGGGGCGGAGCCGGCAGGGCGGGGAGTGGAGGGAGCGGGGCCATCAGGAGTGGGGCGGAGGACCGTGGGCGGGGCCTGCAGGGGCCTGGCCCCCATCCCCCGCCCCTCTCTCCCCGCCCCTCCCGCCCAGGTGAGCTGCACCGACGTGAGCCTGTCGGAGCAGGACAAAGACGGCGCCACCGCCACGCACTTCGCGGCGAGCCGCGGCCACAGCAAGGTGCTCAGCTAGCTGGCTGCTGCTGCACGGCGGGGAGATCTCGGCTGACCTGTGGGGCGGGACCGCGCTGTACGACGCCGCCGAGAACGGGGAGCTAGGGGTCAGCGCGGGCCCGGGGTGGGGGCGCGCGCCCTCTGCTGGCACCGCGCTCTCCGCACGGCCCTGCCCGGGCGCGGGGGTCCCAGCTCGTGGCCGCGGCCGGGTCCTCACTGCGTGCCCCCACAGTGCTGCCAGATCCTGGTAGTGAACGGCGCGGAGCTGGAAGTCCGCGACCGCGACGGGTACACGGCCGCTGACCTGTCGGACTTCAACGGCCACAGCCACTGCACCCACTACCTGCGCACGGTGGAGAACCTGGTACGATCCCTGCGCTGCTCCTGTCGCATTCTCTCTTCTCGCCCCTCCACCCCAGTGGTGGGTGTCGTCACCCCTTTTACCAAGGAGGAAGCTGAGGTTCAGAGACGTGAAGCCCGCTACCCCACACGACCTGTCAGCCCAGAACCACTGCCTGCTGGGGACTGAGGGAGTAGAGGCACAAAGGTTAACGGAAAGAGGACAGGGAAGAACAGGGTCACCCCAAGGGGTAAGGCTGGAGAAATCACAAGACAGGCCCCATTGGGAACAGGCAGGCTCATTCACCTACCCATAGACATTAGCTTGGGTATAACTCACAGCCACCCTCTGCAGAAGAGAGTGTAAGTGTCCCGTTCCACATATGGGTAAAGGGAGTCTGCGGGGCACCAGGATCGCATCACCAGTAAGTGGTAGAGTGGAGAACCTACCTTGATGGCCTGACCAGGAGCCACCTCTCTGCCCCTGCACCATATATTAGCTGACTTCATGGCTGGGTCATAACTGGAAACCCATGCTACTCTTTTTAAATTATGTTTTTATGGTGAGACAGCCACGAAGTGACCTACTGGGACTTGAACTCAGCTGTGGATGTCTCCAAGTGAGGGCTCTGCACCATCTGGTACAATGCCTGCTTTGAGGCAATAGGCAGGGAAGAGAGTGGGCCTCACAGCCAACCCCAAAAGGATGCGGACCAACTCCATGGGGCAGCCTGGCCATGAAGGGGCTGTGAAATGAGGCCCGGAGGGAAGAAGGCAGATGGTCTGTGCCCTGAGCACCTTCTGTCCATCTGTCGTCCCTGCCAGCACAGGGGGATGGTCCTGGCTCTGGGGGCTGCAGAACACAGCAAGGCCCAGAGGCCAGAGGCTGCAGGCGGGCCTGAGGGTGAACTTCCCCCCGAGAAAGAGTCTCTGGAAGAGAATGAATGGCCCAGCAGGTAGTGAGCACTCTGTCACTAGGGTATATAAGCCAGGATGGACACAGGGAAGGACATTTCTGCATCAGTGGTGGGTCCCCATCAGTTAAGAGAGCCTGTGACTCTGTCGAGGGACCATGGGGGGTGGCACCAGAGCCCAGGGCACCTGAGGGCCTGTCTGGATGCAGCTGCTAGTGGTCATAGGACAGCAAACACTATTCATTGGATTCTGACTTAGGCAGGTACCCTGCCGAGTGCCTTAAAGGTGTAATCTCAGTTACTCTTCACAGTACATTAAAAAAATAGTTGGCTGGGTGCAGTGGCTCAGGCCAGGCGCGGTGGCTCATGCCTGTAATCCCAGCACTTAGGGAGGCCGAGGCGGGCAGATCACGAGGTCAGTAGATCAAGACCATCCTGGCCAACATGGTGAAACCCCGTATCTACTAAAACTACAAAAAAAAAAAAATTAGCCAGGTGTGGTAGCACACGCCTGTAGTCCCAGCTACTCGGGAGGCTGAGGCAGGAGAATTGCTTGAACCCAGGAGGCGGAGGTTGCAGTAAGCCAAGACCGCGCCACTGCACTCCAGCCTGGTGACAGAGCAAGACTCTGTCTAAAAATAAAATAAAATAAAATAAAAAAGTTGACAGGCCGGGTGTGGTGGCTCATGCGTGCACTTTGAGAAGCTGAGGCGGGTGGATCACCTGAAGTCAGGGTTCGAGACCAGCCTGGTCATCATGATGAAACCCCATCTCTACTAAATATACAAAAATTAGCTGGGTGTGGTGGCGGGTGCCTTTAATTCCAACTACTTGGGAGGCTGAGGCAGGAGAATTGCTTGAACTCAGGAGGTGGAGGTTGCACTGAGCCAAGACCATGCCACTGTACTCCAGCCTGGGCAACAAGAACAAAACTCCGTCTAAAAAAAAGAAAAGAAAAAAATTTGACAGTATGGCATTTACTGGGCGCCATGTCCTGGAGCTCAGCAGAGCAAGTAGTGCTGTTACCCCCATTTGCAGATAAAGAAACTTAGGCACAAAAAGCACAGGTGACTCACCCGAAATAGCTAGTAAGTCGGGGAGGGGAAGTTTGAAGCCACAGTCCCAGACTGCAGAGCTGGGTGGCTCAGGCCAGGCGCAGTACACCTGCTGAGGCCCAGCCTCTTATCTGCTGCCTACAGGGGTCAGGGCTTGGTGCCCTCAGCACCCACTGCTGTTGCCCAGGTAAAGAGCACCTTTGGGTGCTGCCCACGCCACCTCCTATGGCTCCCCTGACTCCTGCGGTAGGTAGCAGGGCCTGGTCCCCTGGAATGGGTGGGGTGTGTGTGCCCTGGTCCCCTCACTCAAGCAGGCCCAGCTGAGGCAGGGACAGACCCAAGCCACAGAAGACGCTGGCCCAGAAAAGGCAAACACTCCAGCAGAGCCCCTAATTACGGGGCCAATGAGCACGGCCGCTGAGCCGTTACCTGGTGCCAGGCCTGCCTCTCTCTCCCAGGGTGCCTGTGACACTTCTTAGGCAGGGAGGGGGCACGGGGCAAGGAGGAGCAGGCCTGGGCAGGAGGCAGCGGAGCAAGCGGGCTTGCCGGCAGCAGGGGCAGCATGGGCAATGTAAGCAGGGCCCCTACCACAGCCCCCTCTGCACCGGGAGGGGACAGGCCTGTGGTCAGACGCACAGACCGGGCAGGGCGGGGGAATGGCAAGCCTGGCAGCCTGAGCTCTGGCTGCCCATCACTGCTCAGCTGGCCATCCAGGCCCTACCCTTACCCCAAGGGCCCCATCAGGAGACAGGCCGGGCTGGTGTTGGGAGTCTGCTCCAGGTCCCAGGTCTGGCAAGGAGAGCTGGCTTGCCAGCCAGGTCACTAGGGATGGGCCTGTGCTGTGCCCTTCCCCATGGAGCCTGTGCCGATCTGTGAGGGAGAAGGCCGATCTCCTGGCAGTTCTCCCCCTGGGGTGCAGCTCAAGGCCCCCTCCTCGTCGATCTCTCCACCCTCCTAATCAGGGAGGAGCCAGGGGAGGGAGTTTCCCAAGAACCTGGGTCCTCTGCCTGGCGGGGCTGGGCTTGAATCTTAACCCGGAGGAATCTGAAAGACCCTCTAGCGATGGGGAAGAGACCCCAGAGAGGGGTGTGGCTTGGCCAAGATCCCACGGCAAAGGCATGGTTGAGTAGGACCCTGGCCTGGAGAGCAACGCATCTTGGGGTGCAGTTGCCTTCATGGCCTCCCTGCCTCCCCTTCAGAGCATGGAGCACTGCGTGCTCTCCCGGGATCCATCCGTGGAGCTGGAGGCGAAGCAGCCGGATTCAGGCATGTCCTCACCCAACACCACGGTGTCGGTCCAGCCTCTGAACTTTGACCTCAGCTCGCCCACCAGCACCCTCTCCAACTACGACTCCTGCTCCTCCAGCCACTCCAGCATCAAGGGCCAGCACCCTCCACGTGGTGAGTGTGCCCAGGAGGAAGAGGGGGAGGGAGAGCAGACTGAAGCCAGACTGCTGGGCTGTGAGGGTTGGCCTTGGGCCAGCCTGCCACAGCCAATATCGAAGACTACTCTCATCACTTGCTTTTAAACATGGGGAGGCGACACCCTTTCTGGTGAGAGACAGATGTCACTCATACTTGTGTGTGCTCATCACAGACATACATGTACATCCACATGTACTCTCCCCACCCACAAAATCCACGTGTGCCGCCCACCATTCATTATTCTTAGCTACTCACACACAAAAGCACACACTTGTACATGTGTACACACAGCATACAGATATGAACACACATACAGAGCCAGGCTAATATCTGCACACACCCACCTTACACACAAGCACACAATGCTCTATTTCCATACTACAGATATGCACACACACACACACCATGTCCACAGAGCAATGCACACACATTCATCAATACAAAGAAGCATGTGCACAAATGCGTACACACTCAAACATACACAAATTCACAATCGCCTCGGCAGACTGCAGGCTTGTGTGTACACACACCCTGACCGTGCCCTGAGCATGGGCGTCCATCCACTTGCAATGCCTGCTTCACGCCACCAGATGGTGGCCTCCAGACCTGGCAGGGTGCCCTGCAAAGATTGGATGTGGCCATCTGTACTCCCAAGGAGTAGACCCTCCCCTTCCAGGTGACCCTGCCCTCTAGACACACGAAAGCCTCCAGTGCTTCCCCTCCAAACCGGAGTGCCTGGTCTTCCCCCAATAAGTGCTGGGCTGGGGCAGGGCAGGGCCAGGGAGAGGAAGCCCAGCAACGCCAGGGGCCACAACAGGTGTACCAAGTGGTGCCCGGAGCCCACCTTGGCCCTCGGCAAGTTGTTTCCAGGTGGTGGAGAGTCTCATTCTTGGGGGAAAGCCTGTCTGCATGCTTCCAAATCTGGCCCTTCCTTCTGCCTCCCCAGGGCTTCCCAGCACTAGAGCTGCAGACATACAGAGCTACATGGACATGCTGAACCCAGAGCTGGGCCTGCCTTGGGGCACGATTGGGAAGCCCATACCCCCACCACCCCCACCCAGCTTCCCCCCGCCACCCCCGCCCCCAGGCACCCAACTGCCCCCACCCCCACCTAGCTACCCATCTCCCAAGCCTCCTGTGGGACCACAGGCAGCTGACATCTACATGCAGACCAAGAACAAACTCCGCCACGTGGAGACAGAGGCCCTCAAGAAGGAGGTAGTGAGCCCTCACCCACTGCCTGCCTCCCAGCAGGGGTACTGGGCTGATGGGGGCCAGTCAGGCCAAAGGCCTGGCCTCACTAGTGGGCACAGGGTGGGGGTCCCTGGGTCCATGGCATATTCAAGAGTCAAAGCTCCTGGCGAGTCCCACGAGGGGTCAGGGCTGGACACTGGACTGGGAGGAGAGTAAGAGCAGGTCACTGTCCTCCATGGGAGCTGGGGGGTGAAGGACGCAGGTCCAGACAGCTGTTCCTCACCAGGAACTGGGCCTGTGCCACCTCTTGCACAGAGTGGCCGGGTTGTCATGGAGTTGACAGAGAATGCATGGAGACTGCCCCTCCCCAAGCATGCCCCCCCACCCCCACAGCCCCAGGCTCAGTCGGAGAGTGTCACCCAAGGGAGGTGGCTGCCAGGTGGAAGGTGCCAGTGGCATGGCTGTAGAGGTAAGGGCTGGAAGGAGGGAGGGAGGAAGGTGAGCAGGCACTAGCAGGGCTGGGCGCCCACCGGCAGTAGGGGCTGGGAGGAAGTGAAGCTGTGGCTGGTTCCAGTTTAGGGCTTGAGCTCCTGGGGGAAAGGGCCAGGCCTGAGCTGGGAGCCCTGGAGGGAAGCGAGCCTGTGTGGAGAGGATGAGGGCAGGGTGGGTAGGTGAAGTGTGAGGTGCCTAGGGATGTCTGGGGCCTGCAGGCGCCTGGCTGAGGCTCTGGAGCAGGGATTGGGGCAGAGGTCTGGTCTGAGCAATTGCGGGTATCCTCGGCAGGGTGCCCTGGGGAACACTGGCGTTCTGGCCACAGGAACAGAGCAAGGATGGTCTAAGAGGTGAGGGGACAGCCTGAGGTCACAGGTGGCCAGATGTGGTGTGGCAGCTCCCTGGGGTCCTGCTGGAGCCTGGGACCTTGCAGTTCTCTCTTAAGCCCAAGGCAAAGCCACCCCAGGGCCAATTCATACAAGGTGACTCAGGTCACAAGGCCAGTGGGCAAGGGAGGCATGGGAGGGACACCAAACCTGCAGGCCAGCTCCAGTAGCTGCCCTCTTCACGCCACCTTAGACCAAGCTCCCACAGTGGCTTTCCCCTTTCATCTCTGGGAGGCAGAGGGGGCCGGGCGGGTAGGGCTGCAGGGGCCCTGGAATCGTTGAGCTCCCGGCGCAGACTGTGGGCCCCGCCCAAATCCACAGGACAGGTGGCCCAGCCAGTGCCCCCTCTCCACCGCTGAGCCCAAGTGCCAGGTCTGTGAGGTCACCTCCTGGCTGTGCGAGCCCCCTCCCGGCTGTGTGCGTCCCTCCCGGCTGTGTGTGCCCCTCCCGGCTGTGTGCGTCCCTCCCGGCTGTGTGTGCCCCTCCCGGCTGTGTGTGTCCCTCCCGGCTGTGTGCGTGCTGGGCCGCAGACGCCAGGGCCCGGGCCGGGAAGCTCTACAAAGGGCTCTTTGTGTCGCCGCGGCGCCTCCCGCGCGGGTGCCTGACCGCAGGTGGGAGCAGGGTCGTGGCGTCGGAGCCTCCGGGCTGCAGGGGGCGCGGAGCCGGCGGGCTGGCCCAGAAAACGAATCCTGCGGTGTCGCGTTTCCTGCAACGTGAGCCAGGTCGGGCGGGGTGAAGGGTCTGAGGCCACCGCAGGGACGCATGGGCTGGAGAGTGGGGCAGGGGACAGCCCCCACCCGGTCACTCAGTCTTTGGCCCGGCCGCCTCACTCTCCCTCACTGAGCTGGGCCTAGTTGGGGGCAGCTGCGACGGGGCGGGAAGCCGCGCTGTCACCCGACCCCGCCTTACGGCCCCTGAAATCCGAGGCTTGAGCGCGGGTGTCGGTGTCGCTTTCGTGGATGGCGATGGTTTCCAGATGCAGGAGGGAAACGGTGGGGACGCGACCCGGAGCCGGCAGCCAAATATGAGAGGCCCCCTCTGCCCACGGTCAGCCCTCTCTCCTCTCGGGCGGGGATGAAGGTGGGGGCTCAGCTCCCAGCTTAGGGAGAGGCGCAGGGGGCGGGGTCACATCTGGCCCGGGGCGGGTGCAGAGCCGCGGCCAGGTGTGGCAGAGTAGTTGGCGCCCCCGTGGCATCCGCGACGGCTGGGGGGGGGGTTCGGCCTGGGATTGGCGGGCCCCGGGTGATGTCAGGCCGTCGGAGCCCATAGGCTGGCCGTGCGCGGGCGTCTGTAACCTGAGAGGAAGTATCACGTAAAGCAGGTGTCGGGTCCTGCCGCCCCCGCCGCCAGGTGCACAGCAGGACCACCAGCACCGTGGCAGGTTGGAGCAGCCCCTAGACGGACAAGCGGGGTCCGGGGCAAGCCGGAGCCTCGGAGAGCACAGGCTCTGGAGGGGGCTCCCTCCGGCCCGGGACCCCCGAAAGACAGGGCTCCGCGGAGCCCTGGGGACCCGCAGTCCTTCTGACAGCCGAGAGCGGAGTGCGGCCGAGGGCCTAGTGAAGGCTAAGCTGGGAGGTGCCCCTTCTCTAGCTCCCCCTGGCGTCGGGGCTGGGCCACCCCGCCCCTGGGCCCGCCCCTTCTGGCCTCAGTGGGGGACCCTGTGCCCCTTGGCCGGTGCCCAGAACCCCTCCCTGTAAGGCGGGCGGAGCCTGCCCTTCCACCGAGGCCCCCATGAACCTCGCCCGCTGCCCACCGTGAGAACAGGGGGTCTAGGAAGTCGGCTGCTGCACCCCCCGACGGCCGCTGGCCGCGAGTTCCCAGGAGGTGAAGAGCTGGGTGGGGAGGCGTGGGGGGCGCCTACCGGGCAGTTGCCCGAGCCCCACCGGTCACTGTCTTCCCGCAGCCGAGCTCCTGCGACGGCCACGACGGGCTACGGAGGCAGGACTCCAGCCGCAAGCCCCGCGCTTTCAGCAAGCAGCCCAGCACGGGGGACTACTACCGGCAGCTGGGCCGCTGCCCCGGCGAGACGCTGGTCGCACGCCCGGGCATGGCGCACCGCGAGGAGGTGCGTGCCCGCCAGCCCGCGCCCGCCGGCTGCCCGCGCCTCGGCCCTGCCGCCCGCGGCTCGCTCGAAGGCCCCTCCGCTCCCCCGCAGGCGGCGCAGTCGTCGCGGATGCTACGTGGGCGCCAACTGCTCTGCCACACCTGACCGCGGCTCTGCACGCGCCCCCGGCCAGATGTGACCCAGACCCCTCAGCCTCTCCCTAAGCTGGGAGGTGAGCCCCCACCTTCATCCCCGCAGGCGGAACTCCCTGGGAACCACGTGCCTAATGGCTGCGCCGCGGACCCCAAGGCGTCCAGGGAGCAGCAGCTGCTGCCGCCGCCGCCGCCGCCGCCGCCCCTGCCCGAGGCCGCGAGTTCGCCGCCGCTGGTCCCGCCTCTGCCCCTCGAGGGCGCTGGCCCTGGCTGCGGGCAGCGCCGCTCCTCCTCGCCCACCGGCAGTGAGTAGGGGCAGGTTGAGGGGTGGGGGGCGGCGCTAGCCCTGAAAGGGGAGGGAAATCTAGACACCGCCCCCTCCCCAGCTGTCACTGCCCGGGTCCTTCCTCTTCTACATGGTCTTCCGGCCACCCCTACCCCATTGAGTACTTGACCCTAAGAGAGGGCTCTGGGTTGCTTGAGGTCCTGCCAAAGCAGGACCGGGCTGCACAGCCTGGGGCAAGTCCCTTCCCCAATCTGGGCCTGCCTCCCACCCTCTAGCTGTGTGGCCTGGACAAGTCCCCTCCCCTCTCTGGGCCTGCCTCCCACGGGCTAGAAAGGGCCTTCCAGCTCTGGCGCTGGTGTTTCCCATGAGCTGGTGCTGGTGTTTCTGATGAGCTGGTACTGGAGGGACACTTGAAGTCGAACCAGCTTCAGAGAGGCCCCGCAGCTGGCCACCCTTCCCCCTGCCCCTGTCTATCCTGAGCCTCTCTTCCTCTCTCCACGTCTTTCTCTTGTCTTTCCAAGCAGCACAGACCTGAAGCCTTCTTAGATATGCCAGGAACTCTTCCTAGCCAGTTCCTGCCAGGGGCCCTGGGCCAGCCAGAGCCTGGCTATGGGGGCAAAGCTGTGACCCACCATGTTTCCCCCTCCCTCCCCGGTGACTTCCCTAGGCATCCTTTTTTAAGAGCTAGACTGGCGCAGGATTCCTGGGCTTCTTTTCTGTAGGGTGGGACAGTGTCCCCCTGCCAGGACACCTAGAAGGCCCAGGACAGGGTGCCTAGATGTGGTGCTCCCATCCCAGCCTGGCTGGGGTGCCTTCCTCACCCAGCCACTCAGGGTAGAGATCATGCTTAGTGGCACCCCTCAAAGCTTCATCTCCCTGACTAGGAGTGCAGAGCAGAGCTTGTCCCCCTATGGTTCCTATGGAGCCCCAGCCCCTGCAGACCAGAGCCCATGGAAGCATGTCCAGCACCTGCCGAGCCTCCTTCTCCTTCCCTCCACAGTCTGCAGCAGGGCTGAAGCTAAGGGCAGAGAAAAATATACTCTGGGCTTCCCCAGACACCCCCACCCAGCACAGCCAGGGCTGGGTGCCCTACCCCAACCCAGTGCCAAGGTGGAGGCCCTTGCTGGGGGCTAGAGCCACTGGTGGCCCTGCCCTGCCCAGCCCTCAGGGGCACCAGCCAAACCAGGAACTCGATGGACCACCCTCATGGGGCCCCAGAGCAGCCTGAGCCAGGGTCAGATGGGCAGAAATGCTCCTCCTCTCTTCTCCACTTCCCCCCTCCTGCTCTCCCTGGCCCGCTCCCTGTCCCCTGCTATCCCAGTCTCATCCTGGCCCCCTTTCCCTCCTAACTCCGCTGTCACTTCTCTCCTCTTGGTCCCTAGAAGTGAGAGTCCTGAGGCACAGGAAGAGTGAGTAGCTGCGTGCGCGGCTCCTGGCTGAGGCTGAGGCGCGGGGTGGGGGGAAGAGGCAGGAAAAGCACGGGAGGAGGGGCCCAGCCTTGAGGAAAGGGCAGGGGCAGGGGCTGGCAGGCGAGAGAACCTCGATGCATGGGTGGGGCCTTGTACCTCATACCTACCCTCATACCCACATATGCACCCAAGCATTCTGCGCCTGGCTGATGGTTTTGCCTAAATAAATGAATAAGCCACACCGATTTTCCCTTTCTCCTACTCTTCTCCTCCCGGTGACTGCACTCTGGGATCCCCAGCCTGGGAATCCAAGAGCTGTCGGCCCATTTTATTCCTCCCTCCCAGACCTGACCCCTTCATCGGGGCTCAAGAGACCTATCTCTCCAAATCTCCATTCGCCTCCTCCGGCTAAGCCAGAAAATGCACCCTCTGCCCTGGGTGTTTGCATATTACCTGCCTGCCCTTCTTCCTGGGTGCCTCCTGTGGCCTTAGTAAGGGCTCTGCTTTCCCCTAGAGCTGAGCCGTGCTTTGCCATAAATGTGCTCCCGGCTTGCAACCAATGTGTCTGCTTGTGCGTCTGTCTGTGGGTGTGGTGGCGAGGGAGGGGAGCAGGTGGTACTGGCACTCCGGGGTCTGGACTCTGCATGTCCATGGAGGCCCCAATTGACTCAGCTCAAGGGTCACTGAGGCTTTGCTGATGTAGGGAGAGGGCCAGAGGGAGGCTCCACCCAGCCGGGCTGAGCCAGGAAACCTGGGACAAAGGTCCGGTGGCTGATTCCAGGTAGTGTTTTGGGGCTGGGCAGTCAGTGGCTGGGCAGGAATATATGCCCAAGAGCCACCATGAACTCCCAGGGGTCTCCAGGCAGGGGCCCTCCATCCCGTGAGTAGGGTGGGGGAGGATGGTGGGGTTGCCACAGTCGGGGAACCAAGGGCCTGCCTCTGGGGGCCCTGAAAGCTGCCTGCGGGACCTGGGATCTGGAGAGCTGCCCGCTGGCCCCGAGGATGGGCACCCATCCAATCTTGGGTTGGGAAGGGGGCTGCAGAGGGGCAGGTGAGGGGTGGCAGGGATGCAGCCCCACCCTGGCCAGTGCCTCATCTCCTGCCTCTGCATAGGCACCAAGTCTTTCAATGTGATGTTCCCGATGGGCGACAACTCAGAGCTACTGGCTGAGATTAAGGCAGGCAAGAGCCTGAAGCCGACGCCACAGAGCAAGGGGCTGACCACAGTGTTCTCAGGCAGCAGGCAGCCGGCCTTCCAGGTAGGCGGGCCCAGCAGGAGCCTGCGACCCGGCTTCCCTGGCCCTAGGCCACCAGGCGCTCAGCCCCACCGCTTCTCCCTGCAGCCCGATTCGCCGCTGCCGTCTGTGTCACCTGCACTGTTACCAGTCCAGAGCCCCACACCGCCAGCTGCGGGGTTTCAGCTGCTGCTCAACGGAAGCTTGGTTCCGGTGCCGCCCACTACTCCTGCGCCGGGGGTGCAGCTGGACGTGGAGGCGCTCATCCCCACGCACGATGAGCAGGGCCGTCCCAAGCCCGAGTGGAAGCGCCAGGTGATGGTGGGCAAGATGCAGCTGAAGATGTAGGAGGAGGAGGAGCAGAGGTGGAAAGTGGGTGGGGCGGGGTGCCCAGGGAGCCCTGGGGTCTGCATCTGGATGCACAGCCCATCCCCCACGCCACCCCCAACACCAACCTCGGGACCTCCTATTTTCTTTCTTTCTTTCTTTTTCTTTTTTTCTTTTTCGTGAGACAGAGGCTTGCTCTGTCGCCCAGGCTGGAGTGCAGTGGCATGATCTCGGCTCACTGCAACCTTTGTCTCCTGGGTTCAAATGATTCTCCTGCCTCAGCCTCTCAGGTAGCTGGGATTACAGGCGCATGCCACCACGCCCAGCTAATTTTTTTGTATTTTTATTAGAGACGGGGTTTCACCATGTTGGCCAGGGCTGGGATTACAGGCATGAGCCACCATGCCCGGCCATCTTCTTTAGGGAAATCAGGGTGGCACGACCCCGTTTGGGGCTTGTCCCAGTCTCCACACACACCCCCAGCAGCTTGTCCTTGGAGTGAGACAGCAGCCTTTCTCAGACTCTCCTTCACCTGCCCAGCACCTGGGATCTGGTTAAAAGGCCTGTTCGGATTCAGGAGGTCTGGGCAGGGCTGAGGTTCTGCATTTCTAGCCAGCTCCTGGGTGAGGCTGCTGATGACACTGGTCCAAGGACCACACTGAGTAGCCAAGAGAGCTTTGGTCTCAGTCTTAGGGACCTGGGCTCCATTGCTGCGCTGCCGCCTTCCAGCTGCCGATACTGAGCCTCATCCAGCCTCAGTTTCCTTCTCTGTAAGGTGAGCTGATCAGCACCAGCTGGCAGGATGAGTTGCCTTCCATTCATCCAAAAACTATTCCCCGAATGCCATTTATTTTTATTATTTTTTATTTTTTTGAGACAGGGTCTCACTCTGTCACTGAGGCTGGAGTACAGTGGTGCGATCTTGACTCACTGCAACCTCCACCTCCTGGGTTCAAGTGATTCTCCCGCCTCAGCCTCCCGAGTAGCTGGGACTACAGATGCCCGCCAACCATGCCCGGCTAATTTTTGTATTCTTAGTAGAGATGGGGTTTCACCATGTTGGCCAGGCTGGTCTTGAACTCCTGGCCTCAAGTGATCTGCCCGCCTCGGCCTCCCAAAGTGCTGGGATTACAGGCGTGAGCCACCACGCCTGGCCCCCGAGTGCCATTTATGTGCCCCACACGCTTGTAGCCTCTGGGGATTCATGGTGAACATATCAAGGCCTGCTCTAAGGTGGCTGCGGACATGTGTGCGAGTCACCAAGCACACAAAATGGGGCAGGGTGAGAGAGTGGGTGGCAGTGGAGAGAAGTACCTGGGCTGATGCAACACAGCCAGCTGCAATGGGGAACGCAGGGGACTGGGGCAGCCCTAACCGGCCACCTTATACGTGGGCTGGGGGGTGTGTTAGGGAAGGAGGAGGTGATGTCTAAGGTAACACTTGGAAGACGAGTGAGGGGTGGCCAGGCGGAGAGGGGGCTGAAGAGCCGCAGGTGGGACAGGGCAGTCTGGAAGTGAGAGTGGATGTGGCCCTGACTGTCCTGGAGGAAGGGGGTCGCTGAGCTGGAGAGACCTCAGTGGGGGCCAGGTTACCAAGACCTGGCCAGAGGCCCAGAAGAGAACGGACTTTCTCCTGGAGCACTGGGGAGCCGGGTGCGGGGAGTGTTAAGCAGGGAAGAGGCTGCTTCCTAATTGTATGTGGGGAGTGGATCCCATAGGGTCAAGATGAATCAGGGACCTCTGTGGAGGCGATGGCAGGCCCAGGGGGGAAAACTGGACATCAGAGGTGGAGAAAAGTGAGCAAATGAGAATATTACGGTGCCCAGCTGTCCAGCACGACGAAGGGAGGGGAAGGGTGGGCAGCTCAGTGGAAGCTGCAGCTGCAGCCTCTTTAAGAGAGGAGTGGCCTCTCATTCTGCACATAAAACATTGACCACAGGGAGCGGAAGGCTTGGGCCACAGGGGAGCTGGAGAAGGGGTCATGAGTCTGGGAGGAGAGGCCTCACAATAGCCGCCCTCGGATGGGTTGGGGCGGGCCACCGCGCCTCTCAGCTTCAAGGCCTTTGGCAAGTTCCTTGGGTGGTGTAATGAGCGAACAAGCCAGGCATGGAGACCCCGTCTGCTGGCCTGTTCTTGCCGCCGCAGCAGCGAGCAGCAACCGGCCGTGCCCCCCGCCAGCGACCAAAGTGGACACTGCCCAGAGCCTGGAGCGGCGGCTCAGGCCGAAGCCTCACCCCAGCGTCACCCCCCGCCGGCCAGACGCGGTCCCTCCCTGCAGACGCAGCCCCGCGGAGCCATTACACCACCCAGGACATGCAAAAGGTTCCTGGCGCCACGGCGGGAGCTGGGCCAGAGGGAGACGCGCCTCCCTCCCCTCTCTTGTCTTCCCCGCCTTAGCTGACGGCCGCCAGCTCGTGCTGCTACCCCCGCGAGGGCTGGAGGTACCCCCGCGAGGGCTGGAGGTACTCCCGCGAGCACAACGCCATCCTCTGGCCCTTTGGCGAGCTCATGACCGAGGCCGACATCCTCCGCATCGAGCAGCAATCGAGAACCTGCAGGTGCTGCACAAGGCGCAGAAGCTGGAGGCGCGCCTGGAGCAACTGGAGCTGAGCAGCTGCTGCCCATCTCCGTCGCCCTGTGGAGCCGCGCTTCACCGTCGACCCGCGCCGAATGCATGGCCGCGCCGCCAGCCTGCCCGCCTGGTGCAGCAAGATCTCCACGCTGCTCAAGAGCATGGCCACGCTGCTAGCCGCGCTGGGCTGCCGGCCTGCGCACCTGGCGGAGCTGCCGACCGCTGACACGGGCCAGCCGCTGGCGCCGCTGCCTGAGGCGCCCTGACTGCCTGGGCCGCTCGCACTGGCTCAACTGGTGCCGCGAGGCTGTGGCGCGCGAGATCCTCGAGTGCGGCGCCTCCGTGCAGCATCACCGCGCCACCTACGAGCTGCGCGCACTGGACGCGGCGCCCCCGCGCTGTCCGCGCCGCAAGCCCCCGCAGTCCGCTGGCGCCCCGGTCCGCGAGCCCATCCTGTAGGAGGACTACGTGGCGGCCGGCTCTGGCCAGCCCAGCGCCGCCGCCGCCCACGGCCCGCTGGCCGACTGGGAGCCCCTGGACACCCTGGGCCCGCCTGAGGCACAGGATTGCCAGGCGGCGCTACCTGAGCCCGAGCAGCTGGCGCGCCGGCCGCCCCTCTGCACGGAACTGCGCGGCGTCCAGGACTACCTCGACCTGCGCAAGGAGCGCATCGTTTACCTCTTCCTGGAGCACTGGCGCCTCTGGGCCTTCCTCGGACCGGGCCTTCCGCGGACCAGGCGCGCCTAGGCAGACTGCTCCCTGGCGTGACGGCCGCCCGTGCTGGCCGGAGCTGGAGGCCACGGACGCCCCCCGGCTGCCGGTGAGCAAGGGCGAGGCCCACAGCCCCAACGAACGGCTGCGGCAGCTGCTGAGGCAGCGGCAGGCAGTGGGCAAGCTGCTGCACCACTGGCGGAGCCTGCGGCGGCACGTGCCGCCAAGCCCGGGCCTGGCGCGCACGGCGTGTACTGGCCCCAGCACTTCCTGTCGCCCCTAGACGGCGGCGCACCCCCGCGCTACGAAAGCCTCACGCTCGACCTCTTCATGCTCGGCTACTTCCAGCTACCGGAGATGGGCCTGAGCCGCGAGGATCGCAAGTTCCGCCACCTACTGTGCTACGAGATGTTCCACCGGCTGGACAGCCACCCGTGGGAGCGCATCCGCCTCTTCCACCGCGTGGTGCTGGAGGAGGTGGAGGCCGGCCGGCGCGGCTGGAGCGACGGCTTCGAGGACCTCAGGCACAGGTTCTTCGGAAACGGCCTGGAGGCTGGGCCGGCCCCCGAAGAACAGGCGAAGAAAAAGGAAGAGAAGGGGAAAGAACAGGAGCGGACCGAAGAGGCCGCTCCGGTTCAGAAGGGGGACCCGCCCGAGGGGCAGCGCGAGGCCCTGGCCCCTGTGCCGCAGCCGCCGCCCCCGCCCGCCCGCCCGCCCGCCGCGCTTCCCCGGATCTCAGACTCTCCGGGTTCCGAAGCCCCCGCCGAAGACCCTTTGGAACTAGTGTCTGAGATGGGCGAATTCAGCAACGAGGACATCTGCCGCTACATCGACCGCAGCTTCTCCTTCTGGAAGGAGAAGGAGGCAGAGCTGTTTGACATCTGAGCAGCGGAATTCGGAATTCGCAGTTCACCCTCGAGCGTCTTAACGTGGGCCTGGACGCCTGTCTGACGCCCTCCAGAGGCGTGAAGCAGCGGGAAGAACCCAGGACTGTGGCCTTGAGCAGCCCGGAGGGCCCAGGACCAGGCTGCCTCAGCCTCTGAGGTCCCATCGTGAGCAGGCTGTGTGGGGCGTTGGTCGGATAGGCAGGGCAGGCACAGAACAAACCAGGTGTCCCCCTCTGGCCCCGTGGTCTTGCTGAGCTCTGTGTGGAGCCAGGCAGCAGAAGAAGCCCCTCTGAGTGAGGGGCTGCGGCTCCTCCCTGGGGCAGTGTGGCCTGCTCTCTGGTTTTCCACTGGAGTTCACAGCTACCTCCTTGGCTGAGGTCAAGGGAGCCACGTGTGCAGTGTTCTGTGTGAAGTGTGCGGTGTACAGACCCTTTCTCCTCTGTAATATTCAGGAAATAAAACTCTTTGCTGTAAACTGCCTATGTTGGACACCACACCTGCCCCTGATGTCATTGCAGCCCCACGATTGTAGAGCACGTATCCACTCTGTTGGGAAGAGGGCAACCATGGGCTGAAGGTCCTTCTCAGGGGAGCCAGGGGCAGCCTGAATCTCCCTGAGCCAAGAGGCTGGGTGGGGGCCCGCATCTGCGTCTGCCCAGAGATCTTGGACCTGTGGCCATTGGCCACCTGCCCCTGTGGGGAATCAGGCTCAGGACCTCTGGGTCCCGGCTACTTTTTCTCTGCTTCTGTCCCACTCAGCTCTGATCTCTCTGGTGCCTCCTGTAGGACACAAGGGTCTGGGTTACTAGGGGAAAGGAGGCCAGCTCTGAGGGGGTGTGACCAGGCACCTCCATCCACTTGTCCCACAGAAATGCATCCAAAGGGTCACTTCCTGTGACCCTGACTCCTTCAGGTCCCCAGGTTGAGGGTGCCCCCTATCTCCCAGCCCCTGCAGGCTCTGAAGCTTTGTGGTTGTGTTTCAGGAGGAGGAGGAGGCCCGGCTGGCCAGCATGCCCGCCTGGAGGTGGGACCTCCTGCGGAAGAAGCTGGAAGAAGAGAGGTGAGCCGGCGGTCAGGCAGAGGCTGGCCTGGCAGCGTGTCTTGACTGCGCCCCTGAGGTGGAGGTACCAAGTGACACTGTTTCTCCTTCTAGGAAGCAGAAGCGGTGAGTGCAGGGCTGGCCCCAGCCTGCCACCCTTACCCCCACCCAAGTCGCAGAGGGTCGTCCCTTCATCCAGGCCAACTTGAGTGCATCCTCCTGTCTCTTGGCCCTTGTAGCACAGCCTCCTTCCTCCCTATAATATCCCAGACGGCTGACCCCCAGAATCTCTCTCTCATGCTCTGATAACTTTGTTCCCGGTTACTCAGTCCCTGCCTCCTATTAACCTGGCCTTTTCTACCCTTCAGTTAACCTAACCCCAGTATCAATCACCTTGATTGTCTGGCCCTCAGAATGTACTTTCTGCCCCTAGTCATCTCACCCAGCCCAGTGCTGTCCAATAGAAATGTAATGAGAGCCACAGATGTAATTTAAAATTTTCTAGTAGCCACAGTGAAAATGTAGAAGGATATAGGTGAGCTTAATTTTAGTAGTGTTACTTGACACAAAATATCAAAAATATTATTTCGACACATAATCAATTATGAAAATTACTAATGAGATGTTTTATACTCCTCCTGTAAAAGTAAGTCTTTGGCCAGGCATGGTGGCTTACACATGTAATCCCAGCACTTTGAGAGGCCAAGGCAGGGGGACCACTTGAGTCCAGAAGTTTGAGACCAGCCTGGGCAATGCAGTGAGACCTCATTCTGAAAAAAAAAAAAAATTTTTTTTTTCTTTTTTTGAGATGGGGTTTCACTCTTGTCACCCAGTCTGGAGTGCAGTGGCGATCTGGGCTCATGCAACCTCTGCCTCCTGGGTTCAAGTGATTCTCCTGCCTCAGCCTCCCAAGTAGCTGGGATTACAAGCATGTGCCACCGCACCCAGCTAATTTTGTATTTTTAGTAGAGATGGGTTTCACCATGTTGGCCAAACTGGTCTCAAACTCCTGACCTGAAGTGATCCACCCGCCTCGGCCTCCCAAAGTTGTGGGATTATAGGCATGAGCCATCAAGCCTGGCCTTTTTTTTTTTTTTTTTTGAGACAGAGTTTTGCTCTTGTTGCCCAGGCTGGAGTGCAATGGCACAATCTTGGCTCACTGCAACCTCTACCTCCTGGGTTCAAGTGATTCTCCTGCCTCAGCCTCCCAGGTAGTTGGGATTACAGGCGCCTGCCACCACGCCTGGCTAATTTTTGTATTTTTAGTAGAGGCCGGGTTTTGCCATGTTGGTCATGCTGGTCTCGAACTCCTGACCTCAGGTGATCCACCCGCCTCAGCCTCCCAAAGTGCTGGGATTACAGGCATGAGCCTTCACACCAGGCCTACGAAAAAAAATTTTTTTTAATTAGCTGCACGGGGCTGCGCACAGTGGATCATACCTGTAATCCCAGCACTTTGGGAGGCTGAAGCGGGTAGATCACCTGAGGTCAGGAGTTCAAGACCAGCCTGGCCAACATGGTGAAACCCCGTCTCTACTAAAAATATAAAAATTAGGTGGGTGTGATGGCACATGCCTGTAATCCCAGCTACTCGGGAGGCTGAGGCAGGAGAATCACTTGAATCTGGGAAGCGGAGGTTGCAGTTAGCCGGGATCACGCCATTTTGTACTCCAGCCTGGGCAACAGAGTGAGACTCCATTTCAAAAAAAAAAAAATTAGCTGGGTGGGCCGGGCTCAGTGGCTCACGCCTGTAATCCCAGCACTTTGGGAGGCTGAGGCAGAATGATCACCTGAGGTCAGGAGTTCAAGACCAGCCTGACCAACATGGTGAAACCCCGTCTCTACTAAAACTACAAAAATTAGCTGGGCATGGTGGCACGCTCCTATAATCCCAGCTACTCAGAAGGCTGAGGCAGGAAAATCGCTTGAACCTGGGAGGCAGAGGTTGCAGTGAGCCGAGATCGTGCCACTGCACTCCAGCCTGGGTGACAGAGCGAGACTCCGTCTCGATTAAAAAAAAAAAATTAGCTGGGTGTAGTGGCACACACCTGTGGTTCCAGCTACTTGGGAGGCTGAGGTGGGAGGATTACGTGAGCCCAGGAGGTCGTGGCTGCAGTGAGCCATGATCTCACCACTGCGCTCCACCCCGGCAACAGAGCGAGACCCTGTCTCAAATAATAATAATAATAATAATAATAAAACTTAGTCTTGAGATCTTATTGCTCTTATTGCCTGACTAAGGAGGTTCTGGGTAGGGAGTTCATTTTAGATCTGCTTTTTTTGTTTGTTTTTGTTCTCATCAAAAACTACCTTTGCAATCTCATGTTTCTCTTGGGCCCTCTTTAATGGCCTAACTTCTTCAAAGCATGATTTTCTTTTAGTTCCTCAAGGTGGCTTTGGAGAAAAGTCTGGCAACTGTGGAGACCCAGAACCCATCTTTGCCTTGAGAATGCAGAGCTGAAAGAGCAGAAATGTCTGAGGGATGGGAGATTGAGGAAGACAAGGAGAAGGGCAAGGTGGTGGTTGAGACTGTGGTTGCCAAAGAGGGTCTGAGTGAGAGTAGTCTTCAGGCTGAGTTCAGAAAGCTCCAGGGAAAACTGAAGAATGCCCACAATATCATCAACCTCCTCAAGAACAACTTGTGCTGAGTAGCAAAGAAGGGAATAGTAAACTTACTCCAGAGCTCCTTGTGCATCTGACCAGCACCATCGACAGAATAAACACAGAACTGGTTGGTTCTCCTGGGAAGCACCAACACCAAGAGGAGGGGAATGTGACTGTGAGGCCTTGCCCCAGACCCCAGAGCCTTGACCTTGGGGCTACCTTCACAGTGGATGCCCACCAAGTCAATGTAGGCTTAGATGGAATGAAAAACCACTGGAGAAGGGCTCGAGATGACAGTGTTTACTTTAAAACGTTCTCCCATGTGAATCAAGAGGTACCAAGAGAAAGGTCTCTTTGTACCACAAACAACAGGAATAATATTCTGCCTACATTCAGCCTTTAGAAAGCCTTTTACAACATGAATATTTCTTGGGTACTTAATTTTTCAGATAACACACTAGGCATTGGCATGGGGCAATAAAACCAATGGCTGCCCTTGAGATACTTAATATGGTAAGGAAAGATGGCACATAAACAGGTAATTTTAATAGGAGGGGGTAACTGCTGTAACATAGGGATGCATCAGGTTATGAGGCAGCCCAGACAAGTAGTATGTAATGACATCCCTTCCTTATCAATGCCATTTTTTTTTTTTTTTTTGGTCACAGCTCATCACAGGTGTCTGTTCCTGGACCTCAGATGGGTTATTGGGATCCTGTTTAGGGGAGGAGCCATGCTGAAGATTCAGTAAAATGGGGAATACAGGGGATTCTGAGAGAATCGATGGCACAGAATGTGAGGGGAGATGAGTGGAGGGTTCCACCCCTTCTCTTGTTGACCACTGAGAAAACGTTTCCTAAGAGCTCCTCTGTAGACTTGATTGGCGCTGTGCTGTGTGCTGTGGATACAGATATGAGGAAAACATTATCCCAGCACTCCAGGAGCTCCATCCGGAAAGCAAGTCACTGCCAAAAGGCATGAGAAGTGCTGTGACAGACTTGAGTAAAGTCCACGGGGTTCACAACGGGCCATGGTCATCACTGCATGGGGGTGGCCTCGGACTGTCCTGATCCTTGTCTTGGCCCCTTTCACAGTTGGAGAACCAGTCCCAGCCTTGTGACACTGGGCCCAATCAGCATTTAGCCCACCAGGGTCCACCCAGCACCCACGCTCCCAGCTGTCACAATGCAAACAACGCTATCAAGATCTCCAGGAGAAGCTGCTGCTATCAGAAGCCACTGTCTTTGCTCAGGCGAACGAGCTGGAGAAATAGAGAGTTATACTTAGTAGGTAACTATGACTTACTAGTAAAGAACTAGCCTGTACGTCTTATAAGCTCTGTATGTTCTATACAGACATAATGTGGTTATTGAGCACATGAAGTGTGGCTAGTGCAACTTGGACATTTGGTTTTATTTAATTTTAGTTAATTTAGTATAAAGTGGCCATATGTGGCTACTAACTACCTTATTGGACAGTGCAGGTCTAGGTGTCTTGGGACTCTAAATTAGTTCAGCTCCATTCAACATTTATTGAACCCCTGCTGATAAAGCACTTGCCAGCTTCAATGGGGCTGCTAGAGATGAGAGTACACAATCCCTGACTTACAGATACCTTGTCCCAACTAAGGCCTAGGTTATCTGAAGGGGAGATTATCAATGGCAAATGCAGGCTCCTCCTGTGGAAAGAAATTCTGCTTCCTGGAGCTGGTGGTCTCTTCTCCCACCAGTTCAAAGAAGCTTCTCTCGTACTGTGGATCTGCCCTCCCTGCCCCACAAGGTTAGGGTATGTGCCATTGAGGCTGAGGGCATATGTGGGAAATTCAGACATTCTGTAACACCTGCTGTCTCTTCCCACGCAGGTGAACCCTTGCTGAAGCAGGACAGTAAACAGGTCCAGGTGGACCTCCAGGACCTGGGCCACGAGACTTGTGGCCAAAGCAAGAATGAGGCTGAACAGGAGGAAACCACCAGTCCCGGTAAGAGCACAGGGTGTGGGGCTCACCTTCCCTCCCTGGAGTCAGCTGTCACATTTGGGTGCTGTTGGCCAATTCCACACCTGACAAGTAGTGGGGAAGAGGAGGACAGGAGGTTAATAGGAGAACTCTTACCCAAAATGAGGCTGCGTATAAGTTTGAATTTCTACAATTAGTTTGTGGCACACTGCTAATAATAATAATAATAATAATAATAATATAAAGTTCTAGCCAACTGATTATTATAGAAATACTAAGGCCTACTTAGAGACCACATGAGGTTTTGGAAACATGCAAACTGTAAGTTAAAAATAATTTTGTTTTGCATTATAAAAGGACTACAACCATAGGGCCACCCACCACATTGAAAACCAGAAGAGAAGAAAAACACAGTCTCTCTCATTCTTGAGGAAGTGTAGTGTGGCAGTTAAGAGAAAAGATCCTGGGGCCAGACTGGTTGGTTCAAATCCCAATTTGTAAGCTTTCCTATGCCCCAGTTTCTTCATATGTTAAAATAGTAATAAAGGAACTACCTACCCCATCAGGTACTAATGTGAATTAAATGAGTAAATTCTTATAAAATGCTTTAGAACAGTGTCTGGCATCAGGTAAAATGCTGTGGATTAGTTCTCATTCTGACTACCACTGCCCCAATACACTGATGTTAACATGCTGATATATTTATTCGAAGTCTTATTTTCCTATGCCTATTTTTCACACAGTGGTAACCCAATAAACTTTTAAATTATAGTAAACTTTAGAGAGCATTAAACTTGCAGCATGCAGAAATAGCTTGTCCTACATTCTTGTGGCTATCCTAACTAGATAAGGGCATGTTAATGTCTTGAGAAACATCAGTGTGTGTGGAATGAACACAGGACGTTGGAGGATTTGAATTCAGGCTCTGCCATGTGCTAGTTTGAGTGATCTAGAACAAGCTGGTTTACTACCTCTCTTTAAGTTTTGGTTTCCCCAGTCAGTAAAATAGAGAGTGGTGAAACCTAACTTATGGGTATAAGGAGGATAAGAAATACTGTATTTGAATGCCTAGCACAGTGTCAGGGTTGAATAAAGTACGACTTCACCTTTTTCCCTAGTAATTATTGTCCTCATGACCAAACCTGCCTCCTCTCAAAGGCAGTGGCCACAACAGCACATCCAACTTTTAATTAGGAAGACATCTTTGTCTTTTTTCAGAGCGTGAGGAGCACAACAGCCGCAAGGAAATGGTCCTGATGGAGGGGCTGTGCTCTGAGCAGGGGCGCCGGGGCGGAACGCTGGCTAGTTCCTCTGAGAGGAAGCCCTTGGAGAATGAACTAGGGAAGCAGGAAGAGTTCTGGGTATATGGAAAGTCAGAAAACATCTGGGTCCTATGAAAGGACATCAAAGATCTGAAGGCCCAGCTGCAGAATGCCAACAAGGTCATTCAAAACTTCAAGAGCCGGGTCCAGTCCCTCTCAGTTACAAGTGATTATTCTTCTAGTCTGGAAAGACCCTGGAAGCTGAGAGCTCCTGACACCCTGGAGGGGTCTTCACCTCATAGTGTCACTGATGAGGATGAGTTGTGGCTGTCTGATGGCACTGGGGCTTTCTACTCTCCAGGACTTCAGGCCAAAAAGGACCTGAAGAGTCTCATCCAGAGAGTATCCCAGCTGGAGGCCCAGCTCCCAAAAAATTTATCTAGGGACATATAATTAACATATATATAACAGTTGAAGAACAGTGGCATGGTAAATTTTTGTTTTGTTTTGTTTTGATACAGAGTCTCACTCTGTCACCCAGGCTGGAGTGCAGTGGTGCCATCTCGGCTCACTGCAACCTCTACCTCCCAGGTTCAAGCAATTCTCCTCCCTCAGCCTCCCAAGTAGCTGGGATTACAGGCATGCGCCACCATGCCCAGCTAATTTTTGTGTGTGTTTTTAGTAGAGGAGGGGTTTCACCATATTGGCCAGGCTTGTCTTGAACTCTTGACCTTGTGATCTGCCTGCCTCAGCCTCCCAAAGTGCTGGGATTATAGGCATGAGCCACCACGCCCGGCCCATACTAAATTTTTTAGTGCAATACTTTATCAGGGTAGAATTTACTGTTAAATGCCTCCTATGGCTTATGTGCCAGAATTCAGTTTGGGGGAGTTCCTTAGAGATGTTCTCATAGAAATCTCTACAGAAGCCCCATAACTTATCATCCACCCTTTCCTCTTCTGTCCTGCATTAGGAAATATGATTCCCTGATTCAGGATCAGGCCCGGGAACTGTCTTACCTACGGCAAAAAATAGGAGAAGGGAGAGGTGTTTGTTATCTTCTCACCCAGCATGCAAAAGATACAGTAAAATCTTTTGAGGATCTCCTAAGGAGCAATGACATTGACTACTACCTGGGACAGAGCTTCCGGGAGCAACTGGCCCAGGGAAGCCAGCTGACAGAGAGGCTCACCAGCACACTCAGCACCAGTAAGTTGGCCACAGGGCTTTGGATACTCTCAGTCACCCCACAGTTCCAGCCCCTGGTGGCCACCACATCTCCACTGCAACTTTTTAACGTAGGGTCCTGTTTCTATTTCATTTCCTGGGGCTAATACAGGATCAAGACTGCTCAATGGGACTCCTAGCCCTGACACACAGCTGGGACTCTCAGGTCCGACCAGCGGTCCTGAACCCGCTCCCACGGCACGGGAACTCCTTCGTGGTGAAGCAGCAGCCCCTGCGCTGGCTCATCTACATAGAAGTCGCCCTATCTGTGATGTCACCGACAGTGCCTTTCCCAGTCCCCGTCTGCCTTTCTGCCGCTCAGCCGACCAACCCGCTGCTGGAGCCGGCAAGGGGAAGTGACGTCTGCCTCTCCCTTTTTTCTCTCCTGCTTCCCTCATCTGTTCTCTCCCAAAGAAGCTGGTCCTTAGCCTGTATTGCGGAGCAAGCTTTCGGCGACCAGCTGGACCCTGGGCACCCTTCTTCGAACAATGGCTTTTAATTCTCAGACTAGAACATTTAGGATTACAAAAGAAACTGGTTCTTTTCACATCCTTATCCTTGTGATGTAGCATTCCGCATATATATATATATATCCAACTATCCTAAAAGACACTGCCCTTCATCATTCCATGCCGTTAGACATTTATAGGACCATGCATGGTGATCTCCTCCAGACAAAAGTAAATGCTGGTGCAGAGCAGGTAAGTGTACTATAATTTGAGTACTTCAGCTTTTGGGCATTTTAAACCATGGGTCAGACAAGTTAGAGCAAGAGGGCAGGTTGATAGCAAGAGGGAGTGTTTTTCTTTTAATTTCCTTTTTTTTTTTTTTTTTTTTTTTTGAGACGGAGTCTCGCGCTCTTCGCTCAGGCTGGAGTGCAGTGGGGCTATCTCGGCTCACTGCAAGCTCCGCCTCCCGGGTTCACACCATTCTCCTGCCTCAGCCTCCCCAGTAGCTGGGATTACAGGCACCCGCCACCACGTCCAGCTAATTTTTTGTATTTTTAGTAGAGTTGGGGTTTCACTCTGTTAGCCAGGATGGTCTCGATCTCCTGACCTTGTGATCCGCCCACCTCGGCCTCCCAAAGTGCTGGGATTACAGGCGTGAGCCACCGCGCCCGGCTTCTTTTAATTTTCAAATAGCAAAGTGATGTTTGCCACTGTCATTTCAGAATGAGGTGACAATTTGTTGTTGTTTGGTTTTGTGGGGTTTTTTGTTTGTTTGTTTGTTTCTGAGACAAGGTCTCACTGTCGCCCAGGTTGGAGTACAGTGGCATGATCAGGGTTTACTTCTGCCTTGACCTCATGAATTCAAGCAAACCTCCTTACTAATCCTCCCAAGTAGCTGGGACTACAGGTGCATGACACCACACCCTGGGGTGTGAACTGGGATTTGATGTTTTCAGTTGGCTCCCTGATGGAATAGGTTCCCTTACTATTCTGGAATACAGATTGTCTTCATGATTATGATTCATAATCATAATGATTATGACAGCAGTCCCTGCTGTCAGGCAGGGACGTTTAAGTCTGCAGAAGCTGTCTGCTGCCTTTTATTCAGATATGCCCTGCCCCCAGAGGTAGAATCTAGAGGCAGTAGGCCTTGCTGAGCTGCAGTGGGCTCTACCCAGTTCGAGCTTCCCTACCACTTTATTTACACTGTGACCATAGAACCACATACTCAAGCCTCAGCAGTGGCAGAACCCCCTCCCCCTGCCATGCTCCAGTGTCACAGGTTGATCTCAGACTGCTGTGCTAGCAGCAGGCAAGGCTCCATGGGCATGGGACCTGCCGAGCCAGGCACAAGAGGGAATCTCCTGTTCTGTCGGTTGCAAAGACAGTGGAAAACACAGTATTTGGGCAGGGGTGTACTGCTCCTCGAGGTACAGTCACTCACAGCTTCCCTTGGCTAGGAAAAAGAAATCCCCCAACCCCTTGCACTTCCCGGGTGAGGCGACACCCCACCCTGCTTTGGCTCATCCTCCGTGGGCTGCATCCACTGTCCAACAAGTCCCAGTGAGATGAACCAGGTACCTCAGTTGGAAATGCAGAAATCACCTGTCTTCTGTGTCTATCTCACCTGAAGCTGTAGACCGGAGCTGTTCCTATTCAGCCATCTTAGAAGCAACCCTCTTTTTCTTTTTGTATTTTGGTAGAGACAGGGTTTCACCATATTGCCCAGGCTGGTTTCAAACTCCTGTGGTCAAGCCATTCTATAAAACAAACTTATATTTGTTTTATCTGAGTTCCTTCCTCAGGAAAGGACTCTCAGGCCTCTCAAAAAGCATCAGAGACCTGAAACTCAGCCAATCACAGCATCCAGACAATGAGATGCCAGTCCCCTCACTCATCACGAGTGCTTCCTCAGCCCTCCCTAGTTCCTCTTTTCCCACACACAGTTAACTTTTCTTCTGCGCTATATAAACCCCTAACTTTAGTCAATCAGGGAGACAGATTTGAGACTCATCTCCTGTCTACTCAGCTGCAGCACCTGATTAAAGCCTTCTTCCTCAGCAATACTCAATGTCTCAATGATTGGCTTTCTGTGTGCTGAGAACACTGAAGCCCTGTGGTTTTGGTAAAAATACATGTACCCTTTAAAAAACCGCAATTAATGGGTTGTGGTATATTGAGAAATTGGAGTGGCATCAACTTGGCCAATTCTGAGGAAACACACTGTGCTTAAGTGTCAGGGCCCTGCCTCCTGACCTCGACAGTTTATGGTTGATTTTGAGGCACAGCAGGGGAGTATGGCCTGGTTTGAGTGTTTTATAGAAATGTAAAACATGGCTGATTACTTTTTATTTTAAATCCAACAAATCTCCATTTCTGGTGAGAAAATCTTGCCAAAACCAACCAAACAAATGCATAGAAGTATATGAAGAAGAAAATGAAAGATTCCCTGCCTCCCAATCCCACTTGCTTGGTGTCAGCCATTATTTATCACATGGAGGAAGGGGGCAAGACACCCAAGAAGTCCCAAGTCCTGTTCTCACAATCATCTGGCCTCCCTGGGCAAAGGGAAAAGAGGGAAGGCAAAAAGAATATAACACTACTGTTTGCGGAAATTTCCCCTTGGTACAGGAAACTCTGGTAAACTGAGAGAGTATGTTTTCCAGAGGGAGGCCTCAGGGGCTCTTCTCTGGCCCTAAGCCCAAACTGGATTTTGCCTCATTTTCTGAGGTGCAAATGAAATGATAAAAGTTGATCAAAGGAGAGGGCAGAGAGAAAGAAAGAGGATGACTCCTCTCTCGCAGGTCCACCTTCTTTGGTGTTGCTTGAGGGATCAGAAGAAATGCCTTAACATAGGTGTGTGGGAACTATGGCTGCTAAGTATGAACTCAGTTACCTCCAGTTATAAGCTAGTGTGAGGTTCCATGGTGAGCACTTTGGACTCTGAATTCAGTGATCAGAGTTCAAGTCTCACTGGTACCTTTCTGTATAATTCCAGTGAGGTTCCTCTCTATTGCTCCATAAGCAGAATGGGGGAAATTGCCCAATCGTGGTCACAGACCCTCCATGCCACTGGCTGTATGCAATTGGAGTCCCGGACCCAGCGACCAGCAAGACCCCTCCCCTCTCAGGGTGACCCTGGGCCTCCAGGTCACAGGTCTCCACTAAAAATGCTGCCTCCCCTCAATCCTAGACCCCGAGTTTTCTTTTGTTCACGTCATTGGGCCATTGCCCTATGTCTCTTTGGAAGAAATGACCTATATGAAAAATTTTACTTCCAGGATTCCCTAATTCTTTCATCCCTTAGGACAGTGCAGTTTTTCATCTCCTGATCTTGGGTCCGGTACTAATGCGCGCGTTTCATCTTGTTTTCATGGGATCCCCTCCAACCGGCTACCAGTGGATTTCTGTTCTTGGGGTCTCTGTGGATGACAACTAGATGCTGCTCTTGTCCCAAATCCTGACACCTCCCTCCAGGGAATTGCCTCCCTTAGCCTCCTAAATCAGCCAATATTTAGATTTGAGCCTGGAATCCCAGCATCTGTGGAGAACAGAGGCTCCTGATCCCTGGCCAGCCTCCCGCAGTGAAGGGGAGAGGAGCAGAGCAGCTGGGAGGGGCAAGTCCGGGGCCCTGGGCAACCCCCTTCTTCCTGCCCAGACTCTGCTCCAAAGAGAAGTTGCCTTAGGACCAGATCAGATGGAAACTCTTGTTCTCTTCTCATCAGCAGAAAAATTTAGGCAAGAGCTCTGGAGGACTTTCCTAGCTCATAAAAATGCTGTGGTCAAGTCTCTCCAGTTTTGGAAATGCCCAAGGTTACCAAGTGTTTTGAGGGCTCACTTTGGAGCCTCTGAAAAGGACGGGTGAGGGCCCATGGGAAGGTACCTGAGGGATTCAGGAGAGAGAGGGGAAAGAGCAGACAGGAGGGAGGAGAGAAGGAGGGAGGGGGAGAAAGGGTGTGTGAGGGCCAGGAGCCAGGATTCACCCTGACAGTTCAGTGACTGCTCCCTGACCCCAAGGTTCCCACTGTGGCACCTTCCAGCAGGTGGTTTCCATCTCTTATTGATGTCCTGAGAACTTGGCTCTACAGAATGGTCCCACCCTATTTGTCTGGCATGAGTCCTGCAAAGTTTCTTTTCATCGTTTGGGGGATGAGATGGGGGTATATAGGCTTGCAAGTGACTAGGAGCTAAGTCAGGACCTTGTGGAGCCACTCAGAGTTAACTGTCAAGTAGCCTCCCTTCCCCCTTCGCTTGCAGGACGATTGCCTGCAAGACAGGGCCTGGAGGCCAGGGCACCCAAGGCCACAGAAATGCCCAGGGATGAGTCCTGGCTGGAGATGCCTTGGCTAAGCTGACTGTGCACTTCCAGGGCTCACAGGAGTCTGGCCGGGAGACTGAGCAAGGGGACCAGGGAGGTTGTGTAGCAGGCTTCTGCACAGCAAGGCAGACATTCTTCTTGGAGCCCCCAACCCAAATCAGGTCTTCCACCTCCTCTTCCTAAAGACCCTTTACTGCTGTCATTCTTTTACTGAACTACAAGTTTAGAGGACATGGATTTCAGTGCCCTCATCTGGCCAACCATCTTCAGCCGCCAATGGGCAAGGTAACCTCCCTCCCTGCCAAGACCTGACTCAGGACCTTTCCTTAAGGAGATGTCCTGTTCTTTCTTTCCCACCAGAACTGCCCTGGCCCAGGCCCCATTTCTGTCTGGTGACCAGGACAGTCCCCTCACCAGTCTCCCAGGTTGGGGAGGGCAGATCCTCCTCAGCTCCCTGCCCCTGAGAGACCCCAACCGTCTTGTGTGGCTCCGGCCCACAGAGTGATATCCATGGCCCATATCTCTCAAAACTCTCCCCTCCCACTCTGAATCCACCCTCTACTGCATGCTCCCCTCACAGAACAGACTAATTTTTGTGTGTGTGTCCTTGTTTTGCCTACCTGTACCCCAGACAGACTTTTCTGTCTTAGAACTACCTGTCCCTCTTTGGACAGTGTCTTCCTGGTACTACACATGAAGATGTCCCGCTCTCCACTGCTCAAGGAGAGAGTGCCTGACCTGAGCTGGGCCCATCAGATCCAGTACTTACCTGGAATAGGAAAAAGATGGGGAGAGTGACCAAAGATTACAAAAATCTCTGAAGCTTATCCACTTGAGAGAGAGTCCCTGAAGATACTGGCCTCTCATTCCTGCTATGTATGTCCAATGTGACTGAACTCTGAATAAAATATACAAGTTATAACAATGTAGCAATTGACCCAGCAAACGAGGACACAAACGTGTTGGAGGGTAAGGTGGTGAGAGGCGTGTTTGGGGGTGGTGGTGATGAGCAAGTATGTGAAGGAGAGGTAGTGCCTAAACTTGAAAATCAAAAAGTAATAATATCTATTTAGACATAAGGAGATAAATAACGAAATAATTGCTTCTATGTGATGAAACTCTGGGAGTACACAAGGGGACTGCTGTTTTACTAAACAAATTTTCAAGTATATATGACTTTGATAAAGTATCCAAATAAAATAATTCCTTTCCGATATAAGTATGTGTGTATATATGTATTCATTGTATTTTGAAGATAAATTTTTACACAGTCATGTTAATCGCTTTCATTTAAGGATTTGAGTTTGATGTCATGCATATAATGTGATCCCACTGTATGACTACACAAATGTTGGCAAAAGTGAGTTCAGAGGAAATGGTAGGCAAGTACTTCCCAGTTTTGACCAGAAGATGGAGAAAAAAAGAATTCTCAAAAAATGTTAAAGGTATGACATGTTATATTTTCTTTTCACAGTAATTTAGACAGAAATTAGCAAAATCAAACATGTATAAATACTTTGGTCTGACAATTCCATCTCCAGGTGTCTACGGAGAAATAGACAAGCGATGCACGACAGATACATGTGTCAGTCTGGTCCCTGCAGTTGTATTTGTAATAATACACATTGGAGCAATTTCATGGCCATCGGTTAGAGAATGTTTGAGGAATGATCCATTCATATCAAGAAGGACATTTCAAAGATCAAAGCCTGATGGAAATGCTGGAGACCATGGCGCTGATAGGAGCTCATGCGTGTTGACCAATTACTACGTGACAGGCATTGGCTCCAGGCTTTTCCTGCACTGCTCATTTAAACACTGGACAACCTAAGTGTTCTGATTTAGCCCATTGGACAGATAGAAATGGAGGCACAGAAGATTAATGTGTTTAACTTCAAACGCTGGCAGATTAGGTTTTTCATCCAGGGCCTGTGGCTTCACCATAGGTGTGATTCATGTTCTGTCATTCTCCACTTTAGGAATTTCCAGTATTCCAAATATGAGAAGCTGAGAAAACAAACAACAGACTCAAAACCCTAAAAACCAGGATACGTAAGGGTAGATGTTTGTTGGGTGTGGATTAAAAATGGACTTTTTTTGCCCCAAGCAACAAAGAGGCATCTTAGAGAATGGACAAGAGACAAGAAGAAGAGAAGCTTTAAGAGATATTTGGTCCAAGGAAGAGACTCTTCAGATGGAAGGTCACATCAGCTAGAAACATTAATATGACTGGATGGGCTCAAACCACTGACTTTTCAGTCAACATCCGACAGCACTAACCTAGTGTTCCAGAGACCCTGCTTGTTAAACAGTGAAAGCTGTTGCTCAATTGTGTCATCCATAATTGTCAAATATTGCCATTTAGTAGCACAAGGAAGTATTCTCTGTTGCCAAGCTAGAGTACCCATAACTCTTCTGTTTTGTTGAACATTCTTCCCCACCACAAACCCTCTTTAGAAGACTGGGGGCTCCTAAAGCATTGAGGCCGAGAGTCCCGTCCTTGTGCATGTTTGGGCATTGACCCAGGGCCAAGTGAGTGGGAGACCCCTCCACGCCTACGCCAGGTCCTCAGGTGACAACTGCAGTCTCTGGATCTGAAGTCATCCACTTTCCCATTCCTAGCTCACCTCACCCATCGTGAAGCCTGGTTAGTATTGCCAGAGACCCGAGTGGGCAGATGCCCACACCAAAGACAGAACCTGCTGTGTGCCCAACTTGCTGATCCCTCCATCCTTCTAGACAAAGGCTTCATAAGCCAGGGACCTTGGGTTTGCTCACAAGGCAGCCCCTCACCTAGTAGGCATTAGTTCATTATGTATATGTATATGTAGTCCTCAGGTTGTATTCCTTAAATATATATAATTTAAGGATATGTATTATATATATATATAAATATATATGTAATTCCTTAAATATATAATTTTAATACAATTTTTTTTTTTTTTTGAGACAGACTCTCACTCTGTCTCCCAGGCTGGAGTGCAGTGGCACCATCTTGACTCACTGCAAGCTCCACCTCCCAGGTTCACGCCATTCTCCTGCCTCAGCCTCCCAAGTACCTGGGACTACCGGCGCCCGCCACCACGCCAGGCTAATTTTTTTTTTTTTTGTATTTTTAGTAGAGATGGGGTTTCACCGTGTTAGCCAGGATGGTCTCGATCTTCTGACCTCATGATCCACCCACCTCGGCCTCCTAAAGTGCTAGGATTACAGGCGTGGACCACCGCGCCTGGCCAAAACAAAGTTTTTAAAAGATTCTTTTAATAAACATTTACAATAACATCAAGAAATATAAACGACATAGCAAATATGTGAAAGCCAGCCAGACTCTCAATGGCATCCAGAAATATAAACTACATAGAAAAGACGTGAAAGCCAGCCAGGCTTGGCTTCAAATCCCAGCACTTTGGAAGGCTGTGGCAGGAGGGTTGCTTGATCTCAGAAGCTTGAAACTAGCCTAGGCAACATAGTGAGCCCTCATCTCTACTGAAAAATCAGAAAAATTATGCGGGTTTAGTGGTGTGAGCCTGTAGTCCCAGGAATCAGTGGATGAGGCCCTAGGATGTCATAGGCCTGAGAATTCCATGCTGCAGTGAGCTGTGATTGTGCCACTGTACTCCAGCCTGGGTGAAAGAGTGAGATCCTGTGCAGAAACAAAAGAAGAACAAAAGAGATGTGAAAGCCTATATATTGAAGACTACCAAGTACTGCTTAGAGCAGTTAAAGACCTTTGGAATAGAAAATGTTTCTTCTTGCATTTCAAGATTGCTTTTGTTTTGGGGGGACACACTATTTTTTAGGAATATGAAGTTCTTGTTAGGCATTCCTGTAAAAAAGGCCACTTTTTGATAGGATTGTATTGAATCTGTGGGTTGCTTTGAGTTGTATTTTTATCTTAACCATGTTACAACTTCCAACCCATGGACACAAGATGTCTGTCCATTGATTTAGGTCTTCCTGAATCTCCTCGAGCAATGTTCTGTAGTTGTCTGTGTACAAGTACTGCACCTTCTTGAACAAATTTATTCCCAGGCATATTATCCTTACAGGTGCTATTATAAATGAAATCATTGTGTCAGTTTACTTCTCAGATAGCTCATTGCCATCACAATGGATTGTTTGCTGAAAGTTTGCTGAATTCACTTATTAACTCTGATAGTGTGTGTGTGTGTGTGTGTGTGTGTGTGTGTGTGTGTGTGTGTCTGGTGTCTGTGTGCATGTATGTGTGTTTGCCTTTGTATGTATTGTTTGGGATTTTCTATACATAGGATCACACCATCTGCAAATTGAGATCATTTTGTTTTCTGTTCAAAAATATTTTTTCTCATGTTTATTTTTGAAAGATAATTTGGCCAGGTGTAGACTTGTAGGTGACAGTTTTTCTTTTTTTAAGTACTTTATTGCAAACTTCTTGTTTGTAAAGTTTCCTATGAGAAATCTTATGCCATCCTTATATTTAGTGCTCTGTATGTAACATGTTCTTTTCCCTTTTATTACTTTTAGGATTTCCTTTTTATCACTGGTTTTGATGGATTCGATTAAGGTGTTCCTTGTTGAAGTTTTCTGCATGTTTCTTGTTCTTGGGATAATCATATTTCTGTAATATTTGAAGTTTATGATTTCCATGGAGCTTCTAAATCTTTCATCCAGTATGTTTTAAATATCTTTGTCTCTCTTCTCCACTACCTGCCCTTCAGGGATTCCATTTAGCCCTATACTAGGGTGTTTAAAGTTTTGATGCTGATGGTCTTTATGTGTTTTCAAGTCATTTGTTAATGTGTGTTTCATTTATGTTAGTTTCAACTTCTATTCCTTCTAGTTTAATAATCTTCTCTTCTGCAATATTTAATCCAGTGCCTTCTTCCATTTCACACTGTAAATCATAGTTTTTATCTACAGAATTTGATATTTAAAAAATCTTCAACCTCTCCATTTAATTAAAATACAATTATACTAATTGCGGTAACGTCCTTTTCTTCTATTTCCAACGTGTGTGTCAATTTCAACCAGATTATTAGATTCTTCAGTATGTGTCATGTTTTCCTGCTTCTTTGACTGCTTGATATTCTTTTATTTTTATTTATTTGTTTTTGGGGGGATGGAGTTTCACTCTCGTTGCCCAGTCTGGAGTGCAATTGTGTGATCTCAGCTCACTGCAACCTCTGCCTCCCAGGTACTCAAGCGATTCTCCTGTCTCCGCCTCCCAAGTAGCTCAGATTACAGGCATGCACCATCATGCCCAGCTAAACTTTTTGTGTTTAGTAGAGACAGGGCTTCACCATGCTAGTCAGGCTGGTCGTGAACTCCTGACCTCAGGTGATCCACCCGGCTGCTTGATATTCTAAGATTTGATGCTGGAGCTTTGGTGTCAATGCTCAAAAGTGCCCAAAGACACCACTCAACCTCAGTGTCTATGCACACCCAAGCTTTTGCAACAGGAGAGGTAGAGACAGCAGAGATGAATGTGCTACAACATGCTGGTAGAAGGTACCCCAATTGTGCTTGGGGCTTCCTATGCCTCATAGAATAATGTGCCTTCCTTAATTTTTCCCATAAGAACCACCCTACTTCATGCCCTGTCTCTCTGTCCAAACACCAGGACAGCCCTCAGACCAGTCTCAACCACCCAATGGATTGACAAAGGTCCAAATATGATTCAGTGGAGAAGGCATTCTCTTGTCAACAAATTGTGTAGAAACAACTGGACATGCATATCCCCAAAGGAAAAAGATTCACCTGAACCTCAATACTGACTCAAAAACTAACTCAAAATGGATTATGCAACTAAATATAAACTATAAAAGTAGAAAAAGTATAGCAGGAAATATAAGACAAAATCTTCACGACACAGTTAGGCAAAGTGTTCTTTGTTATCAAGAAACACAAACCATTAAAGAAAACATTGATAAATTCAACTTTATAAAAAGTAAAAGTTTTTGCTCAACACGAGACAGTATTAAGAGAACAAATATAAGCTGCAGATTGGGAGAAAAACAGGGGAAATGACAAATGTGACAAAGGACAAGTGTGATAGTTACTTGCACGTGTCACTGTGACTGAGCACCAGGGTGCCGGGACATTCGGCCAAATGTGATTCTGGTTGTGTTCCAGAGAGTGTTTCACATATGATTAACATCGGGATGGGCAGACTAAGTGAAGCAGATTGCCCCCCTTAACGGGGGTGGGACTCATGCAATCAATCAAAGGTCAGGAGAGAATTAAGAGGCCTAATGGGAAACAAATGCTTTCCTGGGTATCCAGCTTTCCTTCCATCTTGGGAATTTCAGCCTCCATAATCTCAGAAACAAATTCACATATGTATACACACACATATACATTTCATAGGTATGTGGCTAAGATTGTATTTTTAAAAGTTCAGCCATGAGATGATTGGTGAAGCCAGCCAATGAATAAGGGTGTGTTCTATTATATGACTCAGTCTTCTTTTGTACACGATTGAAGTTCTGCATTTGAAGTAGGAGGACAGGAGAGAGCAAGTCCACCTAGGATGATAACAGCTGAATTTCTCAACAGACACTTCAAAGCCCTAGGCGTTAACTTAGAGAGTCAAAAATCCCACCCATAACCCTGCCCCTAAACGCCAGGGCTAGGGAACACTGTGGCCCTCAGGTGATTTTGTTTCACTTGGTCTGGGAGCCACACAAGGGCAGAGGGAGCAGGAAACACTAAGCAAATCGAGGCCAGGACAGCAGGGGGGGCCTGTTCATGACAGAACACAGGTAAAACTATCCTCAGAAAGAGCATGTGGAGAAACACAGATCATGCCTGAGACCTGGTGGATTAGAGCACTGGCTACTGGGGAATTGAAAGGAAGGGGCTTCACCATGCAGAGGACCAGAGGTGCCAGTCTTGGAAACGCAGAATTGCTGGGAGATGGGGAGGCATGGACAAAGGAAGCATCCTCTGGAGACTCATGGTGAAGAGAACAAATGAAGTAACTGGCAGAAATTATAGGTCCTGGTAGAACAAAATAGAATCCCACAATGAGAACATACAGCATGTATGTCCCGCAAGGAAGACAATAGCTCCTAAAAATGCAAGAAAAATCATTTTGGGCAAACACCTTATATCCAGTAATGCGATCCATGTATCAAGACCACGAGGAAGATTATTAAACATGCTAAACTCAGCGAGACCTGATTCCCTCATGAGGACTCTGTTAAGGATGAGTACCACTCAGCAAGTGATGACTGTGACATTCACTTTTGAACAGCTCATGAGCATTAATATATTTAATTGTGGATCTAAACCAAAAACCAAGGTGTGGGCAAGATGACAACCACAGAATTTCACTGGCATATGTTTAGGTTCAAATACCATTATGAGAAGTGGCAGGTAAAGGAGGTAGGAAAAAGAAAACACATCATGTAACTGACTGTCATATGGAAATATTTGACGTTGAAAGTCATAATTTAAAATGTATAAACCAAATATTAGAAGTGTGTCTAGTTCAAAGGGGGGAAAACTATGAAACATTTTTAATCAATATCAAACATGAGCTACACAACCCTTCCTAAATGCCAGAGGCACACACAGACACACACACACACACTCTCACAAAGAATATAAATATCTAGAACCAAGAAATGGAGTAAATGCATTCTGCTACATATGGTAAACATAGCCTACAAGGTGGAAGAGATTAGAAAATAAACAGGGAAATGGAAATGTTTTTATTAATTCACATCAGTACCCACCAAAACGAATCAGCATAACAAAAGATTATAACACTGAATGTAAAAAACAATCCAACAGTCCAGAGTGATAGGCAAAAGCTTTTAATTGTATAGATTAAAATAACTTTGGACAAAAATTAAAACTCAGGCAGAGAATGTTTTTTTTTTCAACAACACACACTAGCAAAAACAAAGGCACAGTAAACATAGAGGCAGAAAGTTTCCAGCGTAGAGATATGAATATAATAATAGACACAGGCAGGGATGATTAATAAATGATAAAATGTTTACAGGATGATCATCGGAATACAGGACATTTCTACTTTTGAAAACCACCCTCCCAAATACTTCATTATAAGTAAGGTGTCTCTAAAAGGGACACATCTCCTAGACCCCTCCTTAACCAAGTAACCAGTCCTGATATCATGATAATGCTGATGGACAAACTAGACCTTCTCTGCCCGCAGATGGGCTAAGGTTGGAAACTCACAGCATTGTCTCTGCAGTGTTCCCGGCAAAACGTTTAGGCTGAATTTAATCATGAAGACATTTTCAGACAACTTCAGAATGTAGATCATTGAGCCAGACAGCTGACCTGTCCTCTATAAACAAGTCCATGTCACCACCATCAATGACAACAACAAAAAGATGAGGAAATATTTGGGGTTCAAAATAACTAAAGAAATGCAGCTATATTATCTTTTTACTTTTTTTGAACCCAAAATATCTCTTCTCCTTTTTGTTGTGTGATTTGTGGTGATATGGACTATGTGAAGGAGACAGGTCAGTTGTCCTGCTCAGTGTTCTACATTCTGCAGTTGTCTGGTGATTACCTCCTATGAAACTCAGGCTAAGCGTTTTCTGCAAGAACATGGCGTTGTTCATATTCTGCACCGGCAGAGTCCTGGGTGACATGCTGTCTCCTGCCAGCGGCTCCTGACTCCTGTTCTCTACAGGATGGAATCGAGAGGAGCAGGGCTAAGGCCTCCCAATGCTGTTTGTCCATCTAGCTGTGGTCTTCTTAAGTACTAACACCAATTGGAGGCTGAAGGACTGTGGCTTCTCTAACCAAAGGAGCCTAGCGGGTTAACAATTGTCAAGAGCAGTTGGTGGTTCTGAAATACAATCCTCAGCCAAGGATCCCTCCTGTGTTAAAGATGGATCAGCTAAAACAATTCAACACTGAAGATACAAAGAATGAGGTTAGGTTCATTGAAACCAGGGTAACACCTTTGGATGAGCTAAACACAAAGATGACACTGACCTTGAGCAGGTATAGAAGCTCAGAGACATGCCTGCAAAATGAAATCCCTGAGGAACTTTGTAGCTACCCAGAGATACGTGGTTCAAATTAAAATGTCTGACTGATCACTCCCGGCATGTGCTGCACAGTTATGTGAACGTGTCACACCTAACTTGGGTCCATTGTCTTCAGACTGAGCACAGGTTGCCACTGGCATGGTCTGAGAATAGGAATAGAGCCACGCCCACTGACCCATCCTATGTCTGGGCTTCCAAATGGAACTATAGTTTCATTCAAATCTTCACGTGCCTATAGGTCCTGCCTGCAGGAATGACATCTCTCGGCTTAGAAAGGGCTGCTTACTGTGGGAATATGACTCCCATCTGGAAGACCAGGTGGAGACTTGTTCCCATCAAAGTAAGAAACCTATTGTCCACGTCAAGGGCGAAGCTGATGTGCTGTTCCTCAAATGAGTAAAACACACTTCTGTAGTGCTGGAATGAGTCAGGTAGTTCAAAGTACATTGACGGAGTCGAATAACATCTATCCAGTGAGTCCTGTAAGACTTCAGGCTCTTCCACTTCCATCAGCACACCGCTGAGCCTGGAAAAGCAGACAAAACTAAAGAAGCAGCCAGGGAAAATCAGACACCACAGAGCCCCACTAGATTTCAGAAGTAACGTAAGGAAGTGGTAAGAAAAGAAAAGGATAGATCCATTAATGAGGTAAAAAAAAAAAATTATTGCCTTTATGTTGGGATAGAAAAGGGCCAGGTAGAAAACAATGAAACAGAAAGACAGAGAGACAGAGACAGAGACAGAGACAGAGAGAAAATGAGCTAGTGAATTGGCCAGGTGACATACTGGTAAGGGAGTAAAAGGACACTCTGAGTTAGTGCCCTCATGACACACAGCAAACTGCGATCATGAAAAGAGTGAGCTCAATAGTTTTCCATAAAATATGCTCAAAATTCGATGCAGTGGCCATGAGAGTACAGCTTTTGAAGTATGGTCATCCTATGGTACGTTAGTAAATGATAAGGGGAGGAAGAAATGGAAACCTAAACATCTACTGCAATGAAAACCAACAGCAATGACAGTAGGAGTAATTCAGCCTTCGTTGAAAACATGAAATCAAACACACTCTGGTTTCCCTGAATCTGTTGCCTCCAGGTGTTAACACAGAATTAAGCATCCACAATTGCTGAAAGTTACCTGGGGCATGGTGGGTTTTGATCTTCTTCCCCTTCTTTACTTCCCCTTCTCCTTCTTTTCTTCGTTGATCTTCTTCCCCTTCTTTTCTTCCCCTTCCCCTTCTTTTCAATTTCTGCAATAAATTCAGACATGGACAGACACATTAAGCTGATTCCCCTACACACATAACAATCCACTGTCTAATCCTCACACAGGGACCTCAGGCTCCTCAGCATAAGAATAGGAGACTGTGAGAGATATATTTCAGGAGGCCTGAAGGCTGGTCATGATAGAAATTCCTCGGTTTTTCTCCCAGAAACTGTGGGTAAAATGTCCCTATTCTAGTAGATCGTTATCCCAATATCATTTGTCCCGAGTTTGTGCAAACAGTTATGCCATATTTTTCCAATCAATTTAAAGCAAATACCCTCAAATGATTTCTAGGAGAAAAACTGCAATATTTAGCCCTGTCTCATCAAATACTCAGATTGTTCATGGTTGTGAGGACTTTAGACACTGAAATTAGAGTGAAAAAGGAAATCTACAAACCCTTGAGTCAAAATCATAGTTCTCTGAATTTGTCACATCTGCCCAGGTCCAATGTCATGAGAGTAGAATCAGAGTGCCACAGGCATGGCCTGAGACTAGGAAGAGAGCCATGCTCACTGACCCATCCCATGTCTGGGCTTCCAGTTAGAACTAGAGTTTCATTCAACCTACATGTGCCTATAGGTCCTCACTGCAGCAATGACATCTCTCAGCTCAGTAATGGCCACTTGGAGCAGGAATATGATCTTTATATGGAAGACTCAGTGGATCCTTATCACCTTCATAGAAAGGTACTCACCTCCCACGTCAAGAGAAAAGCCAACATGTTTTTCCTCCAATGCATAAAAGGAACTTCCATAGGGCAGGCAGGAGTCAGGCTGTTCAAGACAACTGGAAGGAGTTGAATAACATCTATCCAGTGAGTCCAGCAAGACTTCAGGCTCTACTGCCTCCAGCAGCTCCCTGCTGAGCCTGGAAAAGGAGGAAAAAGTAAAGAATAAGCCAGGGGAAATCAGACACAACAGAGCCCCAACTAGGTTTCATGGGTAGCATAAGGAAGTGGTTAAAAAAGTAAAAGGATAGATCCATTAATGAGGTAACAAATTATTGCCTTCATGTTGGGACAGAACAGGGCCAAATGGAAAAGAATGAAAGAGAAAGACAGATAGACACACACACACACACACAAACACACACACACACACACACACACACACAGAGAGAGAATGAGCTCAGTGAATTGTCCAGGTGACACACTGATGAGGGAGTAACAGGACACTCTGAGTTAGTGCCCTCAGGACACACAGCATACAGTGATCAGGAAAGGACTGTGCTCAATAATTTTCCATAAAATGTGCTCAAGTTTCCATGCAGTCGCCATGAGAATACAGTTTTTGAAGTCTGGTCCACCTACAGTAGGTTAGTAAATGATAAGGGGAGGAAGAAATGGAAACCTAAATATCTACTGCAATGAAAACCAACAGCAATGTTAGTAGGAATAATTCAGGCTCGGTTGAAAAGATGTAATCGATAATGTCAGCCCGCCCTGTTTTCCCTGAACCAGGAGTCTCCAGATGTCAACACAGAAGTAGCTGTTCACAATTGCTCAGTTACCTGGAGCATGGTGGGCCTTGGTCTTCTTCCTCTTCCTGGTCCTTTTTAATTCCTGCAATACATTCAGACAGGGACAGACAAAATAAGCCAATTCACCTACACCCGTAACAGTCCACTGTCTAATCCCCACACAGGGATCTCAGGCTCCTCAGCAAGAGAACAGGACAATGTGAGAGATATACTTCAGGAGGCCTGAAAGCTGGTCATGATATTCTTTGGTTTGCATCTCAGAACCAAGGGTGAAATATCCCTATTCTGGTAGATCGTTATCCCAAAATCATTTATCCCAAGTTTGTGCAAACAGTTATGACTTATTGTTCCCATCAGTTCAAAGACAATGCCCCAGATGATTTCTAGGAGGAAAACTGCAGTATTCAGCCCTGTCTCATCAAATGCCCAGCTCGTTCATGGATGCAAGAATTTTAGACACTGAAATTAGAATGAGGGAGGAAATCTACAAACCCTTGAGTACAAATCATAGTTCTGTGAATTTTTTACATCTGCCTGGGTCCAATGTGCTGAGAGCGGGCTCAGGTTGCCACAGGCATGGCTGGAGACTAGGAATAGAGCCTTGCTCACTGACCCATTTCATGTCTAGGCTTCCAGCGGAGACTACAGTTTCATTACAACCTATATGCGCCCATAGGTCCTGCCTGCGGCAATGACATCTCTCGGGTCAGTAAGGGCCACTGGGAACAGGAATATCACCCCTATCTGGAAGACCAGGTGGAGGCTTATCACCTTCATAGTAAGGTACTCACTGTCCACGTCAAGAGCCAAGCCAAGGTACTGTTCCTCCAATGAGTGAACAGCACTTCTGTAGGGCTGGCCTAAGTCAGGCAGTTCAAGATAACCTGAAGGAGTCGAATAACATCTATCCAGTGAGTCCTGCAAGACTTCAGGCTCTTTCTCATCCAGCAGCTCCCTGCTGAGCCTGGAAAAGTAGGAAAAAGTAAAGAATAAGCCAGGGGGAATCAGAAACCACACAGCCCCAGCTACATTTCATGGCTAACATAAGGAACTGTTTAAACAGAAAAAGGGCAGATCCATTAATGAGGTAATGAATTATTGCCTTTATGTTGGGATAGACCAGGGCCAGGTAGAAAAGAATGAAAGAGAAAGACAGGGAGAGGGAGAGGGAGAGAGAGACAGAGGAGAAAGTGAGCTCAGCGAATTGGCCGGGTGACACACTGATGAAGGGGTCAAAGGACACTGAGTTAGTGCCCTCGGGACACACAGAGAACAGTGATCATGAAAAGAGTGGGCTCAATAATTTTCCATAAACTTGCTTAAGATTCCATGCAGTTGCCATACAGCCTTTGAGGTATGGTCAACCTACAGTAAGTTAGTAAATGATAAGGGGAGGAAGAAATGGAAACCTAAACATCTACTGCAAGGAAAACCAACAGCAATGTCAGTAGGAGTAATTCAACCTTCGTTGAAAACATGAAATTGAACATACTCTTGTTTTCCCTGGACCTGGCATCTCCAGGTGTCAACACAGAATTAAGCATCCATAATTGCTCAAAGTTACCTGGGGCATGATGGGTCTTGGTCTTCTTCCACTTCTTGGTACTTTTCAATTTCTGCAATAAGTTCAGACATGGACAGACATATTAAGCTGGTTCTCCTACACACATAACAATCCACTGTCTAATCCTCACACAGGGACTACAGGCTCCTCAGCATGAGAATAGGACACTGTGAGAGATCTTCTTCAGGAGGCCTGAAGGCTGATCATGATAGAGATTCCTGGGTTTTTGTCCCAGAAACTGTGGGTAAAATTCCCTATTCTGGTAGATCGTTATCCCAAGATCATTTGTCCCAAGTTTGTGCAAATGGTTATGCCATATTTTTCCAATCGATTTAAAGCAAATGCCCCCAAATGGTTGCTGGGAGAAAAACTGCAATATTCAGCCCTGTCTCATCAAATACTCAGATTCTTCATGGTAGCGAGGATTTTAGACACTGAAATTAGAGTGAAGGATGAAATCTACAAGATCTACAAAATTGAGACAAAATCAGAGTTGTGTGAATTTGTCACATCTGCCCAGATCCAACATCTTGAGAGTAGGATTAGGGTGCCACAGGCATGGCCTGAGACTAGGAAGAGAGCCCTGCTCACTGACCCATCCCTTGCCTGGGCTTCCAAGTGGAACTAGAGTTTCATTCAACCTACATGTGCCTATAGGTCCTCCCTGTGGCAATGACATCTCTCAGCTCAGTAAGGGCCATTTGCAGTAGGAATATGACCCTAACCAGAAGACTCAGTGGATCCTTATCACCTTCATAGAAAGGTACTCACCATCCATGTCAAGAGCCCAGCCAACACGCTGTTGCTCCAATATGTAAAAGGCACTTCTGTAGGGCTGGCATGAGTCAGTCAGTTCAAGATAACCTGAAGGAGTTGAATAACATCTATCCAGTGAGTCCTGCAAGACTTCAGGCCCTTTCTCATCCAGCAGCTCCCTGCTGAGCCTGGAACAGTGGGAAAAAGTAAAGAATAAGCCAGGGGAAATCAGAAACCACACAGCCCCAGCTAGATTTCATGGCTAACATAAGGAAGAGTTTGAAAAGAAAAAGGACAGATCCATTAATGAGGTAACAAATTATTGCCTTTATGTTGGGATAGAACAGGGCCAGGTAGAAAACAATGAAAGAGAAAGACAGAGAGACAGAGACAGAGACAGAGACAGAGAGAAAGTGAGCTAGTGAATTGGCCAGGTGACATACTGGTAAGGGAGTAAAAGGACACTCTGAGTTAGTGCCCTCATGACACACAGCAAACTGCGATCATGAAAAGAGTGAGCTCAATAGTTTTCCATAAAATATGCTCAAAATTCGATGCAGTGGCCACGAGAGTACAGCTTTTGAAGTATGGTCATCCTATGGTACGTTAGTAAATGATAAGGGGAGGAAGAAATGGAAACCCAAACATCTACTGCAATGAAAACCAACAGCAATGACAGTAGGAGTAATTCAGCCTTCGTTGAAAACATGAAATCAAACACACTCCGGTTTCCCTGAATCTGTTGCCTCCAGGTGTTAACACAGAATTAAGCATCCACAATTGCTGAAAGTTACCTGGGGCATGGTGGGTTTTGATCTTCTTCCCCTTCTTTTCTTCCCCTTCTCCTTCTTTTCTTCGTTGATCTTCTTCCCCTTCTTTTCTTCCCCTTCCCCTTCTTTTCAATTTCTGCAATAAATTCAGACATGGACAGACACATTAAGCTGATTCCCCTACACACATAACAATCCACTGTCTAATCCTCACACAGGGACCTCAGGCTCCTCAGCATAAGAATAGGAGACTGTGAGAGATATATTTCAGGAGGCCTGAAGGCTGGTCATGATAGAAATTCCTCGGTTTTTCTCCCAGAAACTGTGGGTAAAATGTCCCTATTCTAGTAGATCGTTATCCCAATATCATTTGTCCCGAGTTTGTGCAAACAGTTATGCCATATTTTTCCAATCAATTTAAAGCAAATACCCTCAAATGATTTCTAGGAGAAAAACTGCAATATTTAGCCCTGTCTCATCAAATACTCAGATTGTTCATGGTTGTGAGGACTTTAGACACTGAAATTAGAGTGAAAAAGGAAATCTACAAACCCTTGAGTCAAAATCATAGTTCTCTGAATTTGTCACATCTGCCCAGGTCCAATGTCATGAGAGTAGAATCAGAGTGCCACAGGCATGGCCTGAGACTAGGAAGAGAGCCATGCTCACTGACCCATCCCATGTCTGGGCTTCCAGTTAGAACTAGAGTTTCATTCAACCTACATGTGCCTATAGGTCCTCACTGCAGCAATGACATCTCTCAGCTCAGTAATGGCCACTTGGAGCAGGAATATGATCTTTATATGGAAGACTCAGTGGATCCTTATCACCTTCATAGAAAGGTACTCACCTCCCACGTCAAGAGAAAAGCCAACATGTTTTTCCTCCAATGCATAAAAGGAACTTCCATAGGGCAGGCAGGAGTCAGGCTGTTCAAGACAACTGGAAGGAGTTGAATAACATCTATCCAGTGAGTCCTGCAAGACTTCAGGCTCTACTGCCTCCAGCAGCTCCCTGCTGAGCCTGGAAAAGGAGGAAAAAGTAAAGAATAAGCCAGGGGAAATCAGACACAACAGAGCCCCAACTAGGTTTCATGGGTAGCATAAGGAAGTGGTTGAAAAAGTAAAAGGAGAGATCCATTAATGAGGTAACAAATTATTGCCTTCATGTTGGGACAGAACAGGGCCAAATGGAAAAGAATGAAAGAGAAAGACAGATAGACACACACACACACACACACACACACACACACACACACACACACACAGAGAATGAGCTCAGTGAATTGTCCAGGTGACACACTGATGAGGGAGTAACAGGACACTCTGAGTTAGTGCCCTCAGGACACACAGCATACAGTGATCAGGAAAGGACTGTGCTCAATAATTTTCCATAAAATGTGCTCAAGTTTCCATGCAGTCGCCATGAGAATACAGTTTTTGAAGTCTGGTCCACCTACAGTAGGTTAGTAAATGATAAGGGGAGGAAGAAATGGAAACCTAAATATCTACTGCAATGAAAACCAACAGCAATGTTAGTAGGAATAATTCAGGCTCGGTTGAAAAGATGTAATCGATAATGTCAGCCCGCCCTGTTTTCCCTGAACCAGGAGTCTCCAGATGTCAACACAGAAGTAGCTGTTCACAATTGCTCAGTTACCTGGGGCATGGTGGGCCTTGGTCTTCTTCCTCTTCCTGGTCCTTTTTAATTCCTGCAATACATTCAGACAGGGACAGACAAAATAAGCCAATTCACCTACACCCGTAACAGTCCACTGTCTAATCCCCACACAGGGATCTCAGGCTCCTCAGCAAGAGAACAGGACAATGTGAGAGATATACTTCAGGAGGCCTGAAAGCTGGTCATGATATTCTTTGGTTTGCATCTCAGAACCAAGGGCGAAATATCCCTATTCTGGTAGATCGTTATCCCAAAATCATTTATCCCAAGTTTGTGCAAACAGTTATGCCTTATTGTTCCCATCAGTTCAAAGACAATGCCCCAGATGATTTCTAGGAGGAAAACTGCAGCATTCAGCCCTGTCTCATCAAATGCCCAGCTCGTTCATGGATGCAAGAATTTTAGACACTGAAATTAGAATGAGGGAGGAAATCTACAAACCCTTGAGTACAAATCATAGTTCTGTGAATTTTTTACATCTGCCTGGGTCCAATGTGCTGAGAGCGGGCTCAGGTTGCCACAGGCATGGCTGGAGACTAGGAATAGAGCCTTGCTCACTGACCCATTTCATGTCTAGGCTTCCAGCGGAGACTACAGTTTCATTACAACCTATATGCGCCCATAGGTCCTGCCTGCGGCAATGACATCTCTCGGGTCAGTAAGGGCCACTGGGAACAGGAATATCACCCTTATCTGGAAGACCAGGTGGAGGCTTATCACCTTCATAGTAAGGTACTCACTGTCCACGTCAAGAGCCAAGCCAAGGTACTGTTCCTCCAATGAGTGAACAGCACTTCTGTAGGGCTGGCCTAAGTCAGGCAGTTCAAGATAACCTGAAGGAGTCGAATAACATCTATCCAGTGAGTCCTGCAAGACTTCAGGCTCTTTCTCATCCAGCAGCTCCCTGCTGAGCCTGGAAAAGTAGGAAAAAGTAAAGAATAAGCCAGGGGGAATCAGAAACCACACAGCCCCAGCTACATTTCATGGCTAACATAAGGAACTGTTTAAACAGAAAAAGGGCAGATCCATTAATGAGGTAATGAATTATTGCCTTTATGTTGGGATAGACCAGGGCCAGGTAGAAAAGAATGAAAGAGAAAGACAGGGAGAGGGAGAGGGAGAGAGAGACAGAGGAGAAAGTGAGCTCAGCGAATTGGCCGGGTGACACACTGATGAAGGGGTCAAAGGACACTGAGTTAGTGCCCTCGGGACACACAGAGAACAGTGATCATGAAAAGAGTGGGCTCAATAATTTTCCATAAACTTGCTTAAGATTCCATGCAGTTGCCATACAGCCTTTGAGGTATGGTCAACCTACAGTAAGTTAGTAAATGATAAGGGGAGGAAGAAATGGAAACCTAAACATCTACTGCAAGGAAAACCAACAGCAATGTCAGTAGGAGTAATTCAACCTTCGTTGAAAACATGAAATTGAACATACTCTTGTTTTCCCTGGACCTGGCATCTCCAGGTGTCAACACAGAATTAAGCATCCATAATTGCTCAAAGTTACCTGGGGCATGATGGGTCTTGGTCTTCTTCCACTTCTTGGTACTTTTCAATTTCTGCAATAAGTTCAGACATGGACAGACATATTAAGCTGGTTCTCCTACACACATAACAATCCACTGTCTAATCCTCACACAGGGACTTCAGGCTCCTCAGCATGAGAATAGGACACTGTGAGAGATCTTCTTCAGGAGGCCTGAAGGCTGATCATGATAGAGATTCCTGGGTTTTTGTCCCAGAAACTGTGGGTAAAATTCCCTATTCTGGTAGATCGTTATCCCAAGATCATTTGTCCCAAGTTTGTGCAAATGGTTATGCCATATTTTTCCAATCGATTTAAAGCAAATGCCCCCAAATGGTTGCTGGGAGAAAAACTGCAATATTCAGCCCTGTCTCATCAAATACTCAGATTCTTCATGGTAGCGAGGATTTTAGATGCTGAAATTAGAGTGAAGGATGAAATCTACAAGATCTACAAAATTGAGACAAAATCAGAGTTGTGTGAATTTGTCACATCTGCCCAGATCCAACATCTTGAGAGTAGGATTAGGGTGCCACAGGCATGGCCTGAGACTAGGAAGAGAGCCCTGCTCACTGACCCATCCCTTGCCTGGGCTTCCAAGTGGAACTAGAGTTTCATTCAACCTACATGTGCCTATAGGTCCTCCCTGTGGCAATGACATCTCTCAGCTCAGTAAGGGCCATTTGCAGTAGGAATATGACCCTAACCAGAAGACTCAGTGGATCCTTATCACCTTCATAGAAAGGTACTCACCATCCATGTCAAGAGCCCAGCCAACACGCTGTTGCTCCAATATGTAAAAGGCACTTCTGTAGGGCTGGCATGAGTCAGTCAGTTCAAGATAACCTGAAGGAGTTGAATAACATCTATCCAGTGAGTCCTGCAAGACTTCAGGCCCTTTCTCATCCAGCAGCTCCCTGCTGAGCCTGGAACAGTGGGAAAAAGTAAAGAATAAGCCAGGGGAAATCAGAAACCACACAGCCCCAGCTAGATTTCATGGCTAACATAAGGAAGAGTTTGAAAAGAAAAAGGACAGATCCATTAATGAGGTAACAAATTATTGCCTTTATGTTGGGATAGAACAGGGCCAGGTAGAAAACAATGAAAGAGAAAGACAGAGAGACAGAGACAGAGACAGAGACAGAGAGAAAGTGAGCTAGTGAATTGGCCAGGTGACATACTGGTAAGGGAGTAAAAGGACACTCTGAGTTAGTGCCCTCATGACACACAGCAAACTGCGATCATGAAAAGAGTGAGCTCAATAGTTTTCCATAAAATATGCTCAAAATTCGATGCAGTGGCCACGAGAGTACAGCTTTTGAAGTATGGTCATCCTATGGTACGTTAGTAAATGATAAGGGGAGGAAGAAATGGAAACCCAAACATCTACTGCAATGAAAACCAACAGCAATGACAGTAGGAGTAATTCAGCCTTCGTTGAAAACATGAAATCAAACACACTCTGGTTTCCCTGAATCTGTTGCCTCCAGGTGTTAACACAGAATTAAGCATCCACAATTGCTGAAAGTTACCTGGGGCATGGTGGGTTTTGATCTTCTTCCCCTTCTTTTCTTCCCCTTCTCCTTCTTTTCTTCGTTGATCTTCTTCCCCTTCTTTTCTTCCCCTTCCCCTTCTTTTCAATTTCTGCAATAAATTCAGACATGGACAGACACATTAAGCTGATTCCCCTACACACATAACAATCCACTGTCTAATCCTCACACAGGGACCTCAGGCTCCTCAGCATAAGAATAGGAGACTGTGAGAGATATATTTCAGGAGGCCTGAAGGCTGGTCATGATAGAAATTCCTCGGTTTTTCTCCCAGAAACTGTGGGTAAAATGTCCCTATTCTAGTAGATCGTTATCCCAATATCATTTGTCCCGAGTTTGTGCAAACAGTTATGCCATATTTTTCCAATCAATTTAAAGCAAATACCCTCAAATGATTTCTAGGAGAAAAACTGCAATATTTAGCCCTGTCTCATCAAATACTCAGATTGTTCATGGTTGTGAGGACTTTAGACACTGAAATTAGAGTGAAAAAGGAAATCTACAAACCCTTGAGTCAAAATCATAGTTCTCTGAATTTGTCACATCTGCCCAGGTCCAATGTCATGAGAGTAGAATCAGAGTGCCACAGGCATGGCCTGAGACTAGGAAGAGAGCCATGCTCACTGACCCATCCCATGTCTGGGCTTCCAGTTAGAACTAGAGTTTCATTCAACCTACATGTGCCTATAGGTCCTCACTGCAGCAATGACATCTCTCAGCTCAGTAATGGCCACTTGGAGCAGGAATATGATCTTTATATGGAAGACTCAGTGGATCCTTATCACCTTCATAGAAAGGTACTCACCTCCCACGTCAAGAGAAAAGCCAACATGTTTTTCCTCCAATGCATAAAAGGAACTTCCATAGGGCAGGCAGGAGTCAGGCTGTTCAAGACAACTGGAAGGAGTTGAATAACATCTATCCAGTGAGTCCTGCAAGACTTCAGGCTCTACTGCCTCCAGCAGCTCCCTGCTGAGCCTGGAAAAGGAGGAAAAAGTAAAGAATAAGCCAGGGGAAATCAGACACAACAGAGCCCCAACTAGGTTTCATGGGTAGCATAAGGAAGTGGTTGAAAAAGTAAAAGGAGAGATCCATTAATGAGGTAACAAATTATTGCCTTCATGTTGGGACAGAACAGGGCCAAATGGAAAAGAATGAAAGAGAAAGACAGATAGACACACACACACACACACACACACACACACACACACACACACACACAGAGAATGAGCTCAGTGAATTGTCCAGGTGACACACTGATGAGGGAGTAACAGGACACTCTGAGTTAGTGCCCTCAGGACACACAGCATACAGTGATCAGGAAAGGACTGTGCTCAATAATTTTCCATAAAATGTGCTCAAGTTTCCATGCAGTCGCCATGAGAATACAGTTTTTGAAGTCTGGTCCACCTACAGTAGGTTAGTAAATGATAAGGGGAGGAAGAAATGGAAACCTAAATATCTACTGCAATGAAAACCAACAGCAATGTTAGTAGGAATAATTCAGGCTCGGTTGAAAAGATGTAATCGATAATGTCAGCCCGCCCTGTTTTCCCTGAACCAGGAGTCTCCAGATGTCAACACAGAAGTAGCTGTTCACAATTGCTCAGTTACCTGGGGCATGGTGGGCCTTGGTCTTCTTCCTCTTCCTGGTCCTTTTTAATTCCTGCAATACATTCAGACAGGGACAGACAAAATAAGCCAATTCACCTACACCCGTAACAGTCCACTGTCTAATCCCCACACAGGGATCTCAGGCTCCTCAGCAAGAGAACAGGACAATGTGAGAGATATACTTCAGGAGGCCTGAAAGCTGGTCATGATATTCTTTGGTTTGCATCTCAGAACCAAGGGCGAAATATCCCTATTCTGGTAGATCGTTATCCCAAAATCATTTATCCCAAGTTTGTGCAAACAGTTATGCCTTATTGTTCCCATCAGTTCAAAGACAATGCCCCAGATGATTTCTAGGAGGAAAACTGCAGCATTCAGCCCTGTCTCATCAAATGCCCAGCTCGTTCATGGATGCAAGAATTTTAGACACTGAAATTAGAATGAGGGAGGAAATCTACAAACCCTTGAGTACAAATCATAGTTCTGTGAATTTTTTACATCTGCCTGGGTCCAATGTGCTGAGAGCGGGCTCAGGTTGCCACAGGCATGGCTGGAGACTAGGAATAGAGCCTTGCTCACTGACCCATTTCATGTCTAGGCTTCCAGCGGAGACTACAGTTTCATTACAACCTATATGCGCCCATAGGTCCTGCCTGCGGCAATGACATCTCTCGGGTCAGTAAGGGCCACTGGGAACAGGAATATCACCCTTATCTGGAAGACCAGGTGGAGGCTTATCACCTTCATAGTAAGGTACTCACTGTCCACGTCAAGAGCCAAGCCAAGGTACTGTTCCTCCAATGAGTGAACAGCACTTCTGTAGGGCTGGCCTAAGTCAGGCAGTTCAAGATAACCTGAAGGAGTCGAATAACATCTATCCAGTGAGTCCTGCAAGACTTCAGGCTCTTTCTCATCCAGCAGCTCCCTGCTGAGCCTGGAAAAGTAGGAAAAAGTAAAGAATAAGCCAGGGGGAATCAGAAACCACACAGCCCCAGCTACATTTCATGGCTAACATAAGGAACTGTTTAAACAGAAAAAGGGCAGATCCATTAATGAGGTAATGAATTATTGCCTTTATGTTGGGATAGACCAGGGCCAGGTAGAAAAGAATGAAAGAGAAAGACAGGGAGAGGGAGAGGGAGAGAGAGACAGAGGAGAAAGTGAGCTCAGCGAATTGGCCGGGTGACACACTGATGAAGGGGTCAAAGGACACTGAGTTAGTGCCCTCGGGACACACAGAGAACAGTGATCATGAAAAGAGTGGGCTCAATAATTTTCCATAAACTTGCTTAAGATTCCATGCAGTTGCCATACAGCCTTTGAGGTATGGTCAACCTACAGTAAGTTAGTAAATGATAAGGGGAGGAAGAAATGGAAACCTAAACATCTACTGCAAGGAAAACCAACAGCAATGTCAGTAGGAGTAATTCAACCTTCGTTGAAAACATGAAATTGAACATACTCTTGTTTTCCCTGGACCTGGCATCTCCAGGTGTCAACACAGAATTAAGCATCCATAATTGCTCAAAGTTACCTGGGGCATGATGGGTCTTGGTCTTCTTCCACTTCTTGGTACTTTTCAATTTCTGCAATAAGTTCAGACATGGACAGACATATTAAGCTGGTTCTCCTACACACATAACAATCCACTGTCTAATCCTCACACAGGGACTTCAGGCTCCTCAGCATGAGAATAGGACACTGTGAGAGATCTTCTTCAGGAGGCCTGAAGGCTGATCATGATAGAGATTCCTGGGTTTTTGTCCCAGAAACTGTGGGTAAAATTCCCTATTCTGGTAGATCGTTATCCCAAGATCATTTGTCCCAAGTTTGTGCAAATGGTTATGCCATATTTTTCCAATCGATTTAAAGCAAATGCCCCCAAATGGTTGCTGGGAGAAAAACTGCAATATTCAGCCCTGTCTCATCAAATACTCAGATTCTTCATGGTAGCGAGGATTTTAGATGCTGAAATTAGAGTGAAGGATGAAATCTACAAGATCTACAAAATTGAGACAAAATCAGAGTTGTGTGAATTTGTCACATCTGCCCAGATCCAACATCTTGAGAGTAGGATTAGGGTGCCACAGGCATGGCCTGAGACTAGGAAGAGAGCCCTGCTCACTGACCCATCCCTTGCCTGGGCTTCCAAGTGGAACTAGAGTTTCATTCAACCTACATGTGCCTATAGGTCCTCCCTGTGGCAATGACATCTCTCAGCTCAGTAAGGGCCATTTGCAGTAGGAATATGACCCTAACCAGAAGACTCAGTGGATCCTTATCACCTTCATAGAAAGGTACTCACCATCCATGTCAAGAGCCCAGCCAACACGCTGTTGCTCCAATATGTAAAAGGCACTTCTGTAGGGCTGGCATGAGTCAGTCAGTTCAAGATAACCTGAAGGAGTTGAATAACATCTATCCAGTGAGTCCTGCAAGACTTCAGGCCCTTTCTCATCCAGCAGCTCCCTGCTGAGCCTGGAACAGTGGGAAAAAGTAAAGAATAAGCCAGGGGAAATCAGAAACCACACAGCCCCAGCTAGATTTCATGGCTAACATAAGGAAGAGTTTGAAAAGAAAAAGGACAGATCCATTAATGAGGTAACAAATTATTGCCTTTATGTTGGGATAGAACAGGGCCAGGTAGAAAACAATGAAAGAGAAAGACAGAGAGACAGAGACAGAGACAGAGACAGAGAGAAAGTGAGCTAGTGAATTGGCCAGGTGACATACTGGTAAGGGAGTAAAAGGACACTCTGAGTTAGTGCCCTCATGACACACAGCAAACTGCGATCATGAAAAGAGTGAGCTCAATAGTTTTCCATAAAATATGCTCAAAATTCGATGCAGTGGCCACGAGAGTACAGCTTTTGAAGTATGGTCATCCTATGGTACGTTAGTAAATGATAAGGGGAGGAAGAAATGGAAACCCAAACATCTACTGCAATGAAAACCAACAGCAATGACAGTAGGAGTAATTCAGCCTTCGTTGAAAACATGAAATCAAACACACTCTGGTTTCCCTGAATCTGTTGCCTCCAGGTGTTAACACAGAATTAAGCATCCACAATTGCTGAAAGTTACCTGGGGCATGGTGGGTTTTGATCTTCTTCCCCTTCTTTTCTTCCCCTTCTCCTTCTTTTCTTCGTTGATCTTCTTCCCCTTCTTTTCTTCCCCTTCCCCTTCTTTTCAATTTCTGCAATAAATTCAGACATGGACAGACACATTAAGCTGATTCCCCTACACACATAACAATCCACTGTCTAATCCTCACACAGGGACCTCAGGCTCCTCAGCATAAGAATAGGAGACTGTGAGAGATATATTTCAGGAGGCCTGAAGGCTGGTCATGATAGAAATTCCTCGGTTTTTCTCCCAGAAACTGTGGGTAAAATGTCCCTATTCTAGTAGATCGTTATCCCAATATCATTTGTCCCGAGTTTGTGCAAACAGTTATGCCATATTTTTCCAATCAATTTAAAGCAAATACCCTCAAATGATTTCTAGGAGAAAAACTGCAATATTTAGCCCTGTCTCATCAAATACTCAGATTGTTCATGGTTGTGAGGACTTTAGACACTGAAATTAGAGTGAAAAAGGAAATCTACAAACCCTTGAGTCAAAATCATAGTTCTCTGAATTTGTCACATCTGCCCAGGTCCAATGTCATGAGAGTAGAATCAGAGTGCCACAGGCATGGCCTGAGACTAGGAAGAGAGCCATGCTCACTGACCCATCCCATGTCTGGGCTTCCAGTTAGAACTAGAGTTTCATTCAACCTACATGTGCCTATAGGTCCTCACTGCAGCAATGACATCTCTCAGCTCAGTAATGGCCACTTGGAGCAGGAATATGATCTTTATATGGAAGACTCAGTGGATCCTTATCACCTTCATAGAAAGGTACTCACCTCCCACGTCAAGAGAAAAGCCAACATGTTTTTCCTCCAATGCATAAAAGGAACTTCCATAGGGCAGGCAGGAGTCAGGCTGTTCAAGACAACTGGAAGGAGTTGAATAACATCTATCCAGTGAGTCCTGCAAGACTTCAGGCTCTACTGCCTCCAGCAGCTCCCTGCTGAGCCTGGAAAAGGAGGAAAAAGTAAAGAATAAGCCAGGGGAAATCAGACACAACAGAGCCCCAACTAGGTTTCATGGGTAGCATAAGGAAGTGGTTGAAAAAGTAAAAGGAGAGATCCATTAATGAGGTAACAAATTATTGCCTTCATGTTGGGACAGAACAGGGCCAAATGGAAAAGAATGAAAGAGAAAGACAGATAGACACACACACACACACACACACACACACACACACACACACACACACAGAGAATGAGCTCAGTGAATTGTCCAGGTGACACACTGATGAGGGAGTAACAGGACACTCTGAGTTAGTGCCCTCAGGACACACAGCATACAGTGATCAGGAAAGGACTGTGCTCAATAATTTTCCATAAAATGTGCTCAAGTTTCCATGCAGTCGCCATGAGAATACAGTTTTTGAAGTCTGGTCCACCTACAGTAGGTTAGTAAATGATAAGGGGAGGAAGAAATGGAAACCTAAATATCTACTGCAATGAAAACCAACAGCAATGTTAGTAGGAATAATTCAGGCTCGGTTGAAAAGATGTAATCGATAATGTCAGCCCGCCCTGTTTTCCCTGAACCAGGAGTCTCCAGATGTCAACACAGAAGTAGCTGTTCACAATTGCTCAGTTACCTGGGGCATGGTGGGCCTTGGTCTTCTTCCTCTTCCTGGTCCTTTTTAATTCCTGCAATACATTCAGACAGGGACAGACAAAATAAGCCAATTCACCTACACCCGTAACAGTCCACTGTCTAATCCCCACACAGGGATCTCAGGCTCCTCAGCAAGAGAACAGGACAATGTGAGAGATATACTTCAGGAGGCCTGAAAGCTGGTCATGATATTCTTTGGTTTGCATCTCAGAACCAAGGGTGAAATATCCCTATTCTGGTAGATCGTTATCCCAAAATCATTTATCCCAAGTTTGTGCAAACAGTTATGCCTTATTGTTCCCATCAGTTCAAAGACAATGCCCCAGATGATTTCTAGGAGGAAAACTGCAGTATTCAGCCCTGTCTCATCAAATGCCCAGCTCGTTCATGGATGCAAGAATTTTAGACACTGAAATTAGAATGAGGGAGGAAATCTACAAACCCTTGAGTCCAAATCATAGTTCTGTGAATTTTTTACATCTGCCTGGGTCCAATGTGCTGAGAGCGGGCTCAGGTTGCCACAGGCATGGCTGGAGACTAGGAATAGAGCCTTGCTCACTGACCCATTTCATGTCTAGGCTTCCAGCGGAGACTACAGTTTCATTACAACCTATATGCGCCCATAGGTCCTGCCTGCGGCAATGACATCTCTCGGGTCAGTAAGGGCCACTGGGAACAGGAATATCACCCCTATCTGGAAGACCAGGTGGAGGCTTATCACCTTCATAGTAAGGTACTCACTGTCCACGTCAAGAGCCAAGCCAAGGTACTGTTCCTCCAATGAGTGAACAGCACTTCTGTAGGGCTGGCCTAAGTCAGGCAGTTCAAGATAACCTGAAGGAGTCGAATAACATCTATCCAGTGAGTCCTGCAAGACTTCAGGCTCTTTCTCATCCAGCAGCTCCCTGCTGAGCCTGGAAAAGTAGGAAAAAGTAAAGAATAAGCCAGGGGGAATCAGAAACCACACAGCCCCAGCTACATTTCATGGCTAACATAAGGAACTGTTTAAACAGAAAAAGGGCAGATCCATTAATGAGGTAATGAATTATTGCCTTTATGTTGGGATAGACCAGGGCCAGGTAGAAAAGAATGAAAGAGAAAGACAGGGAGAGGGAGAGGGAGAGAGAGACAGAGGAGAAAGTGAGCTCAGCGAATTGGCCGGGTGACACACTGATGAAGGGGTCAAAGGACACTCTGAGTTAGTGCCCTCGGGACACACAGAGAACAGTGATCATGAAAAGAGTGGGCTCAATAATTTTCCATAAACTTGCTTAAGATTCCATGCAGTTGCCATACAGCCTTTGAGGTATGGTCAACCTACAGTAAGTTAGTAAATGATAAGGGGAGGAAGAAATGGAAACCTAAACATCTACTGCAAGGAAAACCAACAGCAATGTCAGTAGGAGTAATTCAACCTTCGTTGAAAACATGAAATTGAACATACTCTTGTTTTCCCTGGACCTGGCATCTCCAGGTGTCAACACAGAATTAAGCATCCATAATTGCTCAAAGTTACCTGGGGCATGATGGGTCTTGGTCTTCTTCCACTTCTTGGTACTTTTCAATTTCTGCAATAAGTTCAGACATGGACAGACATATTAAGCTGGTTCTCCTACACACATAACAATCCACTGTCTAATCCTCACACAGGGACTTCAGGCTCCTCAGCATGAGAATAGGACACTGTGAGAGATCTTCTTCAGGAGGCCTGAAGGCTGATCATGATAGAGATTCCTGGGTTTTTGTCCCAGAAACTGTGGGTAAAATTCCCTATTCTGGTAGATCGTTATCCCAAGATCATTTGTCCCAAGTTTGTGCAAATGGTTATGCCATATTTTTCCAATCGATTTAAAGCAAATGCCCCCAAATGGTTGCTGGGAGAAAAACTGCAATATTCAGCCCTGTCTCATCAAATACTCAGATTCTTCATGGTAGCGAGGATTTTAGACGCTGAAATTAGAGTGAAGGATGAAATCTACAAGATCTACAAAATTGAGACAAAATCAGAGTTGTGTGAATTTGTCACATCTGCCCAGATCCAACATCTTGAGAGTAGGATTAGGGTGCCACAGGCATGGCCTGAGACTAGGAAGAGAGCCCTGCTCACTGACCCATCCCTTGCCTGGGCTTCCAAGTGGAACTAGAGTTTCATTCAACCTACATGTGCCTATAGGTCCTCCCTGTGGCAATGACATCTCTCAGCTCAGTAAGGGCCATTTGCAGTAGGAATATGACCCTAACCAGAAGACTCAGTGGATCCTTATCACCTTCATAGAAAGGTACTCACCATCCATGTCAAGAGCCCAGCCAACACGCTGTTGCTCCAATATGTAAAAGGCACTTCTGTAGGGCTGGCATGAGTCAGTCAGTTCAAGATAACCTGAAGGAGTTGAATAACATCTATCCAGTGAGTCCTGCAAGACTTCAGGCCCTTTCTCATCCAGCAGCTCCCTGCTGAGCCTGGAACAGTGGGAAAAAGTAAAGAATAAGCCAGGGGGAATCAGAAACCACACAGCCCCAGCTAGATTTCATGGCTAACATAAGGAAGAGTTTGAAAAGAAAAAGGACAGATCCATTAATGAGGTAACAAATTATTGCCTTTATGTTGGGATAGACTAGGGCCAGGTAGAAAAGGATGAAGAGAAAGACACACACACACACACACACACACACACACACACACACACACAGAGTGAGCTCAGTGAATTGGCCAGGTGACACACTGATGAGGGAGTCAACGGTCATTCTCTATTTGTGCTCTCAGGACACACAGTGAACAGTGATCATGAGAAGCATGGCCTCAATAATTTTGCATAAAATGTGCTCAAGTTTCCCTGCAGCCACCATGAGAATACAGCTTTTGAGGTATGGTCAACCTTCACTAGGTTAGTAAATGATAAGGGTAGGAATAAATGGAAACCTAAACATTTACTCTAATGAGAACCAAAAAGCAATGTAGTAGGCATAATTTAGACTTGTCTGACAAGACAAAATCATTATTTTCAGCATGTACTGTTTTCCCTGGACTTGGCATCTCCAGGTGTCAACATCAAATTAACTGTCCACAATTTCTCAGACTCACCTGGGACCTGTTGCCTCTTGGTCCTCCTTTTTCACTTGATCCCACCGATGTCCTGCAAATAAATTCAGATGGGGCCTCTTACATTAAGCAGTTCTTCCTTGCACACAGAAACATTCCTCTGTCCAATCCTAACACAGGTACATCAGTCTGGTCAGTGTGAGAACAGGAGACTTTGAGAGAAATATTCCAGTAGGCCTGAGGTCAAGTCTTGAGAAAACTGGCTTGGGTTCTTTCATGAGCCTTGGGCAAAATTACCCTGTTTTGGAATGTTATCTTCCCTATGTGCTCTGTCCTAGGTTTGTGTACACAAATGAGCAACTTTTTCTCCAATAAATTGTAGGCAAATAGTTCTAACACCTCATAGGAGAGATACTTCAATATTAAGCTTTCTCTCATCAAATACCCAGAATTTGATAGTTTATGAGATTGTGGACACAGAGATTTGATGAAGGGGTGCAATGTACCAGCTCTTGAGTCAAAATGAAACTTGGTTCTACACAGAAGCATCAGCTATTATGGCTTTTGTGGGTGAAAAGTCAGCCATTTATCTAGAAAACATACCAGGAACATGACGGACAGATGAGCTAAAGCAAGCGAACTTAGAAGACACAGAAAATGGGAATAAATTCAGTGAAACCTGGGCCACATCTTTCACTGAGAGGTAGACAAGGGTGACACTTGCCTCGGGCAGGTAAAGAACCACACAGACATGCTTTGGGAACAAAACTCATAAGGAATTTTGTAGCTGGCAAGAGACATTTAATTCAGATGAGCTGATCTGACAGACAACTCCTGGTCATGTACTGCATAGTTTGGTGTGAGCTTGCCACACCTGCCTTGAGTTCAATGTCGTGACAGTCAGTCCAGGTTGGCACGGGCATGGCCTGAGACTAGGAAGAGAGCAAAGCTCACTCACCCACCCATGCCTGTGCTTCAGACTCGACTCCAGAGTGATTGAAATCTACATTGATATATAGGTTCAGCCCACAGTGATGGCAAATCTCAGCCCAACAAGGGGCACAAGGCCCAAAGATTATGGGGTCTACCTGGGCCATGAACTGGAGCTTTATCACCTTCACAATGGAGTACTCACCGCCTATGTCAACAGCCATGCAGACTTGCTGTTCCTCTAATGAGTGAAATGTGCCGCTGTAAGACTGGTACGAGGCCAACATTTCAGGAGGAATTGAGAGAGTCGAATAACCTTCATCCCAGGACTCCTGGGGGACTTCCTCCTCTTCAGACTCCTGCAGATTCCTGATGAGCCAGGCAGGACAGGGATGATAGAAGATTTAACCAACAGACATTAGACAACAAAACCTCCCAGATGATCTGATGGGAGACAGAATGGAGTGGTCACAGAAACCAAAGGCATTTTTCCTTCAAGAGAAATAAAACTATCCTTCTAAATACAGGGCGGAGGGTGACTGCTCTGGGGACAGAGCAAAAATGGGCAGCATGTGCTCAGTACATTTGCCACAGATGAGCCAACTCAGGGCACCCAGACTCTCCCTGTAAACTACCATCATGACTTGCAGCACAGAGAACTGACACAGGGCTTCAACTACTTTGCATAAATTGGGTTGAATTTTACATGCAGCATTCAAGTGAAGAGAGTTCTTGACGCAGTGCAGACACAGATCTTCTGTATTAAGGGCCCCATTTTCCCAATATTTTGATATAATATATTTACCTTTTCAATTTCTTTTCTTGCAAAAATACTAGCCAACATACTACCAACGAATAGGAAGAAAGCATATATACATCTCTCCCTGGATTTAAACACATGGGAGAGAATAGGCAACACCAAGAAATCCCTGTTTGAGGGTCTGGAGTGGACTTCCAGCAAACTCCAACAGACCTGAAGCTGAGGGACCTGATTGTTAGAAGGAAAACTAACACACAGAAAGGAATAGCATCAACATCAACAAAAAAGACATCCACCCCAAAACCCCATCTGTAGGTCGCCATCATCAAAGACCAAGGGTAGATAAAACCACAAAGGTGGGGAGAAACCAGAGCACAAAAGCTGAAAATTCCAAAAACCTGACATCCCTTCTCCTCCAAAGGATCACAGCTCCTCGCCAGCAATGGAACAAAGCAGGATGGAGAATGACTTTGATGAGCTGACAGAAGTAGGCTTCAGAAAGTCGGTAATAACAAACTTCTCTGAGCTAAAGGAGGATGTGCGAACTCATCGCAAGGAAGCTAAAAACCTTGAAAAAAGATTAGACGAATGGCCAACCAGAATGAACAGTGTAGAGAAGACCTTAAATGACCTGATGGAGCTGAAACCCATGGCACGAGAACTACGTGATGCATGCACAAGCTTCAGTAGTCAATTCGATCAAGTGCAAGAAACGGTATCAGTGATTCAAGATCAAATTAGTGAAATGAAGCGAGAAGAGAAGTTTAGAGAAAAAAGAGTAAAAAGAAATGAACAAGCCTCCAATAAATATGGGACTATGTGGAAAGACCAAATCTACGTTTGATTGGTGCACTGAAAGTGACGGGGAGAATGGAACCAAGCTGGGAAACATTCTTCAGGATATTATCCAGGAGGACTTCCCCAACCTTGTAAGGAAGGCCAACATTCAAATTCAGGAAACACAGAGAACACCATAAAGATACTCCTCGAGAAGAGCAACCCCAAAACACATAATTGTCAGATTCACCAAGGTTGAAATGAAGGAAAAAATGCTAAGTGCAGCCAGAGAGAAAGGTCGGATTACCCACAAAGGGAAGCCCATCAGACTAGCAGCAGATCTCTTGGCACAAACCCTACAAGCCAGAAGAGAGTGGGAGCAATATTCAACATTCTTTTTTTTTTCCATATGTATAGTTTTCCTTTATTATTTTTTGTGTGTATGTATATATATGTATATATATTTTTTAATACTTTAAGTCTTAGGGTACATGTGCACAACGTGCAGGTTAGTTACATATGTATACATGTCCACATTGGTGTGCTTCACCCATTAACTCATCATTTAACATTAGGTATATCTCCTAATGCTACCCCTCCTCCCTCCCCCCACCCTACAACAGGCCCCAGTGTGTGATGTTCCCCTTCCTGTGTCCATGTGTTCTCATTGTTCAATTTCCACCTGTGAGTAAGAACATGCGGTACTTGGTTTTTTGTCCTTGCGATAGTTTGCTGAGAATGATGGTTTCCAGCTTCATCCATGCCCCTACAAAGGACATGAACTCATCATTTTTTATAGCTGCATAGTATTCCATGGTGTATACGTGCCACATTTTCTTAATCCAGTCTATCATTGCTGGATATTTGGCTTGGTTCCAAGTCTTTGCTATTGTGAATAGTGCCGCAATAAACATATGTGTGCATGTGTCTTTACAGCAGCATGATTTATAATCCTTTGGGTATACACCCAGTAATGGGATGGCTGGGTCAAATGGTATTTCTAGTTCTAGATCCCTGAGGAATTGCCACACTGCCTTCCACAATCGTTGAACTAGTTTACAGTCCCACCAACAGTGTAAAAGTGTTCCTATTTCTCCACATCCTCTCCAGCATCTTCAACATTCTTAAAGAAAAGAATTTTCAACCCAGAATTTCATATCCAGCCAAACAAAGCTTCATAAGTGAAGGAGAAATAAATCCTTTACAGAGAAGCAAATGCTGAGAGATTTTGTCACCACCAGGCCTGCCTTACAAGAGCTCCTAAAGGAAGCACTAAACATGGAAAGGAACAACCGGTACCAGCCACTGCAAAAACATGCCAAACTGTAAAGACCATTGACGCTAGGAAGAAACTGCATCAACTAACGGGCGAAATAACCAGCTAACATCATAACGACAGGCTCAAATTCACACATAACAATATTAACCTTAAATGTAAATGGGCTAAATGCCCCAGTTAAAAAACACAGAATGGCAAATTGGACAAAGAGTCAAGACCCATCAGTGTGCTGTACTCAGGAAACCCATCTCACATGCAGAGACACACATAGGCTCAAAATAAAGGGATGGAGGAAGATCTACCAAGCAAATGGAAAGCAAAAAAATGCAGGGGTTGCAATCCTAGTCTCTGATAAAACAGACTTTAAACCAACAAAGATCAAAAGAGACAAAGAAGGCCACTATATAATGGTAAAGGGATCAATTCAACAAGAAGAGTTAACTATCCTAAATATATATGCACCCTATACAGGAGCACCCAGATTCATAAAGCAAGTCCTGAGAGACCTACAAAGAGATTTAGACTCCACACAATCATAATGGGAGACTTTAACACCCCACTGTCAATATTAGACAGATCAATGAGACAGAAGCTTTACAAGGATATCCAGGACTTGAACTCAGCTCTCCACCAAGCAGACCTAAAAGACATCTACAGAACTCTCCACCCCAAATCAACAGAATATACATTCTTCTCAGCACCACATCACACTTATTCCAAAATTGACCACATAGTTGGAGGTAAAGCACTCCTCAGCAAATGTAAAAGAATGGAAACCACAACAAACTGTCAGACCACAGTGCAATCAAATTAGAACTCAGGATTAAGAAACTCACTCAAAACCGCACAACTACATGGAAACTGAACAACCTGCTCCTGAATGACTACTGGGAAAATAACAAAATGAAGGCAGAAATAAAGATGTTCTTTGAAACCAATGAGAACAAAGACACAACATACCAGAATCTCTGGGACACATTTAAAGCAATGTGTAGAGGGAAAATTATAGCACTAAATGCCCACAAGAGAAAGCAGAAAAGATCTAAAATTGACACCCTAACATCACAATTAAAATAACTAGAGAAGCAAAGCAAACAAATTCAAAAGCTAGCAGAAGACAAGAAGTAACTAAGATCAGAGCAGAACTAAAGGAGATAGAGACACAAAAAACCCTTCAAAAAATCAATGAATCCAGGGCTGGTTTTTTGAAAAGATCAACAAGAAAACCCTGTTTGGCTAGTTCACCTGGCTCATCTGATGGCAAGTTCCTATCTTGAGAGGACTATGAAATTAAAACCAATACAAGTGCCACAAATAACATACAACATTGTAAATCAGCACAATTTGTAGCTGGGTGAATGGAAGAAATAGTTCTATTCATCACTTCCTCATTTTCCCTAAATCTACAATCTCCAGATGTCACTACTGAATTAACAGCCAACAATTCCACAACATTACCTGGGAGACACTGGCCCTTTTTCTTCCTCTTCCTCATCATCACTTTCATTTTCTGTAAATAAATTCAGAGAAGCAGGTCACATTAAGCAATTCATACTTCACATATGACCAAATCACTGTCCAGTCATAGCACAAGGACATAACTATTCTCAGTGCAAGAATAAGGATTCTGACAGGAATATTCTAGGGTGCCCTAGATTAACTTTGGTGAGAATTAGATGACCCTGCTTTCCAGACCCACAGGCCAAAATCTCCCTCTACGTGTAGACCATAATGCCATATTCCCTGCCTGAGTCAAAGTTAAACAAAATTTTTTCCCCAAAAAAATCTCCAAAAATTGGTCCATTTTCTAAGAGTGTTGCTGCAATACGGACTTATATCACCAGATAACATGGACATTAAATGTTTAGAGGCATCTATACATGAAACACGACTGATAGATAAATTTGAACAACTCTTGCTTTAAAAAGAATCTGTGATTTGGGAGGCCAAGACAGGTGAATCATTTGAGGTCATGAGTTCAGGACTACCCTGGCCAATATGGGGAAACCCTGTCTCTACTAAAAATACAAAAATTAGCCAGATGTGATGTTGTGCACCTGTGGTCCCAGCAACTCAGGAGGCTGAGGCAGGAGAATCACTTGAATCTGGGAGGCAGAGGTTGCACCAAGCCAAGATGGTGCAACTGCACTCTAGCCTGGGTGACAGAGGAAGACTCCATCGCAAAAAAAAAAAAAAAAAAAAAAAAAAAAAATCCACGATGCTACAAAGAAACATTGGATCAGCCATTGCATTGACAGGGTGGAGAACCAGGGTCCAGCCTTGCTTTATGGAAATATATCAGCAAAGTAAAGAAGAAAAGTTTCCATCCTGATTTCAGGGTGACTGTGCAGCTAAGCAAGCTGACTTAAAGGAGATCCGGATGAAAGCTGAGAGCAGTGAAGCCTGGGGAACAATATTTCCAAATACAAAGGCAAGGCTGCCAGCTTCCTGAAACAGGCATAGAAACTCCATGGACATTGTTCAGGGACAGATGACTTAATCACAGATGACAAGAGATACTGAATCGAAGCTAGGAGGCCTGACAGATACTGCCTGTGCACCTCCTGCACTCAGGTGACTATGAGATTGTCACACTTGCCTGGGGTCGAGTAACTTGATACTGGGGACTGGCAGACAAAGGCATGACATTAGCTGAGAAGGACAAAAAAACTCCCTGATATCTGTTTAGAAACCCATCATAGTTTTTTATTCAAATGAATTTGTGTTTATAGAGCCTGTCTTCAGAGTTTATCTTCCTCAGCCTAGAGAGAGGTATGAGACACAAGGAAAACAGAGGCTACCTGGGATAATGTGTACAGCATCCTCCCATTCAACATGAGAGGATGAGCCAATGAGAGTTGAGTCGACTTTGTCTTCCTCAAATGTGATTTTGGTTTTCCTATGTGGCTGGTTGGAGTCATAAGGGCCATGGCTATTTGAACAAGTGATGGCACATTCCTCCAGTGAGTCCTCAGGGACTTCCTTTTCTTCAGCCTTCGGCATCTCCCTGATGAGCCAGGTGGGACAGAGATGACAGAAGATTAAACACAGAGGGATTGGACCCCAGGGAGTCCTAGCTGGTTTTGACAGGCGGCATTAAGAGAGTGGTCCCAGAAAGCAAACTGGAGGTTCCCATTAAGAGGGTACATGCAATCCTGTTCTCTCTGCAACAGAGCATGGCTGCCATGGGAACCAGAGAGGAAGAGAGCAGCTGGTGTTCATTGCACTGGACAGATAGGAGCTGAGGAGGATGAAGACTCAGCTATCCCTGTACGGTGCAGACATGACACTCGGCACACATAGAGAAACATGACAGCTGCCGCACCCTGTGTCTAAGCTGGGTTATATTTCACATACTGAGGCCAAGCGAATGCGGGTTTTTGGCCCATCATAGATGCCAGAGAGGGTGTGCCTCCTAGATATTCTTCATATGTTACCATCCATTAATTGTTCCTGAGTATTCAGTGTTACCTGGGGGCAGACGATTTCTGCACTTTCTCAGCCACCTCAACTTGAACATCTTCATCGTCATCGTTGTCATTTTCTGTAAATACAGAAGTGTTCGTTCAGATATTTCCCACTTCACAGTCTGCAAGCACAGTCAGCCCAATGTGCAACAGAGACATGAACATCTAGGCATGGGTCACCGTTCAACTGAAAACTCTCATGTTTTATCTTTAACAGAATGCCCTGGCATGGTTTCCTGATCCATCAGGCAATGCATTTCTGATCTGGAGGGCCACCATCAAGATGTGGCCAAATATTGAAAAGACCTTTTGCTTCCCCTATCACTGGAGGCTTGTGCAGCCTCTCTCTGGACTTTGGCAGCTGTCTCCCCCATCCTGCCAGATCTGATTCCCAGGCACAGGCTTGGTGTCCTGTCACAGTTTGCATTTCAAACCTAATTCTTTCTCTTAGAAGCAGACAAACTTGTCCCACAGTCCTCTATGCATCAGAAGATTTCAAGCCTCCAAGTGGCTTCTGCTGTGTTATTCAGGGACATTCTATCCATGGGGAGTGCTCCAGTCTGAAGCACTTCCTACCACGAAACGCCACCACATAAAGTGCCTTCTCCAACATCACACGGCGAGGGGCTTCATCTCATTTTGGAAAGCAGTTTTAAGTGTTCCCACATTTGAATGCTTCAGACCCTTGCAAGAGACAATTTGCCATGGAGAGAGAGAAACTCAGGAAAGACAAGTCATTCACTCACTGACAGTTACTAAGAACATTGCCGAAAAGACAGCCTGGGAACCTTCATTCTTAGTCCAGAGCTCTTTTCACTCTAACAAGCCTGCTCCTATCGCAGCCTCCTTCCTGTCCTTTAAAACTAGACAGATGCTGCCTCTTACTCCAAAGACCACCTTCCATCAAGGGAGGAGGGACACTTGCAATACTGTGACCTCCAACCCCATGGGTTTCCCAACTCCGTTCTTACCCAGGAAGTCCTGGTCATGTCATGGCCACATAAGCTTAGTGGAAAAAAACACCATTGATACAACTGTCATTGTGAAAGTATGGAGGTCTGGAGTCTCTCATAAGCCTGGGGTTTTGGGTCATCAGGGCCTATGGCCACCTTACCTGGGCTGAGCTTTTGGACAAGGTGCTGTGCCAGTCTACACCCCTCAGCCAGCTGTTCTTGGAGGTCCTGCCCCTGGGACTTGTCTGGCTCATCCGGAGTGAGGAGGGCCTGGAGATGCTGACTCAATGAGCGGGAGGCATCTCTCCCTTCCCGTAACTTCTCCCTTAACTGGGTCAGCTCTCGTTCCTGAGAGTGAACCAGGACTTTATATTGCCTAAGGTGAGACGGTAGAGAAAATTTAAGAGTGGAAAGGGTTGAGTGATCCGCTCAAATATTGCAACAGAGATTTCTGAGACAATGTCCTCAAGGAGACCTCCAAGCAGAAGGTCAGCACATGTTGGAAGGAATGTCTGTGGCTAAGAGAAAGAATAGAAAATGGTTTACAGGCTTCCTCTGTATCAGAGAGGGCTCCTGCAAGATCCTCGATGATGTTCCATTCATCTTTCCCTTCTGTAAACAAAAGTAGGTGTCTTCCTAATTCCGTTTCAAAAAGACATCCTTTCAGTTCCTCACTCTGGCCATGGACATTTCCATGTGAAAATACACATAGTGCATCTTGCGGCCACTAGATACAAAGCCATGTACAGAAATGAGGCCAGGTGCAGATGGGGCGAATTGAAAAGATGAAAGAAGAAAAGAATGACAGGGTCGAGAAGGCAACATTGATTGAGTGAAAGAATGAGAAGACGCAGTCAGTCAGAAGGTGATTCTCACTAAGGGTAAGTGGGGTGGTGATGGCACACCATTTTGACTATACTGAATGCTGCTGTGTGGTTCACACTCCTTTGGTTAATTTTGTGTTATGTAAATTTCACATCAACAATTACTTGTTTGAAAAAGAGAAAACAAGGCTCTGAGAAACAACTGCAACCCATAAATTTTTATTATCCTTCTTCTCTGTTTGATAAATATTTGTGTGTAGCGAGCCTGCCATGGCAATTCCTGCCCTTCCCCTGGCCCAGCTTAGTTCTTAAGTCTCCCCACTGAGCTGCTGTACTTCAGAGATTTACACACCTGCCCCCCTGCCTGCCCCCATGGGGTCCCCTCACCTGAGCTCCTCAGCTTGCTTGAGCTGCTCTGCAAGCTTCTCCTCCTTGAACTGTCGCTCATTCCTCAGCATAGATTTTATGAGGTCTTTGCACTCTTCATATTCTGAGAAAAGACAGACACGCCTGCCTCAGTGGAAGGCTGGACATGCTGCTGTGGTCATTGCCTACAGGGCAGGAGCCAGGTCCATCCCAAGGACAAAACTCTCCCCAGTACCAGGGTCTAGACAGGGATTTCCACATCTTTACTCTTCAGTCTCCTGACTTTCTGGCATCTGATCCTCCAAAATTTAGAGATGAAGAAAGAGAACCTCAAGGGCACATCAAGGAAGTTGACAAGATGATTCAACCACAACGAAGTGGAGTCAGAATTCACAGCCCCTGAGGTCTGACTCTGAATGCGGGGCCACTTTCCCAAGACTTGCAGCCTCTCCTCTAAAACACTGCACTGGGGCATGAAGTAGTGATTTCTTGTACAGTCGGGAAGGCCCCTAGGACTATGGGACTGATGGTTTCCCTTTTACTGGGAATTTCAAGGACAAGTATGCGAAAGATTTTAAAAATCTTTGATTTTTAAATCATATCTTCTGTTATGATTTTAAGAATCATATCTGAAGCATAAAGTGTGACACATAACACCATAAGGCCATGAAGGAAATATGCCCAAATGTTAATAAAGTTTGTGTTAATTTAGAAACAGCAGAATGAAGAACTAATAGATAGTGTTTACTGTGTGCCAATAAATGTTCTAGGAGATTGACAAGAAATAGCTCATGTAATTCACTGCAGCAATTTACAGAGGTAGGTATTATTGTAGTACCCTCTGAACAGGTGAGGAAACAGGGACAGAAAAGACAAGCAACTTGGATGGAGCCCAGGAGACAGGCCCACGGTCTCTGCTCTGTACACTGCACTGCTATCTCCACACATTCTCAGGTGCGATCTTTCTTCCTCTTTAGGAACAAGACTCTGTGCCCCAGGAAGCAGGACTTCACTCTCACCAAGCTACATTCTGCTTCTTATTCTTATTTTTATTTATCATTATTAGTATTATTTTTTTAACAGTCTTGCCCTGTCGCCCAGGCTGGAGTGCAATGGCAAAATCTTGGCTCACTGCAACCTCAGCCTCCTGGGTTCAAAGGATTCTCCTGCCTCAGCCTCCTGAGCAGGGGTGATTACAGTCACCTGCCACCATGCCCATCTACTTTTTGTATTTTTAGTGGAGATGGGGTTTCTCCATGTTGCCCAGGCTGGTCTCAAACTCCTGACCTCGTGCTCTACCCGCCTCAGCCTCCCAAAGGGCTGGGATTACAGGAGTGAGCCACCATGCACGGCCCCTACTCCCTGCTCTTGATACTGTCACTTATAGATAGCACAGGTTCTATTAGGAGCAGACTCCTCTTGAAGCCCCTCAGAGCGGGTACTGGCTACTATCACCAAGTTTCCCTCAGAGTCACTAGAACAGAGCTTTGCATATTGGGCCTCAACAGAAACTTGAACTGAATAAAAGTTCACTAGTCTCAGACATTTAGAACAACAGACTAGATGTTATTTGTCTGCAGGATCTTACATGGTACAGAGAGGATTCTTGAAAACATGATTGAGCCTCTTGGAGAAAACAGGTCATTCTGTGCCTGTGTCAGAAATCAATAAATGGCAGTTTAACTCTAGTCCCACCCCCACCTGATTGCAAACATGGAAAGTTGCTAAATATTTTGGGACCTCTGTCTTCCAACTTTAACAAAATGTTAAAATACCCATTTCTGTTTTCCTAGAAGTATGGGGAGGATGACATTATTTTAGATGGAGAGAGCACTTAGTTTCTCAGAGAGAAGACAGGACTTCGTTCATCACTTTCGTGATGGTGAGCCTATAGATCTTACTGTATTTGTTCTGCTGGTTGGCCAGGAAGCCGGCCAGTTGAGTTACAAAACATTTCTCTTTGAGGTTTCTGAACTGCTGTTTCTTCTCTGCCAGCTGGGGGCGCAATTTCTCATTCATTTCTAGAATGTTCATCTCTGCCTTCTCGCTGGACAAAGGGCCGGCTGATACCACCATGCTGACGTTTGTGGCAGAAGAGGTGGGGCCAGGGACTGGGGAGAAGAAAGGCAAACACATGATGGGTTAAAAACTGGTGAAATCAAATAGGCTTAATCAGGACTGAGGGATGTCACTGGCAGCCTTGTCTACTTATTTGAAGATGATGTTTCCCTGGTTTCACTCTTGTCATCTCCAGTCTTGATCTCCTTTAAGTCAACTTGTCTTAGCTATGCAGTCACCTTGAAACCAAGACATAAACACTTCTACACTTTTCTTGCTTATAAGTTTCTATAAAGCAAGGCTTGGCCCTAAGATTTTTACCCCATGAGTGGCCAATGTTTCTGTGTAGCACAAAAGGTTTCATTTTGCTTTTTTAATTTTTTTCTTTTTTGGTTTTTTGTTTTTTGTTTGAGACGGAGTCTCACTCTGTCACGCAGGCTGCAGTGCAGAGGCACAATCTCAGCTCACTGCCACCTCTGCCTCCCGGGTTCAAGCGATTCTCATCCCTCAGCCTGCCAAACATCTGGGATTACAAGCGCCAAGTAACATGCCAGCTAATTTTTGTATTTTTAGTAGAGATGGGGTTTCGCCATCTTGGACAGGCTGGTTTCGAACTCCTGACCTCAGGTGATCCGCCCACCTCGGCCTCCCAAAGTGCTGGGATTAAGATGTGAGCCAGCACCCCTGGTCAGAGACATTTTTTTTTTTTTTTTTTGAGATGGAGTCTCGCTCTGTCTCCCAGGCTGGAGTGCAGTGGCACAATCTAGGCTCACTGCAGGCTCCGGTTCCTGGGTTCATGCCATTCTCCTGCCACAGCCTCCCGAGTAGCTGGGACTACAGGCGCCCAACACCGTGCCCAGCTAATTTTTTTTTTTTTTGTATTTTTAGTAACGACGGGGTTTCACCGTGTTAGCCAGGATGGTCTCGATCTCCTGACCTCGTGATCCACCCGCCCCGGCCTCCCAAAGTGCTGGGATTACATGTGTGAGCCACCGCGCCCGGCCGAGACTTCTTATTAATAGCTAAGACAAGCCAATGAAAAGGAGAGAGAGTCTAGCCTGAGAGGAGTGAACCAGGGTGGGAGGATCGTCTCAGCCGATCCTCTCACCTAATTCTCCTGAGCAGTTGGGACTATAGGCACGCAGCACCATACCTGCCTAATTTTTTGTATTCTTTGTAAAGATGGGTTTCACCATATTGTCCAGGCTGGTCTTCAACTCCTGAACTCAAGTCATCCTCCCACTTGGGCCTTCCAAAGTGCTGTGATTCTACGTGTGAGTCACAGCACCTAGCTCCATCCTAGTTTCTGACTAAAACAATATGTGCGTATACAGCCTGTCCTCAGAATTGATCTTCCATAGCCTAGACAGAGGTATGAGACACAAGGAAAATAGAGGCTACCTGGGAGAATGTTTACAGCATCCTGACATTCATCATGAGAGGATTCTCTGTCTACAACCAGAGCTGAGTTGACTTTGTCTTCCTCAAATGTGATGTTGATGTTCTTGTGAGGCTGGTTGGAGTCACAAGGGCCGTGGCTATTTGAACAAGTGATGGCACATTCCTCCAGTGAGTCCTCAGGGACTTTGCTTTCTTCAGCCTTCTGCACCTCCCTGATGAGCCAGGTGGGACAGAGATGACAGAAGATTAAACACAGAGGGATTGGACCCCAGGGAGTCCTAGCTGGTTTTGACAGGCGGCATTAAGACAGTGGTCCCAGAAAGCAAAATGGAGGTTCCCTTTAAGGGGGAACAGGCAATCCTCTTCTCTCTGCAACAGAACATGGCTGCCATGGGAGCCAGAGAGGAAGAGAGCAGCTGGTGTTCAGTGCACTGGACAGATAGGAGCTGAGGAGGATGAAGACTCAGCTATCCCTGTATGGTACAGACATGACACTTGGCACACATAGAGAAACACGACAGCTGCCGCACCCTGTGTCTAAGCTGGGTTGAATTTCACATACTGTGGCCAAGCGAATGCGGGCTTTTGGCCCATCATAGATGCCAGAGAGGGTGTACCTCCTAGACATTTTCATATGTTACCACCCATTACCTGCTCCCGAGTATTCAGTGTTACCTGGGGGCAGATGATTCCAGTACTTTCTCAGCCTCCTCAACTTGAACATCTTCATCCTCATCTTCGTCATTTTCTGTAAATACAAAATGTTCGTTCAGATATTTCCCACTTCACATTCTCCAAGCACAGTCAGCCCAATGTGCACAGAGACATGAACATCTATGTATGGTTCAGCATTGTACTGAAAACTGTCATGTTTTATCTTTCACAAAATGCCCTGGCATGGTTTCCTGGTCCATCGGGCAATGCATTTCTGATCTGGAGGGCCACCATCAAGATGTGGCCAAATATTGAAAAGACCTTTTGCTTCCCATATCACTGGAGGCTTGTGCAGCCTCTCTCTGGACTTTGGCAGCTGTCTCCCCCATCCTGCCACAGATCTGATTCCCAGGAACAGGCTTGGTGTCCTGTCACAGTTCGCATTTCAAACCTCATTCTTTCTCTTAGGAGAGGACAAACTTGTCCCACAGTCCTCTATGCGTCATGAGACTGCACAGGCCCTCCATGTGGCTTCTGCTGTGTTATTCAGGGACATTCTATCCACGGGGAGTGCTCCAGTCTGAAGCACTTCCTACCACCAAATGCCCCTACACCAAGTGCCTTCTCCAACACCAAACGGAGAGGGGCTTCATCTCATTTTAAAAAGCATTCGTAAGTGTTCCCATATTTGGATGCTTCAGACCCTTGCAAGAGACAATTTGTCTGCCTTTGCAGATGGAGAGAGAGAAACTCTGGAAAGATAAATCACTCACTCACCGACAGTTACTAAGAACATTGCCAAAAAGACAGCCTGGGAACCTTCATTCTTAGCCCAGAGCTCTTTTCACTCCAACAAGCGACCTCCCATCACAGCCTCCTTCCTGTCCTTTAAAACTAGACAGATGCTGCCTCTTGCTCCAAAGACCACCTTCCATCAAGGAAGGAGGGACACTTGCAATACTGTGACCTCCAACCCCATGGGTTTCCCATCTCTGTTCTTACCCAGGAAGTCCTGGTCATGTCATGGCCACATATGTGTAGCAGAAAAAAACCCCACTGATACAACTGTCATTGTGAAAGTATGGAGGTCTGGAGCCTCTCATAAGCCTGGGGTTTTGGGTCATCAGGGCCTATGGCCACCTTACCTGGGCTGAGCTTTTGGACAAGGTGCTGTGCCAGTCTACACCCCTCAGCCAGCTGTTCTTGCAGGTCCTGCCCCTGGGACTTGTCTGGCTCATCCGGAGTGAGGAGGGCCTGGAGATGCTGACTCAATGAGCGGGAGGCATCTCTCCCTTCCCGTAACTTCTCCCTTAACTGGGTCAGCTCTCGTTCCTGAGAGTGAACCAGGACTTTATATTGCCTAAGGTGAGATGGTAGAGAAAATTTAAGAGTGGAAAGGGTTGAGTGATCTGTTCAAATATTGCAACAGAGATTTCTGAGACAATGTCCTCAAGGAGACCTCCAAGCAGAAGGTCAGCACATGTTGAAAGGAATGACTGTGGCCAAGAGAAAGAATAGAAAATGGTTTACAGGCTTCCTCTGTATCAGAGAGGGCTCCTGCAAGATCCTCGATGATGTTCCATTCATCTTTCCCTTCTGTAAACAAAAGTAGGTGTCTTCCTAATTCCGTTTCAAAAAGACATCCTTTCAGTTCCTCACTCTGGCCATGGACATTTCCATGTGAAAATACACATAGTGCATCTTGCGGCCACTAGATACAAAGCCATGTACAGAAATGAGGCCAGGTGCAGATGGGGTGAATTGAAAAGACGAAAGAAGAAAAGAATGACAGGGTCGAGAAGGCAACATTGATTGAGTGAAAGAATGAGAAGACGCAGTCAGTCAGAAGGCGATTCTCACTAAGGGTAAGTGGGGTGGTGATGGCACACCATTTTGAGTATACTGAATGCTGCTGTGTGGTTCACACTCCTTTGGTTAATTTTGTGTTATGTAAATTTCACATCAACAATTACTTGTTTGAAAAAGAGAAAACAAGGCTCTGAGAAACAACTGCAACCCATAAATTTTTATTATCCTTCTTCTCTGCTTGATAAATACTTGTGTGTTGCGAGCCTGCCATGGCAATTCCTGCCCTTCCCCTGGCCCAGCTTAGCTCTTACGTCTCCCCACCGAGCTGCTGTACTTCAGAGATTTACACAGCTGCTCCCCCGCCTGCCCCCATGGGGTCCCCTCACCTGAGCTCCTCAGCTTGCTTGAGCTGCTCTGCAAGCTTCTCCTCCTTGAACTGTCGCTCATTCCTCAGCATAGATTTTATGAGGTCTTTGCACTCTTCATATTCTGAGAAAAGACAGACACGCCTGCCTCAGTGGAAGGCTGGACATGCTGCTGTGGTCATTGCCTACAGGGCAGGAGCCAGGTCCATCCCAAGGACAAAACTCTCCCCAGTACCAGGGTCTAGACAGGGATTTCCACATCTTTACTCTTCAGTCTCCTGACTTTCTGGCATCTGATCCTCCAAAATTTAGAGATGAAGAAAGAGAACCTCAAGGGCACATCAAGGAAGTTGACAAGATGATTCAACCACAACGAAGTGGAGTCAGAATTCACAGTCCCTGAGGTCTGACTCTGAATGCAGGGCCACTTTCCCAAGACTTGCAGCCTCTCCTCTAAAACACTGCACTGGGGCATGAAGTAGTGATTTCTTGTACAGTCGGGAAGGCCCCTAGGACTATGGGACTGATGGTTTCCCTTTTACTGGGAATTTCAAAGACAAGTATGCGGAAGATTTTAAAAATCTTTGATTTTTAAATCATATCTTCTGTTATGATTTTAAGAATCATATCTGAAGCATAAAGTGTGACACATAACACCATAAGGCCATGAAGGAAATATGCCCAAATGCTAATAAAGTTTGTGTTAATTTAGAAACAGCAGAATGAAGAACTAATAGATAGTGTTTACTGTGTGCCAATAAATGTTCTAGGAGATTGACAAGAAATAGCTCATGTAATTCACTGCAGCAATTTACAGAGGTAGGTATTATTGTAGTACCCTCTGAACAGGTGAGGAAACTGAGGGACAGAAAAGACAAGCAACTTGGATGGAGCCCAGGAGACAGGCCTACGGTCCCTGCTCTGTACACTGCACTGCTACCTCCACACATTCTCAGGTGCGATCTTTCTTCCTCTTTAGGAACAAGACTCTGTGCCCCAGGAAGCAGGACTTCACTCTCACCAAGCTACACTCTGCTTCTTATTATTTTTATTTATCATTATTATTATTATTATTATTTTTACCAGTCTTGCCCTGTCACCCAGACTGGAGTGCAATGGCAAAATCATGGCTCACTGCAACCTCAGCCTCCTGGGTTCAAAGGATTCTCCTGCCTCAGCCTCCTGAGCAGGGGTGATTACAGTCACCTGCCACCATGCCCATCTACTTTTTGTATTTTTAGTGGAGATGGGGTTTCTCCATGTTGCCCAGGCTGGTCTCAAACTCCTGACCTCGTGATCTGCCCGCCTCAGCCTCCCAAAGGGCTGGGATTACAGGAGTGAGCCACCATGCACGGCCCCTACTCCCTGCTCTTGATGCTGTCACTTATAGATAGCACAGGTTCTATTAGGAGCAGACTCCTCTTCAAGCCCCTCAGAGCGGGTACTGGCTACTATCACCAAGTTTCCCTCAGAGTCACTAGAACAGAGCTTTGCCTGTTGGGCCTCAACAGAAACTTGAACTGAATAAAAGTTCACTAGTCTCAGACATTTAGAACAACAGACTAGATGTTATTTGTCTGCAGGATCTTACATGGTACAGAGAGGATTCTTGAAAACATGATTGAGCCTCTTGGAGAAAACAGGTCATTCTGTGCCTGTGTCAGAAATCAATAAATGGCAGTTTAACTCTAGTCCCACCCCCACCTGATTGCAAACATGGAAAGTTGCTAAATACTTTGGTACCTCTCTCTTCCAACTTTAACAAAATGTTAAAATACCCATTTCTGTTTTCCTAGAAGTATGGGGAGGATGACATTATTTTAGATGGAGAGAGCACTTAGTTTCTCAGAGAGAAGACAGGACATCATTCATCACTTTCGTGATGGTGAGCCTATAGATCTTACTGTATTTGTTCTGCTGGTTGGCCAGGAAGCCAGCCAGTTGAGTTACAAAACATTTCTCTTTGAGGTTTCTGAACTGCTGTTTCTTCTCTGCCAGCTGGGGATGCAATTTCTCGTTGATTTCTAGAATGTTCATCTCTGCCTTCTCGCTGGACAAAGGGCCGGCTGATACCACCATGCTGACGTTTGTGGCAGAAGAGGTGGGGCCAGGGACTGGGGAGAAGAAAGGCAAACACATGATGGGTTAAAAACTGGTGAAATCAAATAGGTTTAATCACACTGAGGGATGTCAGTGGCAGCCTTGTCTACTTATTTGAAAATGTTGTTTCCCTGGTTTCACTCTTGTCATTTCCAGTCTTGATCTCCTTTAAGTCAACTTGTCTTAGCTATGCAGTCACCTTGAAACCAGGACATAAACACTTCTACACTTTTCTTGCTTATAAGTTTCTATAAAGCAAGGCTGGGCCCTGAGATTTTTACCCCATGAGTGGCCAATGTTTCTGTGTAGCACAAAAGATTGCATTTTGCTTTTTTAATATTTTTATCTTTTGGTTTTTTGTTTTTTGTTTGGGACGGAGTCTCACTCTGTCACCCAGGCTGCAGTGCAGTGTCACAATCTCAGCTCACTGCCACCTCTGCCTCCCGGGTTCAAGCGATTCTCATCTCTCAGCCTCCCAGGTAGCTGGGATTACAAGCGCCAACCACCATGCCAGCTAATTTTTGTATTTTTAGTAGAGATAGGGTTTTGCCATGTTGGCCAGGCTGGTTTTGAACTCCTGACCTCAGGTGATCCGCCCACCTCGCCCTCCCAAAGTGCTGGGATTAAGATGTGAGCTGGCGCCCCTGGCAGAGACCTTTTTTTTTTTTTTTTTTTTTTTTTTTTTTTTTGAGATGGAGTCTCGCTCTTTCGCTCAGGCTGGAGTGCAGTGGTACAATTTCGGCTCACTGCAAGCTTCCCCTCCCGGATTCACGCAACTCTCCTGCCTCAGCCTCCCAAGTAGCTGGGACTACAGGCGCCCAACACTGCGCCCAGCTAATTTTTTTTTTCTATTTTTAGTAGAGACGGGGTTTCACCGTGTTAGCCAGGATGGTCTCGATCTCCTGACCTCGTGATCTACCCGCCCCGGCCTCCCAAAGTGCTGGGATTACATGTGTGAGCCACCGCGCCCGGCCGAGACTTCTTATTAATAGCTAAGACAAGCCAATGAAAAAGAGAGAGAGTCTAGCCTGAGAGGAGCGAACCAGGGTGGGAGGATCGTCTCAGCCGATCCTCCCACCTAAGTCTCCTGAGCAGTTGGGACTATAGGCACGCAGCACCATACCTGCCTAATTTTTTGTATTCTTTGTAAAGATGGGTTTCACCATATTGTCCAGGCTGGTCTTCAACTCCTGAACTCAAGTCATCCTCCCACTTGGGCCTTCCAAAGTGCTGTGATTCTACGTGTGAGTCACAGCACCTAGCTCCATCCTAGTTTCTGACTAAAACAATATGTGCATATACAGCCTGTCCTCAGAATTGATCTTCCATAGCCTAGACAGAGGTATGAGACACAAGGAAAATAGAGGCTACCTGGGAGAATGTTTACAGCATCCTGACATTCATCATGAGAGGATTCTCTGTCTACAACCAGAGCTGAGTTGACTTTGTCTTCCTCAAATGTGATGTTGATGTTCTTGTGAGGCTGGTTGGAGTCACAAGGGCCGTGGCTATTTGAACAAGTGATGGCACATTCCTCCAGTGAGTCCTCAGGGACTTTGCTTTCTTCAGCCTTCTGCACCTCCCTGATGAGCCAGGTGGGACAGAGATGACAGAAGATTAAACACAGAGGGATTGGACCCCAGGGAGTCCTAGCTGGTTTTGACAGGCGGCATTAAGACAGTGGTCCCAGAAAGCAAAATGGAGGTTCCCTTTAAGGGGGAACAGGCAATCCTCTTCTCTCTGCAACAGAACATGGCTGCCATGGGAGCCAGAGAGCAGCTGGTGTTCAGTGCACTGGACAGATAGGAGCTGAGGAGGATGAAGACTCAGCTATCCCTGTATGGTACAGACATGACACTTGGCACACATAGAGAAACACGACAGCTGCCGCACCCTGTGTCTAAGCTGGGTTGAATTTCACATACTGTGGCCAAGCGAATGCGGGCTTTTGGCCCATCATAGATGCCAGAGAGGGTGAGCCTCCTAGACATTTTTATATGTTACCACCCATTACTTGCTCCTGAGTATTCAGTGTTACCTGGGGGCAGATGATTCCAGTACTTTCTCAGCCTCCTCAACTTGAACATCTTCATCCTCATCTTCGTCATTTTCTGTAAATACAAAATGTTCGTTCAGATATTTCCCACTTCCCATTCTCCAAGCACAGTCAGCCCAATGTGCACAGAGACATGAACATCTATGTGTGGTTCAGCATTGTACTGAAAACTGTCATGTTTTGTCTTTCACAAAATGCCCTGGCATGGTTTCCTGGTCCATCGGGCAATGCATTTCTGATCTGGAGGGCCACCATCAAGATGTGGCCAAATATTGAAAAGACCTTTTGCTTCCCATATCACTGGAGGCTTGTGCAGCCTCTCTCTGGACTTTGGCAGCTGTCTCCCCCATCCTGCCACAGATCTGATTCCCAGGAACAGGTTTGGTGTCCTGTCACAGTTCGCATTTCAAACCTCATTCTTTCTCTTAGGAGAGGACAAACTTGTCCCACAGTCCTCTATGCGTCATGAGACTGCACAGGCCCTCCAAGTGGCTTCTGCTGTGTTATACAGGGACATTCTATCCATGGGGAGTGCTCCAGTCTGAAGCACTTCCTACCACCAAATGCCCCCACATCAAGTGCCTTCTCCAACACCACACGGAGAGGGGCTGCATCTCATTTTGAAAAGCATTCGTAAGTGTTCCCATATTTGGATGCTTCAGACCCTTGCAAGAGACAATTTGTCTGCCTTTGCAGATGGAGAGAGAGAAACTCTGGAAAGATAAATCACTCACTCACCGACAGTTACTAAGAACATTGCCAAAAAGACAGCCTGGGAACCTTCATTCTTAGCCCAGAGCTCTTTTCACTCCAACAAGCGACCTCCCATCACAGCCTCCTTCCTGTCCTTTAAAACTAGACAGATGCTGCCTCTTGCTCCAAAGACCACCTTCCATCAAGGAAGGAGGGACACTTGCAATACTGTGACCTCCAACCCCATGGGTTTCCCATCTCTGTTCTTACCCAGGAAGTCCTGGTCATATCATGGCCACATATGTGTAGCAGAAAATAACCCCACTGATACAACTGTCATTGTGAAAGTATGGAGGTCTGGAGTCTCTCATAAGCCTGGGGTTTTGGGTCATCAGGGCCTATGGCCACCTTACCTGGGCTGAGCTTTTGGAAAAGTTGCTGTGCCAGTCTACACCCCTCAGCCAGCTGTTCTTGCAGGTCCTGCCCCTGGGACTTGTCTGGCTCATCCGGAGTGAGGAGGGCCTGGAGATGCTGATTCAATGAGCGGGAGGCATCTCTCCCTTCCCGTAACTTCTCCCTTAACTGGGTCAGCTCTCGTTCCTGAGAGTGAACCAGGACTTTATATTGCCTAAGGTGAGACGGTAGAGAAAATTTAAGAGTGGAAAGGGTTGAGTGATCCGCTCAAATATTGCAACAGAGATTTCTGAGACAATGTCCTCAAGGAGACCTCCAAGCAGAAGGTCAGCACATGTTGGAAGGAATGTCTGTGGCTAAGAGAAAGAATAGAAAATGGTTTACAGGCTTCCTCTGTATCAGAGAGGGCTCCTGCAAGATCCTCGATGATGTTCCATTCATCTTTCCCTTCTGTAAACAAAAGTAGGTGTCTTCCTAATTCCGTTTCAAAAAGACATCCTTTCAGTTCCTCACTCTGGCCATGGACATTTCCATGTGAAAATACACATAGTGCATCTTGCGGCCACTAGATACAAAGCCATGTACAGAAATGAGGCCAGGTGCAGATGGCGTGAATTGAAAAGATGAAAGAAGAAAAGAGTGACAGGGTCGAGAAGGCAACATTGATTGAGTGAAAGAATGAGAAGACGCAGTCAGTCAGAAGGTGATTCTCACTAAGGGTAAGTGGGGTGGTGATGGCACACCATTTTGAGTATACTGAATGCTGCTGTGTGGTTCCCACTCCTTTGGTGAATTTTGTGTTATGCAAATTTCACATCAACAATTACTTGTTTGAAAAAGAGAAAACAAGGCTCTAAGAAACAACTGCAACACATAACTTATTATTATCCTTGTTCTCTGATAAATATTTGTGTGTCATGAGCCTGCCATGGCAATTTCTGCCCTTCCCCTGGCCCAGCTTCATTCTTACTTCTCCCCGCCGAGCTGCTGTACTTCAGAGATCTACACACCTACCCGCCTGCCTCCCCCAACGGGGTCCCCTCACCTGAGCTCCTCAGCTTGCTTGAGCTGCTCTGCAAGCTTCTCCTCCTTGAACTGTCGCTCATTCCTCAGCATAAATTTTATGAGGTCTTTACACTCTTCATACTCTGAGAAAAGACAGACACACCTGCCTCAGTGGAAGGCTGGACATGCTGCTGTGGTCACTGCCTACAGGGCAGGAGCCAGGTCCATCCCAAGGACAAAACTGTCCCCAGTACCAGGCTCTAGGCAGGGATTTCCACATCTTTACTCTTCAGTCTCCTGACTTTCTGGCATCTTATCCTCCAAAATTTAAAGACGAAGAAAGAGAAACTCAAGGCACATCAAGGAAGTTGACAAGATGATTCAACCACAACGAAGTGGACTCAGAACTCACAGCCCCTGAGGTCTGACTCTGAATGCGGGGCCACTTTCCCAAGCCTGGCAGCCTCTCCTCTGAAACACTGCACTGGGGCATGAAGTAGTGATTTCTTGTACAGTCGGGAAGGCCCCTAGGACTATGGGACTGATGGTTTCCCTTTTACTGGGTATTTCAAGGACAAATATGTCAAGGACTTTAAAACATTTCATTTTTAAATCATATATTCAGATATGGTTTTAAGAATCATATCTGAAGCATAAAGTGTGAGACAGAAGACAATAAGGCCATGAAGGAAATATGCCCAAATACTTTATTAGTATGACAGGCAGCATCAAGATTTAGATTAGTTGTGTTAATTTAGAAACAGCATAAGATTAGTTTGTGTTAATTTAGAAACATCAGAATGAAGAACTAATAGATAGTGTTTACACTGTGCCAATTAATGTTCAAGGAGATTGACAGGAAATACCTCATGTAATTCATTGCAGCAATTTACAGAGGTAGGTATTATTGTAGTACCCTCTGAACAGATGAGGAAACTGAGGGACAGACAAGACAAGCAACTTGGATGGAGCCCAGGAGACAGGCTGAGGGTCCCTGCTTTGCACACTGCACTGCTGCTTCCACACATTCTCGGGTGTGATCTTTCTTCCTCTTTAGGAACAAGAGCCTGTGCACCAGGAAGCAGGACTTCACTCTCACCAAGGTACTCTCTGCTTTTTATTTTTATTTTTGTTTGATTTATCTTTTTGTTTGTTTGTTTTTTGACGAGTCTTGCCCTGTCACCCATGCTGGAGTGCAATAGTGCAATCTTGGCTCACTGCAACATCTGCCTGCTGGGTTCAAAGGATTCTTCTGCCTCAGCCTCCCGATTAGTGGTGATTACAGTTGCCCGCCACGACGCCCATCTACTTTTTGTATTTTTAGTGGAGATGGGGTTTCTCCATGTTGCCCAGGCTAGTCTCAAACTCCTCACCTCGTGCTCTGCCCGCCTCAGCCTCCCAAAGTGCTGAGATTACAGGAGTGAGCCACGTTGCACGGCCCCTACTCCCTGCTCTTGATGCTGTCACTTATAGATAGCACAGGTTCTATTAGGAGCAGACTCCTCTTGAAGTCCCTCAGAGCAGGTACTGGCTACTATCACCAAGTTCCCCTCAGAGTCACTAGAACAGAGCTTTGCCTGTTGGGCCTCAACAGAAACTTGAACTGAATAAAAGTTCACTAGTCTCAGACATTTAGAACAACAGACTAGATATTATTTGTCTGCAGGATCTTATATGGTACAGAGAGGATTCTTGAAAACATGATTGAGCCTCTTGGAGAAAACAGGTCGTTCTGTGTCTGTGTTAGAAATCAATAACTGTGAGTTTAACTCTAGTCCCACCCCCACCTGATTGCAAACATGGAAAGTTGCTAAATACTTTGGTATCTCTGTCTTCCAACTTTAACAAAATGTTAAAATACCCATTTCTGTTTTCCTAGAAGTACAGGAAGGATGAAATTATTTTTGATGGAGAGAGCATTTAGTGTCTCAGAGAGAAGACAGGACATCATTCATCACTTTCATGATGGTGAGCCTATAGATCTTACTGTATTTCTTCTGTCGGTTGGCCAGGAAGCCGGCCAGTTGAGTTACAAAACATTTCTCTTTGAGGTTTCTGAACTGCTGTTTCTTCTCTGCCAGCTGGGGGCGCAATTTCTCATTCATTTCTAGAATGTTCGTCTCTGCCTTCTCGCTGGACCAAGGGCCGGCTGATACCACCATGCTGACGTTTGTGGCAGAAGAGGTGGAGCCAGGGACTGGGGAGAAGAAACCCAAACATATGATGGGTTAAAAACTGGTGAAATCAAATAGGTTTCATCAGGACTGAGGGATGTCAGTAACTGAAATTCTTAACTTACTGTTGTGAAAAATGTGATCACTCCCCACAGCACTTTAGGATCCTTCACCACAAAAACAAGGTTCGAGGTGCCTGAACTCAGAGCTGAAAGCACTGCCAGTAGCTCAGACTCTGATAAGAGTGAGGTAGACTGTGGCCAGCGTGCCAGGTAACCGTCTGCAGTTGCAATAACAGAATTAGAAGGTGGGGGTGTCATGGAATCTTAGGAGCCCTGCATTCCAATTGCCCAGGCTTTGCTGAAATACAGGCACCCTAGTCTCACCTGAGGGTCACCACCAATGGGGATCATTCCTTCAGCATTCACTCTCAGTATTCGTGTACCCTTGTGATGATGCCACAGACCCGTGTCTTTCCCAATACATCTAAGCATATTCCTCACTGTTTATCTCTTGTCTGTACAACATCATCAAGGCAGAAACAGTTTCCCAACAGGTTGTATTTTCTTAATGGTAGTCATGAAGTCACCCCACCTGCTCTCAGTTAAAACAGAGCTTAAGGCTTTTCCACAGGTGTAAGATATCAAACTTTTAGCCTGCCCTGATTTCCTCTGGGTCTTCTGCAGTTTTGTCTGTATCCACTAGAAAGTGAATGAATAATTCATTTGTAAAAAATGTTGTCTTTCCTGTCTCAGTATTCTTCTTGCTGTTTCCCATTGTTATGTTGATTTCTTTTTTCTCACTGGGCCACCATCTTTGCTTTTCATTACACTCTAGACCAGTTTGACATCCCTATGTCCAGAGCTCTTCCTCTATGTGGGTTGATTTGGTTTTTGATGTCACTGAGCGCTACATTTTATACTTGTCACTTATGGATGTCATTCTAGTGTCACAAGAGCTCTTTTCAAGGTATCAAGTGATCAAAATCATTTATATAGAGATCTCCTGAAAACATGTGTGACCATCTATCTTGGGAAGTTTCATAAACCTGATGCTATTTTGTTGTTTCCATTTTGTTTTCCCATATACTGAAAAGAACAGGGCCATGAGCGGTTCTTATGCAATATGGTTTGATACATATTTTGTTCAGATGACCTAACACCATTGATTTTGGGTTGCATTCCACTAACAGAACATGGCAAGATCAAGGTTATGGTCACGGTTGGTTGGTGATCCTCAGTGTTGCAGTAGAAGGTGAGTTTGAGATGAGAGGAATGAGTAGGAAAGAGTGATCCCCTGAACCACCTCCTCGCTTTCTCAGCTTTCATCCCCACCTAGGTTTTGTGAGCCTGGAACTTGGGAGACTGTTCTGTAGCCCAGGTCTCCTAAGATTGGCTGCTGGACTTGCCTGAGTTGAGGGTGCGGTGGGTTGACCCTGGGCTGCCCAGCATTCATGTGGTAGTGAAGGAAGGAGCACTGGATCAATCCCATTTCAAAGCATGTCTCTCTGCACTCCACACTGTCCTCCAATGACACTGTAAGGAAACCGCTTTAAGACGTATCAATGGCTTTAAGTAAATGTATTTTCTGGCATCTGGGAGACCTGACATTCTGTGTCATAATGAAAATCTGTCATGTTTCTTTATTTTAAAAATGATAAAACTGCAGGTTCACAGAGTTACATGGCTTACTTGAGGTCACACGGGGATGAGTTTTCAGCACTGCCAATAAAAGCAATCACATGAATTATTCAGTAATTATTCATAGGATCCATATAATTCAGTAAATATTCACATAATTATTTACTAGTTGTTCATTGACCAATTCGTACAAGGCATTTTGCTCAAAACTGAGCTTATATTTGGACATTGTATCTTCATCATAATCCTGTGGTAATGCTATTATCCGTAAGTAACAGGTAAGAAACCTGAAGAGGAGGGATAGCAAATCATGTATTTGGACATATTTCCATTTTTTTTTTTTTGGTTTTTGTGATGCTGGAAGAATGACCAGAATGAGTCATAGGAAGAGTATACATTCCTGTAGTATTTTGCAGGACAGAGGTGTGACCTCCTAGAGTACTGGGACCAAAATCCCCAAGTGTCTGCAACCTTGCTTTAACAGTATGGGAGATCACCTCTATCACCTGGAATTCCCCTGGAACTCTGGAATATACAAGAGAAGTATGAGACTTGGGTCTTCCCTTGGCTGTGTTTAATTCACTCTTCTATGGAATACCAATGATTCTCACTAAGACTTTGGCCTTTTCATAAGCACAATGTGCATTTTATGGAGAAGATTTTACACTTTGCTCTATTTAGAAAGAATAAATATGAGCAGTGGTTTAGGTTTTATGCCCTGGACTTAATATGTTTCTGATTCCTGTTTTGAGATTAAATTCTCATGTAAATAGAAAAATACTTATTATTTCTCATAAGGCCAAGTTTGTTATTAGTTTGAGTTTTTGAAGATGAAGCACAAACTTTTGATTTTATCTTTGTCTGTCTCTGTCAGCGCCACTCGTTGTCTCTCAGTATGACCTGGACTTGCCCCTGCACTTACCCTTGTCCTGCTGAACCATCTCCATGCACTGTCCAATTCCATCAGTGATTCGGGCTCCTCCCAAGGCTCCCTGAAAAGGGCACAGAGATCAGGACATTAGGCACATTCCGGACACAAAGGCAACCCATACTGTAGAGTGGGCAGCTGTGTTTCCACTTCCCTAATATTCCAGTGATGTCCTCAAACTGAAAGGAACACTTTCCCTTTTTAGGGGTCTGTTCTTCATGTCTCAGTGCCTCTGATCTAGTCAACACAACTGTCCTGAATGTGAAAGAACTTGCTAAATTTCTAGTTTCTTGTTAGGTGGCTAAAATAGATTTATAAGACTTCCTTACTTACCCATGACTGCTGAAGTTTGAATTCTTAGCAGTACGATTCGTTTTCTTGTAAGGTGAGCAGCTTAGGAAAGATTGGCCATCTTCCTGTGCAAAAAGAGGCAAACTTAATTTCTACTCAAAGCATGCTTGAATTTGGAATCAGGGCTTCCACTCTTCCGAAGTTGGAGTGTCACTGCGACAGGCATGTGTCCCGAAGGGCTCGTGTCTCTGCTATACTCAAAGTTTAAATGGAGCCCAGCAAGCCAGATGTCCTTTACTTCTAGGTTCCCTCAACAGTTTCTCCTCCGCTTTAGAGACCGCATTGAAAATATTCTTGTTCTGCTGTTGTGTTTTGGCTTTGGAATGATGTGATGCAGCTCAATGGGTCCCACCCCCAACTTGATCAAAGTAAGAAACAGCTGGGAAAGTCAGTGCAAATACAAGTTCATTGTCCTCCTTGCAGGGATTCTGATTCAGAGGGCTCAGGTGGGGCCTGGAATGTGTTTGTTAACATGACTCAGATGTGCAGTCAATTTGGGGACTCACTGACAGCATTGACCTTACAGTTTATGGGATGATTCTTTCTGTTTTGCTGATGAAGAAACTGAGGCACACAGAGTCTGTAACTTGCCCAAGTTCCCCTTGTTGTAAGTCCTGGAGCCAGATCTCAGGTGGACCAGTGCTTCTCTCCCCTATACCTCATTTCTGAGAAAAAGGAAATCTTCTGGAATTTGACTTCTTTCATCTAACACATTTCCTCACAACATGCAGCCAGCATCATATTTTGGCCACTTACTATTAAAGTGAGATGCTTTTTTTTTTTTTTTTTTTTGAGACAGGGTCTTATTCTGTCACCCAGGGTGGAGTGCACTGGTGATTATAGATCACGGCAATCTTGAACTTCTGGGCTCAAGCGATCCTCCTGCCTCAGCTTTCCAAGTAGTTGGAACTCTAGGCACACATCACCATTTCTGGCTAATTTTATATTTTTCATAGAGACAAGGTCTTGCTATGTTGCTCAGGCTGGTTTTGAACTTCTGGCCTCAAGCGATCCTCCCACCTAGGCCTCCAAAAGTGCTGGGATTACAGAAGTTAGCCACTGAACCTGGCCCTGAAATGCTTTTACTTTCTTTTTTTTTAAATGAAAATACTGGACATGGAGATGTGGAAAGACACCTTGCTTTATTACTTTTGTTGTTATTATTATTTCTACAGTAGAATTTATACATCACAAAATTCACCATTTTTAAGCATACATTTCAGTGTCTTTTACCATATTCCAAAACTTTCGCAACCATCGCCACTACCTAATTCCAGAATATTTTCATAATGCCAAAAAGCATGCCTGTACCTATGGGCAGACACTCTCCAATTCCCCCCTTCTTGCGCTCTCTGACAACCACTAATCTACCTTCTCTATATATTGATGTACTTGTTCTGGGCACTTCCTCTATATGGAATAACAAAGTGTGGTATTTTCTATCTGCTTCTTAGAATATTGTTCTCAAGTTTCATCCTTTCTAGCCTGCGTCAGTACTTCAACTTTTTATGGCCAGATAATATTCCACTATATGGTTATACCACATTTTGTTTATTCATCAACTCATGGTGGTTTAAGATGTTTCCACTTTTTAACTATTAGGAATAATGCTGCTGTGAACAGCTTTGTACAGGTTTTTGAGTGAACATCTGTTTTTCATTTTCTTGGTTATAAACCTAGGAGTGCAATTGCTGCATCATATGTCACTTTATGTTTCACTTTTTGAGGAACTCACACACTGTTTACTAACTTCAGTAGCTACATCATTTTAGATTCCCAATAGTAATATATGAGAATTCCATATTCTCCATCACTTTTGAAACATGTGTTGTCTTTATTGTTTTCTTAAGTCGTACTGCTGGGTGTGAAGTGGTATCTCATTTTGGTTTAAATTTACATTTTCCTAATGACGAAAAACATTGAACATCTTTGCATGTGCTTCTTGGCCATTTGTGTGTTTCCTTTAGAGAAACCTCTACTCACAGCTTTTTTTCCCCATTGTTAAATGTGGTTGTCGTTTATTGCTCAGTTATATGAATTCCTTATATACTCTAGGTACTAGACCTGTGTCAAACATACAATTTGGAAATAGTTCTCCCATTATGTGGATTATCTTTTCACTTCCTTGACAGTGTCCTTTGAAGCATACAAGTTTTTTATTTTAATGAAGTCCATTTATCTATTTTTCCGTTGTTTGTGCCTACTTAAAAAATGTCTAATCCAAAATCACAAAGATTTGTACCTAGGTTTCCTTCAAGACATCGTCTTTTGAATGAGAACTTTCCTGGGTTTTAGAGGAGGGTGGACATTGTTTATTGATGCCTCCTGTCCATTACCGATGTTTCTCCTGATTGTTATTCATATGCTCACCACCCCTCCATGGAGCATCCATGGCCTGTGACAGAGCTCTGGGGACTGATATCCTTCCACTGACTTTGGCGCTGGTGAGAGCCCTGGTCATGTGATTCAGCTTGGCCTTAACCCGACCCAGTTGCACATATTCCTCAGGCCCTTTAGAGTTGAAGTCGAGACCTCTCTGAGAACGCTTGCCAGCCCATGCTCTTCTAAGGCTGGAGCAAACTTCCTCCATCTATTCCAGACAGAGGGGACTGCAGGGGTTGGACTCACTCAAGATATCTCTGGTGTTAGAAAGAAGACCTGTTTCAGGCTTTGGGGAAGATTGTTCAATATGAACTAGGTCCTCTCTAATTATTTTTACCGTATGTGTGACTTCTTTCTAGAAACAAGGGAAGAATATTTATGTTAGAACATTTTGTCTATTCTTTGTCAATTGTTGTTTATCTACAATTTTAACATGGATAAAGGAGAGTTCAGTGTCAATATATTCTTAACAACTAATTACGGCTCATGTCCACCGCCATGCGATCATATTTAAATCTGTCAACTATCCTGTTACTTAGGTATTATCCTGTTCCTGATGAGAAAACAAACTCAGAAAGATTGCAAAATTTCCCTAGGTCACAAAACTAGTGAGGAGAGGAGTAAGAATTAGATATCCGTTCCTTTTGGCCTTCAAAGCTAACCTTGTACCATTAGATCAAACTGATTTACATACTTTTGCTGGAATTAGTCTCACAGTTGTGGTTCTCACTTGATTTTCCCAAGGAAACAGTGTGCCACTTTAATATCGTTTCAAACTTTGAAATTTAAAACTCTTTTTATTATACTTTTTTGTCTTTGTTCTATTCCGTTGCTTTTGGTTTCTTCTCAACGGATCCCTCTTATTTATATGCTAAATATTTGTTACCTATTTTCTGTCAATTTTCACATTTTTGAGTGTTTGTTATCTGTCTGTTGTATGCTAACAGTTCTTCACTGAGGTAAAATTTGCGTAGAGTATACTGCAAAAAAACCTAAAGGCACAGCTTAATAAATTTTAATATAATTATAATTGTAAAGTAACACCCAGTTAAAGACAGAGAACATTTTCCCCCATGCCACAAAGTTCTGATGTGGTCCTTGCCAGTCAATACTCATCCCCCAAATGAAGACTATATTCTGAATGTTGACACTGCCTTAGCCCCTTTGTGTTGCTGGAAAGGAATACCAGAGGCTGGGTAAGTTATCAAGACAAGAGGTGCCTTTTGCTCATAGTTCTGCAGGCTGTACAAGAAGCATGGCCCCCGCATCTGCTCCTAATGAGGGCCTGAGGCTGCTTCCACTTGCAGCAGAAGGTGAAAAGGAACCAGGGTGTGCAGAGATCATATGGCGAGAGAGGAAGCAAAAGAGAGCAAGGAAAGGTGAGAGGCACTTTTTAATAACCAGCTCCTACAGGAACTAAGAGAGTGAGAATTCACTCACTACCTTCTCCCAGGGTGGGGATTCATCTATTCATGAGGGATCCACTCCCATGACCCAAACACCTCCCATTTACCCCCACCTCCAACACTGGGGACCACATTTGAACATGTGATTTGGAGGGGACCAATATTTAAACTTAGCAGCCACCATAGATTCATTTTGCTTGATCATGTGCTTCATAAAAATGGAATCATTTTGGCTGGGCCTGGTGGCTCATGCCTGTAATCCCAAGACTTTGCAAGGCTGAGGCGGGCAGATCACCTGAGGTCAGGCGTTCAAGACCAGCCTGGCCAACATGGTAAAACCCTGCCTCTACTGAAAATACAAAAAATTAGCCAGGCATGGTGGCCGGTGCCTGTAATCCCAGGCACCGGATATGTACTGGTATCTCATATGTACAGGATATGTACTGGTATCTCATTGTTGTATTGATTGATGTTCCTGATGGCTAAACTGTAGAGCATCTTTTCCTATGCTAATTGACCATTCATGTATCTTCTTTTCTTAAGTACCTATTCAAGTCTTTTGAGAAATTGTTTCATTGTGCTGTTTATCTTATTAAACTTATATATATATACATACATATATATATACAAATACACTCTAAAAAACCCCTTTGTTGGAAATAAATATATCTCCTATATTGTGGTTTCTTTTAATGTTCTCTTAATGTTCCCTGTTTGGAGATAACGATAGATAATCTTCAAAAAGGTGAATACACACACACACACACACACACACACACACACACACACACACACACACACACGTGAGCCACCGGATCCAGCCTGTTGAATTTATTTCTAAGCACAACATGTATTTAGATGTTACTTGAAATGAAATTGTATTTTTATTTCATTTTCCAAATGCTCATTGCTAATACACAGAAATACAAAAGACTACTTCTATTGAGCTTATATTCTGCAACATTACCAAACTCACTAATTACTTTTGGCAGATTTTTATAGATTTCTAGGATTATTAACATACACAGTCATTATCTGTGAATAAAGACAGCTTCAATTCTTTCTTTTCAATCTTTTCAATACTTTTATTTATTTTTCTTACTTTATTGCATTGATTTAGATCTCTAGTATAATGCTGAATTGAAAGAATAACAACAGATATTCTACTTTTTTCTCTGATTTAATAGAAAAGCATTCAATCCTATGCCATTTAATATAATGTTACCTCTGAGTTTTTTTCAAATCTACCCTTAATAGGGTTGAAAGTGTTGCCTTCTCTTCTTATCATGCTGAGAGTTTTCTGGGGTTTGTTTTTATAAATCATGAAAAAAGTTTTCAATTGTGCCAAATGCTTTTACTGTGTATGACAAGGTAATCATATGGTTTTTCTCTTTTGCCCTGATAATACATAAATTACATTTTCTTAAATATAAAAAAGATTTCTTGAATCAAGCTAGGACAGTTTTTTTAATTATAAACTTTTAACAAATATATTGAAATATAACTTACATGCAATTGAGATGCATGAAAGTGTATAATCATTAAAGTGTATAATTTTAAGAGTTTGAGCACACTATACACGAGTCAAAGAGAAAGGACAGAAAATACTAACGATGGCTCAGCACATGTGGTCTATCTTGCTGAATGCTCTATGTGAGTTTGAGAAGAGTTATTTGTTAGCTGTTCTTAGATGTATTTTGCTTAAATATCGACCTGGCTAACATGTGTCATTGATTGTGTGAATTAATTTTGTTCTAGTGGGCAGTAAAATTACTGTCTGATCACTTTGGACTTATGTGGACTGGTTTATGTTTTATTACAACGGATTCATGGAAAGCCCACAGCATTTCCCAAGACCCTCTAATTTGGCAGGACTCAATCACCAATCCACCCCTTTGTGAATTTGTCAGGGTTTGCTTTTAGGCTTTAGCAGGTTGGTCTACAATAGGCCTTATTGAAAAGTGTGACACTTATTCCTAAAGCACATCCATTCTAGTGTCTCAGTTGGATACCTGGGTGCTAATGAGGTGTGCATCAGTTCTTCCCACCATGGATGGCAGAAACTCCATCATACATTCCCCAACCCTCCTCCACCTCAAGTACCTCTGGTCCAAACTCAATTTCATAGCAGCCACCCCTCTGTTAAATCTGTTAGTCTTTTCCTTGTGCAGGTAGAGTCCACTCCTTGATAAGTATGCACATGGAACCCCACATAGACTTTGAGAGCTGCACCTTTGATCAGCTGTCTCCTCACTGGTGCCCTGCCCTGCAGATTGCAGTTGCTTCAGCCGTCTTGAACTCTGATCTCTGCCTTCTCAGCTCAGTGAGCTGCCCTGCCCTGAGTGGACTCTAGCTCACTATGCAGCTGCTGAGAAATTCTCCCCAAACAACTAGGAAATCATGGGGCTTCCCCCTTAAGTTTTCTCTTGGACTGCCTGTTGTACACTGCTGAAAACAATTTTACGTTTGTTTATGGAGGCAGGGTTAGTCTGATATGATTTATTCTAACAGACAGAAGCAGAAATCTGTTATACTCTTTTAATTACTGTGTCTTTATAATATTATGGTAGACAGAATCCTAAGATGACCCCCAGTGATCTTTGCTCTTATATAATCACTTCCTCCTGAGTGTAGACAAAGCTACTGAGGAGATGTCACTCCTGTGATTGTGTTACAATTTATGGCAAAAACAAGTTAACAGATGTAATCGAGATCCCAAATCGGTCCAATTTAAGATAGACAGATTATCTGATGAGCTTGACCTAGTGAACGTGAGTTCCTTGGAGGGACTGAGGACTTCCTGGAGAGATGTGAAGTGCAGGAGGGTTTCCATGCAGGGCGATCCTCCTCTGCTGGCTGGAGGAAGCATGCAGTGGGAACATGGGAGGCCTCTACGAGCAGCGAGAGGCCCCTGGCTGACAGCCAGCAAGAAAACAGAGATCTCAGTCCTACAGTCACAAGGAACTGAACTCAGCTGACAACCTGAGGAAACTTGAGAGGAAGTTCTTCCCCAGAACCTCCAGAAAGAAACCCAGCCTAATTTCAGCCTGTGAGGCCCTGAGAAGAAGACCCAGAGAATCCAGGCCTGAACTTCTGATCTGTGGACACTGCAAGAAAATAAATCATTCTTATTTTACGCCGCTAATGCTTGCAGTAATTTAGTATGCAGCAATAGAAAATTAATACAAATAAAATGGAGAAGGCTTTGGAGTGGGGACAAGAAGGAAACGGTGGGAGAGGGATGCCTGTATGCTGATATGGTTGATGCCTGTATGGTTGAATTGGGTCTACCGTTCCTCATCTAATTAGCTATGGTCTATTAAGGTGCATAGCTACACACAAATATTGGTACTACGTTCAATTCAGAGGAATAAGATATTGCATTCTTGACAGTAGACAAGAACACCCTGAATTTGGGGTCACTGTATCATAAGTCATGTTATCAGGTCCCTCTAGGAAGGCTTAGAGGAAGATTTCCAGGATACACTTGTGACAACATTGAAGGCTTCTTTCTTCCCCAAAGGGACCCGATCTCCCCTCAGTCGAGAAGCTCCAAGTCTCTGAACTGGATGCCAGGTTATAAATTCCCCCTATACTGACTCCATCAGGCTTCTGTCCTCAGAACTAGAGTTTATCAGTAAAAGATAGACTCATGGGAGTCTAGGCATTTATTCTCTTATTTTATATAAATCAGTTAATGTGCAGGAACAAAACAGACTTTGAAGAAAGACACTCACAGTTGCCACAGGAAAACACCTTCAACATCCTCATGAGTCATCATGGGTGTTCTGTTGGGAGGACTTGATAGGAGGCTTTCCTCCTCACGGGCTAGTGCAGATCCAGGGGAAATGTCATCAAGTCCTCCATTCGGAGGGTAGCAGCTGAGGCTGCTGATTCGTTAGGCCTCCTGCAGCTGGAGATGCAAGTAGTGCATTTTCATGGCCACCGCAGGGCCCTCAGTTTAGCATTCTTCAGAGCCAGCATCCAACAAGCCACAGAAGCTCTGAGTATTTCCCTTTCTTCAGTCACCCACATAAATGGCTTCAGGGCCTTCTGGGGAAGGCCTGAAGGAAGATTTACAGCATACACTTGTGGCAGCATTGAAGGCTTCACTCTTCCTCAAGGGATCCAATCTCCCCTCAGTCAAGAAGCTCCAGGTATCTGAACTGGATGCCAGGTCATAAATTCCCACTATGGTGACTCCATCAGGTCTCTGTCCTCAGAACTAGAGCTTTTCTAAGTGTAACGTAAGTTGATTTCTTAGTAGATGTCCCATCCATTACATTCCCAGACACCTCACAATGATTCGAATGATTAGTAACCACCACATATCCCTGCCTCTCAGGGAAATCCCTCCCGCCTTGTCTCTAGATGGCCAAGTCCCACGGCCTGTCCTCTACTCTTCCAGAACCCTGTTGTTCTCACTGACAGCAGGGAGGGCAAATCCATGCAGCAGCTCCCGCCATGACCTCCAGCCTGCAGAGGATGGGCGCCACAGGACTTTTAAACGCATGCCGCTGTTCCCCTCACCTGTGCATTTCTTAACGCCTTGGTGAGGAGAATGTCTCTGGATCTTGATGGGAGCTAAAGGAACAAAGGTAAATAATGCTATGGGACCCACTGAGAACTGGGGCTGTGGAAGAGTGGCCACTGAAGTAATAGACAGATGCAGCTATTGCCAGATACTCAGTGCCAGAGCAGGGAGGGACAGGGAAGAAATACGGACCTCACCTTCCTCTCACTTCCAGGATCCATCGGGGGCCCTCCATTGCTAAACCTAACTAGAAGTGTGCACGCAGGGGAGCCAGGGATGCATTCTAGGAGGGACGAGCACCGAGAGGCATGAGACAGGATGGAAATGAGTGGACAGTGGATCTGTGGGAAGAAGGAGGGGATGTTATGGGAAAACAAAAGGAGAATACTAGCTAAGAACGCTAGGTGACATTAATATTCCGAAGTCTGTGCTCATATTCAGAAAAGAAAGTTCAGCATAAAGCACTAAATAAGGAGTCAAGATATTGTACTTCCAACTGTTGTTCCAACAGCTGTATTATAAAGGGCCACTTTATTTCATGCCTTTCTAATTTGACCTAAAGTGCCAGGTGGCACTGGGGCTGGCACAGCCTTGCTCAATTATGTGTTGCAGAGTACACAGAGACTGCCAGGCTGAGGGAAGATGCAAGAGAATAGAAGAGATGCTCTCAGGGAACAAGAGACCACATGGCCCCAGAGTCAGGGGCAGCATCAGCCACTGTCAGCTGCTCATTTTCCCAGACAGAGCCCACAAGCCTCAGCCATGCTTTGCTTCTGCAAGACGCTTCTTCACCTTTTCAATAAACCTGCCTGAATTTAAGCTGACAGGGTTTATTTCTCCTTCATCATAAATGAAATTCTTCACCACAACAATCTCCAATGAATTTTGGGCACAGCAGGCAGGCCCATTTCTGCTTCTGTTCCACTATCTCTCCTGTAGGTTGAAAAGGAGGAGGTACTGAATTACCTCCAAATGTTCCTCTGGCTCTGATATTCTGTTATTCTGGTTCCTTTTTGGCTACTTTGTTTTTGGTAGCGTGTATCCTAAGGCGTCCAGTTGAACAACTTTTGTCTACTGTGTCCAGGCATTCCTGGTGGTATTTCAGATAAGACTCTCTTGGGTTGCTGAACTCACAACCACTGAACCAATTCTATGACCATCTGTTTCATGGCCACATGTTTGCTCATTTTATATGTACATAAAGGGAGGGGACAGACAGCAAACTTGCGTGTTACAAATTGTATCATCTTAAAAAGGAAACAAGGCAACACTTTGCAATAAAACCTTAAGATGCATGAAATTTAAGCCTAATGCAATAAAGGATGCCCATAAAATTCTTATCTAAAGAATGTTTCGAAAATTGTTGTACAAGGACATCATCATTTAAAGTGATATGAAGAAACCTTCTCAGCTAAGCATATGGGCTAGATTAGAGAGAAAAATAAAGGACCCATCTCTGCCCTGGAAAAACTGCTGGTAGCATCTTTCAAAAAGCTCTCTGTGTTTGAGTACGCACCTTGATCCATAGGCTCACATTTGATCCCAACTGGCAGCTGCTTCTTGGCATTAACATTGGATTCCCAACTAGTAAATCTTACCAAGATCTGACTTTCTGCAGATATAATATTATTTTGTTTGACCATCCTTATCTTCAAGGGCTACCAAGAAGGAACCAAGAATTTATTTACCTCCCCAAGGGAAAAGGTTTTACCAATGAGACACTTTCTCACCATGACCCCAGGACCCCATATGCCCTGTTCACTTGAGTGCCCTGTGTGGCCTGACAGAAGCTCATACTGGTCACAAGATTCCTTATATGACTAGCCTCCTTCCTGAATCCCAATTTCATGGTGGTGGTCATGACAGGTGTCCTGTATCCCATGCTCATGTCCCTGAAGTCACCAGCCTATCTCCAGTTAGAAAAAATTACATGTATATAGAGAGGCCTCTTTGGAAGGAGCAAAAACTTTCTCACCTTCGTACACTAATGGTTGGAAGGTACAACAGCATATGCACTTTGGGAAAAAATATCTGGCATATTCTTACAGAAACAAACAACTACCTATTCTATGACTCAGTAATTCCTAAGCATTTATCCAAGAGAAACTAAAACGTATGTCCAGAAAATCACTTATACAAGAATGTTCATAGCAGTTTTATTCATAATACAAAAAACTGAAAACATTCAAGTATCTGTCAATACAAGAATGGATCAATAAACTGTGATACACTCATTCCATGGAATGGCTAAAGGAACAAACTGGTGACACACAGAACAACATGGATGAATCTCAAAAACATTTGGAGTGCGATAGAAGCCATACCCAAAAAAGTGCGAGAAAAAAAGATAAATAATAATGGTTCCAAGAAATGCACAGCAGACAGCCCAGAGGCAAAGACCCACAGGACGGCGGGCCGGTCCCAGGCTGTCGATCCTAATTAAGAAACTTCTGCTGGATTTTGCCCAGCTCCATTTCCAAACTATTTTGGGTCAGTGACTTCTTTATCCCTTCCATGTTGCCTCATTTTGAACTAGAATCACTGTAAGTGTTATTCTATGTCTGTCACATCATTCCACAGTAGGGGCAGATAAGCTGTTTAGAATGGCTAAAATTCAAAAAGGTGAACACACCAAATGCTGTCAAAGATGAGGAGCAACGAGAACTTTCCATCGCTAGTGGAAATCAAAAGGGTACAGTCACTTTGGAAAACTTAAGTTCACTCACAATCCTGCACAGAAATACTTACAGCAATTTTATTCATCATTGCCAAAACTTGGAAGTGCCCAAGATGTCTTTCACCAAGCGAAAGAATAAACAAACTGTTGTAGCCATACAAGGAAATCTGATTCACTGATTTTAAAAAACAAGTTATCAAGCCATGAAAAGACATGAAGGAACTTAAAGTACATAATGCTAGAAAGAAGCCAGTCTGGAAACCCACATACTGTACCACTCCAACTCTAGGACATTCTTGGAAAGTCAAAAAGATAGAAGTAGTAAAATGGTGAGTGGTTGTCAGGGGTGGAGGAGAGGAGGATGCGTGAAATGGTGAAGCACAGGGAATTTTCAGCAGTGAAACTCTTTCGCATGACGCTGTATTGGGGATTTAGGACATTATGTAATTGCCAAAACCCATAATCTGTGAAACTCAAAGAATGAACTCCAATGTAAACTATGGACTTTAGTTGATAATGACATATCAACAGTGGTTCATCAATTGTAATGAATGGACCACACTAATACAACATACTAGTAGGGAAAATTGTGTGCTGGAGGACAGGGGAGCCTAGGAGAACTCTCTGTATTATCCACTCAAGTTTTCTGTAAACCTAGAACTGTTCTAAAAAATAATGTCTATTAACTTTTTTTTTAATTAGGATGCAGCAGCCCCATATCAAGGTTTTGGTGGCATCCTGTAATTGTGTGGTTAGTACTTGGCATTGAAGTGCACCAACCTGGAGTCAGAGCAGTTGGAGATTTCAAGGCCTGTGCCATTTACCTCTAACCCTGGGGTGCCCCTGGAATACAGATAGCAGATCGGTTAAGGAGAAGCAGCCTCAGCAATCTAGACAGTGCAGGTTTCTGGTGAGGACAGGTAAAAACCATCTGGGTGGGCAGAACTTGGTGAAGACTAGAAACCACTGAGACTCAGCAGCTGCTGCAGTGGCACCCACAAATCAAAGGAGGGGGCTGGGAAGAGCTAAGGGCTACTGGATGAGCTCTCTGCCTGCAAGACAGAAGCAGATCCAGAGATTTTGGAAAATAATGTAGGTTTCAGTACAGTGTGATCTCTTCAAAAAAGTAGAGAGAATGAAAAGGAAAGAAAAAGAGAGAGCATGAGAGAGAAAGAAGAAGAAAAGAAGAAAGGAAGAAAGGAAAGAAGGGAGGGAAGGAGGGAAGGAGGAAGGAAGGGAGGGATGGAGGGCGGGTGGGAAGGAGGGAAAGAATAAAAAGAGAGAGAAAGAGAGTTGGAGGGAAGTAGGGAAGGAAGGAAGGAAGGAAGGAAGGAAGGAAATGAACAAATTTACATGAAGATGAGAACAGTGGGGAAACTTACACCACCAATATTTTCCATTAACAGGAACACGCTAAGTAGTTATTAGAGAAAGACACGCTACTGTAAAACAATATACTGTTTCCATGGGGTACAACAACCCCTTCCTCCTCCTCTGAAACACATTCTATCTCTGGCTCACTGTTGCCAGAGACACTGAGTCTTGTCTTTGGATACGTTCTGGTGCCCACAAGAATGAGATGAGACAGTGGATCCCAGAACACCAGGCCACGAACTTCCCTGTTGCTCCTTGTCCACTCCAGAAGCTACCCAGCTGCAGTTGGGGACCTCAGCCCCTGGGTCTGATGTCATCCATTTGCCTTTCTCAATGGACTTCTCTCCTTGCACTGGCTCCTACTCCCCCAGGACCTGTGGGTGACCACATGAGAAGAACACAAACAGGCCATGCCCCTTTCTTTCTCCCCCTCTCAATGCCTGCAGTAGTGGGTTCCATGGGGTAGTGACCTGAGATTTACTCATTGTGGGGCCTCTAGCCCAGAGCAGGGCCTACTACCTCATAGTCACCCCATGAATGCTCAGTGAAAGAAGACGTCCACCACAAGGTCCTGGGGAACCAAGAATTCCACTGTGGCCCATAAATTCTAAGTCTACAGGATTCTGGAATGGGAGATGGGAAAGGCCTTCAAAAGTGGCCACTTTTAACCCATTATACTGGCAACTGAGCCATGTTTCCCCATCCTGGACACATCCAGAGGGCACTGCCTAAAACCAGACACATCTCCCCACCCAGGACAGTGTAGGAGCCTTAGCCTGGGGGATGCAGGTGGACAGGGAGGGGGTGAGCCACCAAAGCTGAAGAGCAGAAAGCAGGTGAAAGGGGACAGTAGGGTGGAAACAGAGAGAAATGGGGGCAGAGAACGGGGGGGGAGAGGGGAAGAGTGAGGAGAGGGATGCAGATCTAGCTAGTAAGGAAAAGTCCTGGAGAGAACACTGTCCTCTCCTGAAGTAAAATCACTTCTACCTGACCACGGCACTGCAGCTCATGGGCAGCACATGCTGTGGATATTTGTTCATTCATTTAACAAATATTTATTTAATATCTGTTGCATGCCAAGCAAGGCCCTGTGATGTTTAGGGACCTTGACATCTTCCCTTCACATCTGAGTCATAATACAAAGAGGACTCTCTGACCCCACTGAGCTGGCAATGCCTCGGGATTTTTACCTGTTGGATCTGGCAGCTCTTGATGTCAGCCCACACCATGTGAGGCTGCTCTTGGTGCACCCAATGGGGAAGTTTCTACATCAGGGCCTCGGAGAATCCACTGGAAGCCCTGGACAGTGGGAGTCAGCGGCATCCCCAGTGTGGAGGCCAAGAGCACACAGTGCTTAAGCTCCAGGCACCCTCAGGAGGACGGCAAGGGACAATTGGCTGGTGAGAGCCCGGGTCACCGGGAACCTTCGCCTGGGTCTAAACAGGATTTGCCTTCAGATTGCCTGTGAGATAAAAGAGAGAAATCAAGGTTAACGTTGAGATTTAGGGCTTCGGTAACTTGAAGGATGGAGCTGCCATTTACAGAGACTGGTAAGACCCAGGGAAGAGCAGGTTGAAAGGTGGTGGGAACTAGAGGTGGTTGGGTTTCTGTCATATGTAATCAACAGTCCTGACCAGCCTGGGCAACATAGTAAGACCCCGTCTGGGAAAAGAAAAAAGGAAAAATAAGCTGAGCATGGTGGTGCACACTTGTAGTCTCAGCTACTTGGGAGGCTGAGGCAGGAGGATTCCTTGAGCCTTCAGTTAGCGGTTAGTGAGCTATGATGGCACCACTGTACTCCAGCCTGGGGGGAAAAAAATAAAGAGTCCTGACTAAATACTAGAGTAGCCAGGGAAGTTTTCACAAAGTAAGTAATATTTGAGGCAGATCTTAGTGAACAAGAATTCCATTATTTCTGTTAGGGAATTAAGAGAGTGTGGGTGTCGTTAGTTAATGCTTATTAAGGTATCTTTGGAATCTCATCTACTGGTCTAGCTGGTCTATCTGTACACGTATATTGTACATGCTGTCTCTCTGAGCTTTCGCTAGGTTATGCTACGGTAACAAAAGCCCCAAAATCTTAGCAGCTACACATACGAAGGTTTATTTTTCATTGACATGTCCTTTTATGGCAGGTTGACTGTGACTCTACTCTATACAAGCTATTTTATTTGTTAGATGGTGAAAACTGTGATACTCGGAGGTTGTTGAATATGGTATTAGTATGTTCATTCATTCATTCATTTAAGAAATATTTATTCAATATCTGTTTCATGCCAGGCAAGGTCAAGTACTGAGAATACACTGGTGAATCAAAGAGACAAAATCTCTAATTGCCAGGAGCTTATATTGAAAATCAGATTAAACACATACAAAATCATCATAATAACAACAATGAATACTATATTCATAAATAATAGCTGTAAGAGATTTTAGTACATCTTTTAAATTAGAAAAATATAAAAATTATTAAAACTAAAATGGCCAGGTGTGATGGCTCATGCCTGTGATCCCAGCACTTTGGGATGCCAAGGTGGGAGGATCATTTCAGCCCAGGAGTTTGAAACCAGTCTGGGCACTACAGGAAAACCCTGTCTACAAAAAGGAGAAAATTAGCCGGGCACAGTGGTGCATGCCTGTAGACCCAGCTACTAAGGAGGCTGAGGTGGGAGGAGTGCTTGAGCCTGAGAGATCAAGGCTGCAGAGAGCCATGATCATACCACTGCACTCCAGCCTGGGTGACAGAGCGAGACACTGTCTCAAGAAAAAAAAAAAATTATTTGATGTAGTCCTAAAACTATTATGTAGAATACTATTGTTTATATCACATCACGTGAGCCCCTTAAATGGCTTAACACTTATTTAGGTATGATCCATAAAGCTTTTCTGGTAATTAAGTATACTTAAGAACAATTAAGTATAAAAGAGTTACTGCCTTGACAGGAAGATTGTAAAAATTTTAAAAAGACAAATAAATAAAAGAGTCAAAACTGTAGCTCTGTGAGGCTCAAATAACATCTAATTCAAGTCACAATGAACATCTAGCAATCATTCTGAACACCATATAATTCACTTAATACGTTTTGCCTGAACACCCAACACATCTGAATTACCAACACCCATATGTAGCCAAGAAACTGGCAATCATTTATAAATTATCACCTATGACTCCATCTGCTCTACGCACTTATTTTTTAAATTTTATTCATTTATTTATTATTTTTATTTGTTGTAGAGATGGGATCTCACTATGTTACCCAAGTTGGTCCAGAAACAGAAACAGACCCACACTAATTTCATAAATCAGATGACCATACAGTCATTCGATTTATGAAAAAAAGTGCCACATGGTGCGGAAGGAAAAGGATGGTCTTTTCAATAAATGGTGCTGGATCAAGCAGACACATCCATGTAGTAAAAAGTGAATCATAGCCAGGTGGGGTGGCTCACACCTGTAATTCCAGCACTCTGGGAGGCTGAAGCGGGCAGATTACTTGAGCCCAGGAGTTCGAGACCAACCTGGGAAACATGTTGAATCCCCATCTCTACAAAAAATATGAAAATTAGCCAGGCATGGTGGCACATGCCTATAGTCGCAGCTACTCAGGAGGCTGAGGTGGGAGGATCACTTGAGCCAGGAGATGGAGGTTGAGTGAGCTGAGATCCTGCCACCACACTCTAGCCTGGGCAATAATAGACTGAGGCCCTGTCTGAAAAAAAAAAAAAGCAAAAACTAAAATAAAATCGTTATAAGGTTAATACAGAAAAATGTGTTCATACTCTTAGGTTAGGCATTGATTTCTTAAACAGGACACAAAAAGCAGTAACCATAAAGGAAAAGATTGATAAAGTATAATTTCATTAAAATGAAGAATCTCAGGCTGGGTGCAGTGGCTCATGCCTGTAATCCCAACCCTTTGGGAGGCCGAGGCAGGTGTATCACTTGAGCCTAGGAATTCCAGACCAGCCTATGCAACGTGGCAAAACCCATCTCTACTAAAAATACAGAAAACAGCTGAGTGTGGTGGTACTCCCCTGTAGGTCCCAGCTACTTGGGGGCTGAGGCAGGGGGATCACCTGAGCCTTGTGAGGTCAAGGTTGCAGTGAGCTGTGATTGTGCCACTGCACTCCAGCCTGGGCGATGGAGTGAGATCCTGTCTCAAAAAGAAAAAAAAAAAAAGAGAATCTCCCTTCATGAAAAAACACCATAAAAGAGTGAAAACGCAAGCTACAGATTGAAAAAAGGGAAATGCAATACATATAAATCCTAGAAAGGAGGCATATCCAGAATAAAGTATTACAAATCAACAGGAAAACAAGCATATCAATGAAAACTGGATAAAAAGATTTAACAGGCACGTCACAAAAGAGGACATATAAATGGCAATAAAAGATACTCAATCTCAATGAAACCACACTGATATATTACTGCACCCCTACTAGAATGGCAAAATAATTTTTAACTGACAGGTATCAGCGAGGATGTGGGGTAACCAGCATATCCCTGCTAAATGGTACAACTACTTTGGGAAAATGTTCAACAATATGTAATACTAAAGTTTTATCATTCATATACCTCTAAAACCAACAATGCCACCCCTACAAATATACCCCAGACTAGTAATGTTCAATTTCTTGATCTGTGGTGGTTCACTTGGTAAAAATTCATTACTTTTTTTTTTTTTTTTTTGAGACAGGGTCTCACTCTGCCATCCAGGTCGGAGTGCACTGCCATGATCACGGCTCACTGCAATCTCAACCTCCCGGGCTCTGGTGATCCTCCCAACTCAGCCTACCGGGTAGCTGGGACTACAGGCACACGCCACCACACACAGCTAACTTTTGTATTTTTAGTAGAGAAAGGGTTTTGCCATATTGCCCAGGCTGGTCTGGAAATCCTGGGCTCAAGTGATCTACCCACCTTGGCGTCCCAAAGTGCTGGGATTACAGGTGTGATCACTGCGCCCGGGCCACCTGCACATGTAAAATTGTGAACTTCTGTATACTTCAGTAACTTTTCCAAGATTTCTTTGACGCAAAGTTCTCAGAAATCTTAAAGCTAGCATTTCAGAATAGAAAAAGTAGCTTCTGGTTCACTAGTGAAATTTTACCAATAGAATTTAAAAACAAAAAGCTACTAACGCATATCAGCTCAGAACACTACCAGCAGATCTTTTCTTTAACTTCCTGAAGCACTGGGATTCATTCTTTTGGCAAAGAAAGGATGAACAACACTGTAACCCAAAGAAAAGATACCACTGCCAGAAAAGACTTCTTTTCGAAAGCAGCTCTAAGCAAAAGATAGGAGGAAAACAAGGAAGCCAGGCCAAACGTCTTGGTTAACTCTCCGCTGAAAGGACGCCACATGAGATGATCTAAGAAGCCAGCCAGCCAGCCAGACACAGGGAAATCACAGCAACTCTTTGGAGTGCAAACAGCAACCCCACAATCCAATCTACCCGAAATCCTGCGGTTCATTTGAGGCTTGCCCCGCTAGTCAGGAGGTGATTCAGTGATGGCTACAAATGCTGCTCATGTGCATCCTGGAGCTGGCACACCTGGCTTGCCCATCACCAGCCTGGAGACACCGCCAGGAGCAGAAGCCCGGAGGCCAGTAAAGACCCCAACTTTGCAAGTCAGGGGCGCGAGCGCGCTCGCCTCTCAGGTCCGCAGAGGGAACGGATTTCTGGCCTGGAGGGTGGGGTGCGGGGTCAGTGTCCTCTACAGGATATAGGAGGACGTGCCCCCGAAGCTGCTCCGTCCCTCCACCCCCTGGGATGCCACAGAACACCCGCCAGCGAGTTTCTTCCCCAGCGCCCACGAGAGTTGGGCTGCGGGCGGCAGCGGCAGGCGAAGAATCCAGCGCGGGGAACTCAGGCCCCGGCGGTGCACGACCCCCCACACCCCCCACCCGCCCCCGCGCTCGCGCAACAAAACTTGCCACGGCCGCGCCTCGACCCAGCTGTGCGCCCGCGGGTCCCGGATTCACCGCCCGCCCAGCCTGGCGCGGCGCCCTCACCTCAGAAACGCTGGGTGGACTTCGCGTAACTTCCCATTCACAGGGCAGCCGGCAGCCGCGCCGCCGCGCCTCGGCCCAGCTCCTGGCGCCGCAGATCGCCCGTCCCGCGTTCCCAAAAGCACCGCGCTCGCTCAGAAGCTCGGGCAGCCTCGCGACCCTCACCTACGCCTCCCAGTACCGCCGCTGTCTCAACCGCCACCCAGCCCCTCGCCTGCGCCTGCGCCTGCGCCTGCAGCCCACTGGCTCCTCAGGATCCCGATGGGCGTGTCAGGATAACCCAAGGCGCAGGCGCGGCGGGGCCTTAAAGGGACCCGGCGGCCTCTTCTGCACAACGGGTTGGAGCAGGTTAGGGGCCGCGCAGGCGGAGAAAAGGAGTAACCCAGGGGAAGGACCGAGTGCAGCGGGGACGGGGAAATCCCTCTCTCCCCTCCGCCTGTCTTTCAAAGCACCAGCCCTCGACCCTCCAAATCGCTGGTTTCCCCGGCCACTTGAACAGCCCCTGCCAGGTTGAAGAGGCAGGAGACACACCCCCTCTGGGGCTGGAGCGACCCCGCGCTTAGGACTGCAGGCCTCGCGCTGCCGCACCGCCCCGAGTCTGACTTCCAGGCACGGGCACGCGGTGCAGTCGGGCAGGCTTCAGAAGAGCCCCCAGCTCTCCCAGAGGTGGCCTTAGGTCACTCTCAAAAAGAATAACCAACGTGTCAATGGCACTTGTAGTTATTTTCTAATTTAAATTTATTAACAGATTTTGCAGATGGGCTTCCACTGAAATAAGCCTTTGAGAAAAAGAAAAACTTTTTTTTTCAACAGGATTAGAATACCAAGAAATAGGAAGTAAAGCCATGCCGTCCACCCAGCTAAAAACTTTGAAAACTTGATATTTTATCTAAGGCAAATGTTTGCATAACTTTAGGTCATGCCATTATTTAAAGTCAATTTCAATTAACAATTTCATTGCAACTGAATCTATCTTGTATAAGAAAACTAAGATACATCCCTGATAATCTACCTCTCCCCTCCTATACTCCATCCGTCAGCAAATCCTACTGGTTTTTACCTTCCAAATTTTCCTTGAATCTGTCCTCTTCTATCTCCTCCATCACCACCCTAGTCTAGGCTGCCTTCACCTGGGGAGTGAGGGTCGAGGGACTACTGACCTAGTCTTCTTGTGGTTTACCCATATCCCCTTTATCGCCTCTCTAATCTCAACACAACAGGCAGAGTGGCTTTTCCAAAATATAATGTGACCGTGTCACTTCCCAGCCTAAAGCACTTAAACACCTTCCCATTCTCTTAGACAAAACCTCCTAACTAACCAAGCCCCGAATGGCCAGGCGCCTTGCCCACTTCTTCATCTCTTCTCACTACTCAGACCAATTCCGTTCTGCTCTCTCTGCTCCAGCCAAACTGGCCTCTTTTATTCCCTATTTACCAGCTTCCTGGCCTCCACAGAGCTTTTGCTCATGCTTTGCTCTGTGCCTGGAAGGTTCTTCTAACCCCTATTCTTCTGAGAACAGCTGTAGTCTCCACCTCTGAAAAGCACCTTCTGACCTCCCTATGGTGGTCCCTTACTCCTATCACATTGCATGAAACTGTAATCGGGTGGTTATTTTGGTGAATTTTTTACTATCGGCTACGTAAGCCCAGGGTTTGGTTTTGTTTGCTTCATGATTTGTATTTCCACATTTGTTAAATACATATTTGTTCATAAATGAGAATGATGGATGCTAGAAGTTGAAGTAAATTTGGCATAAAGTCAGAGAAAGAGAAAATGTCACAATCTGACAGTTGGAGTCAGAATGCAGAAACTTCAGTTATATTAAAACTGATTTTATATCGTTTTAGGCTGAGTTGTCTTAGGATGCTTTGGGTAACCTTTAAAACTGAGTTCTCAAAGAGCCTTGTATAAACACCTGAATTAATAATGATAAGCCATGGGGTGGCCCACATAAAACTAATAACATTGGTTGCTTTAAGAGAGGAAGACTGAGCCAGGCACGGTGGCTCATACCTGTAATCCAAGCACTTTGGGAGGCCAAGGCCCGCAGATCATTTGAGCTCAGGAGTTTGAGACTAACCTGGGCAACTTGGTGAGACCCTGTCTCTACATAAAATACAAGCAAAATTAGCCAGGCGTGGTGGCGGGCGCCTGTACTCCCAGCTATTTGGGAGGCTGAGGTGGGAGGATTGCTTGAGCTCAGAAGGTTGAGGCTGCAGTGAGCCATGATCATGCCACTGCACTCCAGCCTGGATGACAGAGCAAGATCTTGTCTCAAAAAGAGAGAGAGAGAGAGAGAGAAATGAAGACTGGTGACTGGTGGCTACTGGTGGGAAGGAGATTTTTACTAAATGCCCAAAAGGTTTAAAATTGTAACTTTTTTATTTCAAAGTCTGTGAAGATAAATGACACAAAAGAGCACATACCTTCCCATTTATTTGAAATTCTAGAAAGGGGAAAATTAATCTGTGGTGAAAAAATCATAGCAGTGGTTCCCTCTGGCAGGGGATTGACTGGGAAGTTACATGAGAGAAATTTCTGGGTGGTAAAAATGGTCTCTGTCTTGATAGGGATATGAGTTATATAAGTGTATTCATTTGTCAAAAAACATACAGTTAACATTTCAATGAATGTAAATTTTACCTTAAAAACTATACGAATAAATGCAAATTTAAAATCTGCTAGCTAACACCTAGTTGAGTACTCAGTGTCTATGGGCATTGGCCGAGGCTATACATACACGATTTTCTTTAGTCCTCATACCGTCCTCATGGGGTAGGTATTATTATCATAACCCCCTTGCATATGAAGAAGCCAAAATGCAGTAAATACCAAATAACTTGCCTCAATTTATACCCCTGGAAAATGCGGGAAGAGCTTTAAACACCATCAGTCAAATGCCAGAAGTTGTTAAACATTAGACTCTATAGCACTTCTCTGAAATTATAGTATTTTTGGTATATATATATATATATATATATATATCATCTACTAGATCAAGAGCTTCACAATGATTGAAATCATAGTTTGTCTTTTTGTTTGAGGTTTATGTTTTTATTTTACTTCATTATTTTAAAGACTGAGTCTCGGCCGGGCACGGTGGCTCATGCCTGTAATCCCAACACTTTGGGAGGCCAAGGTGGGTGGATCACTTGAGGTCAGGAGTTCGAGACCAGCCTGGCCAACATGGTGAAACCCCATCTCTACTAAAAATACAAAATTAGCCAGGTGTGGTGGCACGTGCCTGTAATCCCAGTTACTCAGGAGGCTAAGGCAGGAGAATCGCTTGAACCTGGGAGGTGGAGGTTGCAGTGAGCCAAAATTGTGCCACTGCACTCCAGCCTGGCCGACAGAGTGAGACTCCATCTCAGAGAAAAAAAAAAAAAAGACTGAGTCTCACTATGCTGCCCAGGCTGGACTTGGACTTCTTCATTCAAGCCATCCTCCTGCCTAGGCTTCACCTGGGACTACAGGCCCAATATTTTTGTCTTAAGTTTCTAAGCAGTCCCAAGACTTTGCACAGTAGCTGTTCAATGTATTTTGAGTGAATGATTAAAAACAAGCTTGATGTCGATTTTATTGGTACAATTTATATTTACATATGTAATATTTATATGCTTTTATATATTTATGTGTGCATGTATATAATTGGTACTAACTTAGCACTGCTGTGCCTAAGTGCCTGAGATGCATCTCAAATGAATAGGCCTGAGGAGAGAAGCTTGTGTCATTAGCTCTGACCCTGCAGCACTAATCCTAGTTTACCCCTTTCTTTCAGTCTCCCTGAGCACAATTTATTTGCTGAAAGGCCACATCTCACTATGGAGTGAGGATCAAGAAGTAAAGGTCTGAAAGAGAGAAGCTGCGGGGCTGGGGAGACTGTTGGTCGGAGAGGCGTCGGGGGCCCAAGGAAAAGGGAGGATTGTGGGGAGGAATCGGCGTAGAGATGAGAGGAGCCGCAGAGACAGAGTCTCACGCAGAGGTGTGCCCAGACACCCTGAACCAAGTTACTTAACCTCGTCCACCACCGTGGCACCCGTGGGGTCCGTGGGCCCGTCGGTCTTCCAGGAGGGATTCTGTGTCCCTGTTATTGTGTGTCAACATGTGTTAGCCTGATATTTATATTTTTAATGAGAGAAAACGAACTCTGGAATTTGCGAACTGTTTTTTCGTTTTGCTTTATACCTCTTGGACACTCCTTCCGAAGGATTGGGTCTCAAGGGCAGTGGGGTGTGACTACGGTAGACAGGGCTGATTAATTTTCATCCAAAACTCTTTGGCGGATTCCCCTGCTCTCCGCTTCTCCGGTCTAACAGTAGTTTAAAACAGAAGATCAGCAACATTTGGAGAGTTTTTTTCTTTGCATTTTAATGATAAACTTGATTTATTCAATTCCAAAAGTTTTCTTATTCTGAGGTTGTCTTTCTATATTTTGAGTATAAAACAATGGCCATACTATGTTGGAACCACCAAGGTTCTTCTCTTCACTTGTTCATTTGTAATGTCTCTTTATAATCTGAGAATTTCCTGAGCAAACTGGGAACTGTTATACATAATTCCTTGTTTTTCAACATTCTTTGTAAACAGGAATCAGGATTGGGGATGGGGAGGGAGGGAGGAGTAGGAGTCCTGATTTGTGGAACAGAAAATCATGGATTACTTATGTGATGGAGCAAAGGGTTTAAAAACTCTTAGCATCCCCAGATTTCCCCTTTTACTGTTTGCTGAAGAAAATTCTGTCTTTGACTCCCTTCCTTACCCTCTCCGGGCCTGTGAGAAGCTTCCTCCCTATTCAGTTTATTTCCTCCTCTGCTCCCCGACCCACCCCCCACAGCCCCCTCCTCTTTTTCAGTGAAGCCGCTGGAGGAAAGTCGGGTTTGGGAGAAGACCCACACAGGCAAGGACAGCAGGAGAACACTGACATAGTTACACTCTTGTCACCAGCACTTTTATTAAGACGTGAAAAGACAAAGACAACAGAGGACAGCAGAGAATAATATCTCTGTTTCAGCTATTCCAGGATGTTATGCCAATTATCCAGAGTCCTTGATCTGATGTAGTAAAGAGCTAGGGACATTTTCCCTGAAGGCTTTGATTGCTGGCAAAATCTCATTAAACGTGTATACATTCATAGGTTGGCCATAGGATGGATAAAAGAAGAGCCTCTGGCCTACATCTGCCACGATACATGTGCAAAAATGCTCTCTGCAGCATTATTTTTCATTGTAAAATAGCAGAACGAATTTATTATTCAATAATTATAAAATGGTCAAATGTATGTGACTATATTTGGACAATGAAAAATGCAGCTGTTAAAAGCAGACAATACTGATGATTCAGATGATGTTACTGATGAAAATAATAACAGATGACAATTATTGAGCATTTATGGCATTCTTACAGGCATTACCTTATTTAAAGTTCAGAACTACCAAGGAAAAGAGTAACTTGTGGCAGGCGTGAGAGGTTCCGAGGCACAAAAGGAAGATAGGCATTCAAGGAACACCAGGATAGAAGACCCAGAGTAGGAGAAGAGAGAGGAAGAGGAGTCCGCCAGATGGGATGCTGGAAACCGCGGGATAGCTCGGTGGAGAGAGGGCGCTCCTGCTCCGCAAGCCTCCCTACGACGGCAGGCCTACCCGGTCCTGCTCCTGCCGGCTCTGGGCATCTGGTTTCTGCCGCTCCATCTCCAGGGAGATGGTGGCCAGGCTGTGCCGTGTACCCATCAACTTCTCTGACAGCGCCATCTTCTCAGACTCCTTCAGAGACAAGGCCTGGGCAGAGGCAGGGGACAAAGGGCTTGGGGGATGGGCTGGTCCTGGGGGCATGCTCAGGCTTCTTGCTGCCTAGGAAATGTGCCCACTGGGGGCTTAGAGGCCTGAGTGTGCCACTGCAGGTGGACCCAGGGCAGACATGCAGCCCTGGAAAAGGGCACAACGGCAGTCACAAGAATCCTGGACGTGGATACCACTCATAGAGCTCACTAACCCGCCACAGCACCCTGACTGCAGAGTCTTTCTTTCTACCCATCTTACAGATGAGGAAACTGAGGCTCAAGGAGGTAAAGTGACTCGCCCAGGTACACAGCTGGTGAGGAGAGGAGATGGGCACAGTCTGCCCTGTCTCCGTTACATTATAGGAAAGTTAGGGATTTGTTATTTGGGGGGACACGTCAGCTGATGCCTGTGGGCATCGTGGGGACTGCTCAGAAGGCAGCCATGAGGATCCATGCCCAGCGTGGGGTGGGACGAGGCATGGGAGAATATGGAACAGCTTTCCTGGTGTCACGACTGTCACTGTCACTCAGTAAGTGCTCACTGTGTGCCAGGCATGGAGCACAGCAAAGCCTCACGAACCCCCTTCTAATCCTCCCCTCCTGCAGGTAAGGAAACTGAGGCCCCCAAGAGGGCAGTGGCCTGCCCCAGGGCTCCTAGCTGCCAAGTGGCAGAGCAGGGCCCGGCCCCAGAACTGGAGCAGCTCAGAGAGCAGCAGAGGCCACGCCAGGGCTCACGAACCTGCTGCTTCTCGCTCTCGGCCAGGAGGAGGCCCTCGTCATGCTCCTGCTGCAGGGCAGCAATCTCCTCACTCAGCTGTTCCTTCTCAGCCTTCCGCCGGGCCAGCAGCTCCTCCTGCTCACGCTGCAGCTGACTCTGCAGCTGGGCCCGCTCGGCCTCCAGCTCCCGCCATGCTGCCTCCTAGGGGGCCAGGACCGGACGCGTGTGACACACCAGGAGGGGCCCAGGCAGACCCCCCAAAACATCAGGGCAGCAAGAGCCATCTGGCCCCCATACCCTCAGAGATGGAGGGTGACCAGGTAAATACAAGGGACTGATAAGGGCTATGACGGGGACACGCCAGGGCCGTGAAAGTGCCAAGGAGCAGCAGTGGGCTGGCCTGGAGGTCCGAACATGATCCTCTGCGGAGGGACAAGTAACTGTCAGCCAGGTAAGGAGAGAAAAGACCACCCCAGGCCAAGAGCACAGCCCCTGGAAAGGACTACAGGATGCAGGGTGCAGAGGGAAACAGGGCGCGGTGAGTCACAGGGCCAGAGCCCCAGGCAGTGGCTGGGCCAGGACAGGCCGTGTGGGCCATGGGGATTCTAAGGACAGTGAGGGGAGTGGGAGAGAGGACTCGAGCCAAGGTGACAAGGAGCAATCTGATTTTTAGCTTAGGGGATGTTCCGACAGCTGTGGAAGAGGGATTGGGGTTGGGATGGAGGAGAGTTAGGACTGGCTGTGACGAATGAAGGGGGTCAGGGGTTGCCAGAGGAGCTGGAGAGAAGAACACAGATTTGGGGACATTAATGAGGCCAAGCCAGGCAATGCAAAGGGCAAGAAGAGCAAGGGGGAGGTCACAGTTCAGATCCCTGGGGACTGGACAGGCGGGCAGGCAGAGCCCACAGGCAAATAGCAGCCCACCCGGGGAGCCCGAGGGCAGGTGCCTGCCTCAGCAGTTGTCCCTAGCAACTCTGTGAGAAGCAAACAGAGCTGCCACTTCTTTTTTTTTTTTTTTTTTTTTAGACAGAGTCTCGCTCTGTCACCCAGGCTGGAGTGCAGTGGTGTGATTTTGGCTCACTGCAACCTCTGCCTCCCAGGTTGAAGCGATTCTTCTGCCTTACCCTCCCAAGTATCTGGGACTACAGGCGCGTGCCACCATGCCCAGCTAATTTTTTGTGATTTTAGGAGAGATAGGGTTTCACTGTGTTAGCTAGGATGGTCTCGATCTCCTGACCTCGTGATCCGCCCACCTCAGCCTCCCAAAGTGCTGGGATTACAGGCATGAGTCAGCACGCCCGGCCAAGCCACCCCTTCTTTAAGAGCTTCACCATAGCTCATGCCTGGAATCCCAGCACTTTCGGAAAGAGCTTTACTGCCCCCTGATGGAGAAGCGTGATAACCACCACCCAAGGCCACGGGGACTGCAGGGTGAGTGGCATGCCCTGGAGCCATGTAGTCATAGCCTGCACCTCTGTCAGAGGAAGTCCTGTCTAGGATTTGGTGGCTGAGGGCCCCTGTCCTGAGGGCCACTCTGGAGAGCATGCCAGTGCCAGCAATCATAACTCATGGAGCATTTGCTAAGTACCAGTCACTATGTTAAGCCCTCTATGCAGATGGTCTCAGCTCATCCTCAATACCTTCCACTATCCTATCCCTATTTCTACAAGTGGGGAAATGAAGGCACAGACACCTTGGGTAGCATCACCAGTAAGCGACCAAGATTAGATTCAAACCCAGGCAATATAACCCCAGAGTCAGTGTTCTAGTAACTTCCCTGGCCCCTTGCCTTTCTACATGCTCAGGTCTGCGTGGCCCTTCATATGGAAACTTCTTAGCAAATGAAAGTGCTTTCCTGCTGTACATTAGGTCAGCATTTCCCAAATGTGGTTGTGGACCCTCTGCATCAGGATTACCAGGGCTGGACCAGATTTGGGACCTGGGTATCTGAATGTCTAATAAGGACCACAACCTCCCCACCACCCCTCCAGTCCTCCCAGCTGTCCCCAGGGCCTCCACAACAGAGAGGGAGTCCCATTTCACAGATGTACAGACCGAGGCAGAGCAAGAACGATGATGAAACACTGGCTCAGACTTCTGCCCACCCCTCCCCAGCTGCCTGAACCTTTTCACGCTGGAGTCACTGTAAGTCCTCCTCGTGGGCTGCCCACTGCTCCCGCAGAGAGGCCTGGGCCTCCCGCTCAGCCTGCACCAGCTTCTGGGCCATCAGCTCCTTGTCTAGACTGGCTTTCTCCTGCGTAGCTATTATTTGCTGCCGCAGGCCCGCCAACTCCCCTGCACGAGAGGAATGGGGGAAAGGGCAGGGTTGGGTTGAAATTTTTCCTTGGGCCAGCAGACTTAGGCCAGTTGAGCCATATGGGCAAAATCCCAGAGGCAGAGGGCCTGTCTGGCATCCAGTTTGGGTCCTCTTGAAGAAGTGGCTTGTCCTCTCTGGGCCTCAGTTTCCCTATCTGCTACATGGGCCCACTGGCCCTGACCCCTTTCCTGCCTACCTAGAATGGCATTAAAGGCATAAAATGACTGATGAGAAGGCCTCCCAAATGGGACGGATGTCAAACATATAACAACCCTAGGCCAGGTGCCATGGCTCACTCCTGTAATCCCAGCACTTTGGGAAGCTGGGGCAGGTGGATCACCTTAGGTAAGGAGTTCAAGACCAGCCTGGCCAACACGGTGAAACCCTGTCTCTACTAAAAATACAACAATTAGCTGGGCATGGTGGCGGACGTATGTAGTCCTAGCTACTTGGGAGGCTGAGGCAGGAGAATCGCTTGAACCCAAGAGGCAGAAGTTGCAGTGAGCTCAGATCGCACCACTGCACTCCAACCTGGGCGACAAGAGTGAGACTCTGTCTCAAAAAATCAAACAGGCTGGGCGCGGTGGCTCATGCCTGTAATCCCAGCACTTTGGGAGGCCGAAGTGGGCAGATCACCTGAGGTCGAGAGTTCGAGACCAGCTTGACCAACATGGTGAAACCCCGTCTCTACTAAAAATACAAAATTAGCCAGGCATGGTGGCGCGTGCCTGTAATCCCAGCTACTTGGAAGGCTGAGGCAGGAGAATCGCTTGAACCTGGGAGGCGGAGGTTGAGGTGAGCCAAAATCGCGCCATTGCACTCCAGCCTGGGCAACAAGAGTGAAACTCCATCTCAAAACAAACAAACAAAAACAAACAAACAAACAAAAACCCTATTACTGACTCAGCACTTACTATGCGTCAAGCACCCAGCTAAGTATTTTAGACATAACCTCATTTTGTCTTCATAACATGCCTATGTAGTTTATCCTCATCCCCGTTTAACAGATGATGAAATGGAGGATCAGAGGAGATCAGCAGCAACTTCCCACAGCTGCACAGCTACACATAAAGCATCTCCTTTAATGACTGACATGAACATACCTGTCAAGCGTTAACTATCAGCATTAATGGAAACGACTACAGGGAATGGAAATGGTATAGCCATCATCTAAAAACCATCTCCCGGGTTGGAAACCCACCAGCATTTCCCTTCCTGGTTCTGTCTGGCTCAGGTGTACATGGACAGGAAAATTAATTTCCATGACCCAAGTAGGTGCTTAGTTAATGTTAGATGAGCAGAAAGAAGCCCTGAGTTCAGAGATTCGATGGGGAACGGTGCAGGGAAGTGGGGCTCGGATTCTGGGGCCAAGAGAGTCATCTGAAAACCACAGAGAACTCAGACTAACAGGCCTGATGACCGATGAACAGCAGTTACTGTTGACTCAGCCAGGCACCGTGCCACGGCCTTACACGCTTTTCCCATGTCATCCTGGCAACAGGCTTAGAAGGTGGGCATTGCCACCTCCAATAATCAGCTGAGGAATCTGCAGCCCAGAGAGGAAAGGGGCTTGCTCAAGGGAAGGTGAGATCTAAGTGGTGGCACAGGACTGGAACCCAGGCCAGCCACACTCCTACTCCAGTGCTCCCAACTTCTGTGAGACTACAGACATTGGGAGGTTGCAGTCTGGGCTGGAACCTGGTGTTCCCCCCAAGTCCCCAGCCACTCGTACCAGTCAGGGTCTCCTTGGCCAGCAGCAGGGCCTGCCCCTCGGCTTCCAGCTGCTCCCGGCGGGCCTCAAGCTGGGCCAGCTGCCATTGCACCTCAAACAGGCTGCCCTCCAGGGCTTCCTTCTCCAAGCTGCAGCACATACAGTGCGTGAGGCCCTGGGACTCAGCCTCCCTGGCCCCAGGAAACTGTGGATCTCAGGGAGTGGCCAGGCATGGGCCAAGTGCCAATCTACCTGCCTGGCCAGGCCCACACTCCCTGGGGAAGCCTGAGCCCACAGCTAGGACGAGTTGGCAAGCCAGACTCCTTAGTAACTGCCCCTGGGGTCCCGTGCCTGGGTGAGGCTGTTCATGGCGTGGCCCCAGGAGGACCGCCCAGGGCGGGTTGGGCAGAGCCCAAGGCCTTACTGCAGGTGTGTGGCCTCCTCTGACACGGTCCTGCCTTCACGCTCCGCAGGCCGCCAGCTGCACAGCCAGGCCAGCGTGCTCCTTGGCTAGCGCCTCCTTCTCCCGGGCCACTTGCCCCAGCATCTCCACCTGTCACTGGGCCTCCCACCGGGCCTGCTCCAGCTCCTGCTCCCGCCTGCTCAGCTGCCAGGAGAGCTGGCTCCCACCCAGAGACTGAGTAGCACTCCCAGCATCCCCCAGCTTGTTCATCGTGCAGCACCCCAACTCTGGGCCTAACCCAGTCCTGGCAGAAGGCCTGGGTTCGAGCCCAGGGTCTGCCCTGATGTGCTATATGTACTTGGGCAAGTCATGACCTTCTCTAGATCTGCAATGCACGTGTGTACAAAAACCAGGGCCCGGCCGGACACGGTGGCTCACGCCTATAATCCCAGCACTTTGGCAGGTGGATCACTTGAGGTCAAGAGTTCAAGACCAGCCTGGCCAACGTGGTGAAACCCTGTCTCTACTAAAAATACAAAAATTAGCCGGGCATGGTGGTGCACGCCTGTAGTCCCTGCTACTTGGGACGCTGAGGCAGGCGAACAGCTTAAACCCCGGAGGCAGAGGTTGCAGTGAGCCCAGATCGTGCCACTGCACTCCAGCCTGGGCAACAGAGCAAGACTGTCAAAAAAAAAAGAAAAGAAAAATGAGGGTCCTCACTCAGCTTTGGAAGTAACAGAACCCTTGTATTACTCTAAGCAGAGAAGCTGAATATATAAACCAGACCCAAATGCAGCTGCTCAGCAGGCCTCAAGGTGGAGACTTGCACCCTGCTTCCTGCACTCCCTACCCCATCCTCTAGAGGCACCTCCCAGAAACCCAGGCCCTCCAGGATGGACCTTGCATGAAGGTCCCTGGATCCCTGAAACATTAAGGTCTCTTCGAGATGTGATGTTCCCAAAAGTCTAAGATTCCAATTCTAAAAAGTCTCCACCTATTATTAATCTGTATCATTATTATTATTATTATTGAGACGGAGTCTTGCTCTGTTGCCCAGGCTGCAGTGCAGTGGCACGATCTTGGCTCACTGCAACCTCTGCCTCCTGGGTTCAAGCGATTCTCCTGCCTCAGCCTCCTGAGTAGCTGGGACTACAGTCGCGTGCCACCACACCCAGCTAATTTTTTGTAGAGATAGGGTTTCACCGTGTTAGCCAGGATGGTCTTGATCTCCGGACCTCAGGTGATCCACCCGCCTCGGCTTCCCCAACTGCTGGGATTATAGGCGTGAGCCACTGCGCCCGGCTATCCCCATGTTATAAATGGGGCAACTGAGGTATGGGAGGTTGGGCAGCTTGTCCAAGGTCCCCAGCTAGGAGAAGTGGGACTGGATTTAACCCAGAAGCAGGCTCCAGTGCCTGTGACTTAACCCAGGACTGGATGCAGGAGGCTGCGAGCCTGGCCTGCCCCACATGCTCTCCAGACCACCCCACACACAGTTTGGCCTACCTGTGCTAGCTGCTCCTGCAGCCAACTGAGCTCATGGTGCAGTGTGGGGAGCTGTTGCTCCAGCGCCTCCTGGGCCTGCTCCGCCACTCATAGGGAGCCCTCCAGGCCCTGCCGTGCCACCTCCTGCTCCAACCACAGCTCCTCCAGCCACTCCTGCTCTGCCGGCGCCACTGTGGCCTCCTGCTCCGCCTGCCGCTGCCGGCCCTGCAGCGTGGCCTTTTCTTCCTCCAGCTGTGGGCCGGAAAGGAGTGGGGCCTCATGAGCAGGGCGTCCCTCCCAGGACCAGGACGCCTCCTCCACCCACCCACCAGCCACGATAGCCCAGGGGAGGCTCCCAGGGAATGAGGGACAGTCCCCTTGGGTGTGTGGGACACTGGGGATGGGGAGATGAGGAGGGCCCATGGAGCGTCGGTGCTTTGACTCCTAGAGAGGACAGACAGACAGACGGAGATAGACAGAGAACCAGAGACAGAAAGGGAGGCAGGGGCCAAGACCGGTGCAGGGCCGGGCCCAGGGTGCCTCACTGAGTGGGGAGGACGGGTGGGCAAGGTAGGTGGGCCCGCAGGTGCACAGTGTACCTGGGTGACAAGGCAGTTCAGATCCAACTTGTCCTGAGCAAGGCTCTCGTTGAGGGCGCTCAGCTTGGACAGGGAGTCCTGCAGGGAGGCCTCCTCTGCCCTCAGCTTGGTCACGGAGAGCTCGAGCTCCATGCGGCCAGCCTCAGCCTGCAGGGTCAGGCCCCAAGAGATGAGGAAGGGCAGAAAGGTCGGGAGGAGGTGAGGAGAGACAAGAAGAGACCCAGAGAGATGGACCCTCGGAGACAGGGGAGGGGAGACAAGGAGGGGATACGGTGTGAGATGGAAAAAAAAATCACCGCAGAAAGCCTGCTGCTTATGGAGCCATTTAAAAGCCATGCACCGCAAAGCTGTGCAAAAATAGCTCAAGCTGCAGGGCAGGGCCAGAGTTCAGAGGATCCCCTGAGTAAGGTCTAGGGATAGCACTGCTCAGAGCCCAGGCTGCAGCGGACAGCGCAGGCCCCCCCGCCAAGGACCCTCTGCGCTGTGGCCACAACTCTCAGACTCCAGGAGCTGAATCTCAGGATGACCCTGAGCTATAGGCACTGCCCCCAGGAGCATCCAGAACAGCAGGGATACAGCCATAAAGAGAGGTCAGTCCACTTATGGCTGGGACCAGAGGTCCAGAGGTCTGTGGCCTGTGACAAAGATCAGCCTGTATCCAGAAGGAAGGGGTCAGTCTGTGACCAGGCTCAGAGGTCTGCCTGACACTGGGACCAGTCTGTGCCAGAGTGACAAGGCTTGGGGCTGGGGGTCAGAGGTAGGTTTGTGGTTGTGCAGCAGACAGGGACCCACCTTGGTCAGCGCCTCGGCCACCTCGGTCTTCTCGGCCTGCAGCATGTCCCGTTGCAGCGTGGCGCGGCTCAGCGCCTCCCTCACCTCCACCAGCTCCTTGGCCAGGACTGAGCGCTTCCCTTCCAGCTGCTCTAGTTGTCTATGGCTGTGGGACAAAGGGTGGGTGGGTGGCCCATGTCACTTTCCTGCCCGAACCTCCTGTAGCCAGCAAGATGCTGGGCCGGGGACCAGGCCTGAGGCAGGAGTTTGGAGAGAAACAGCCTGAGCCACAGGGCAACCAAGCCCACTACCGCTTAGCTCCATGACCCTGGGCCTCCGTTTTCACATCTGCAAAATGAGGTAACACTTGCCTCGTGACATTGTTTGTTTTTTTGAGACAGAGTCTTGCTCTGTCGCCCAGTCTGGAGTACAGTGGTGCGATCCTGGCTGACTGCAACCTCTGCCTCCCAGGTTCAAGCAATTCTCCTGCCTCAGCCTCCCTAGTAGCTGGGATTACAGGTGCTCACCACCACACCTGACTAATTTTTGTAGTTTTAGTAGAGACGGGGTTTCCCCATGTTGGTCAGGCTGGTCTTGAACTCCTGACCTCAGGCGATTCGCCTGCCTCGGCCTCCCAAAGTGCTGGGATTACAGGCGTGAGCCACCGTGCCCAGCCTGTTTTAAGGATACAAACTTCACATGTGCTTAAAATAGTGCCTGACACATCTCCCCAAGGACCTTCAGAAACAAGAATAACATGCTCCACCACAGTCTACTAAACATCATCAGCGATCACGTCCCTGAGAGGTAAGCAGCGCAGTGGTGAAGAGGTTAACTCTGAAGGCAGAATGTCTGGGTTCAAATCCTGGCTCTTCTGCTAACTGTGTGACCTGGGGCAAGTGACATGGCTTCTCTGTGCCTCAGTTTACCATCCACAAAATGGAGATAACAGCTTCTATGTCACAGAGTTATCATGGAGTTAAATGAGAGAACTGAATTGCTTAAAATGGTATCTGGCACTTAGTGAAATTAGTAAGGATATTATTATTCTTCTAACTAAATTTTTAAAATACTACTGCTAATATTACTACTGTTATTTTAATTATTCTTGTTATTATCATCCAAGTTCTACCTTTTAACTAGTTCTCTGACTCCAGGTAAGTGACTATACCTCCCTGAGCCCCAGTTTCCTGAAATGGGTCTGGTTAGAAAACCCGACATCAGAGGGGTCCAGACGGTAGGAGGCCCAGGACCCAGTGGGTGTCACCTAACCCCATGGGGGCACTGTCAGGGGACCTGAGGCACATTTGAAGGGTCCTGGCAGGGAGGTGAGATGCTGCTAACCTGCGCTCAAGCTCCCGGCGAACCCGTGCGCCATTCTGCACCGCCTCTTCCTGCTCTTCCTCCAGCCGGTCCCGCTGGCGCTGCAGCTCCTCCTGGGCAACCTGCAGCTTCTCCCGCTCCTGCGGCAGCTCCTCGGCCTGCTGCTGGGCCACCTGCAGGCTGTGGGCCAGGTTGCTCTTCTCCCTTCAGGACAAGGGGAGCGGGAGCAGAGGGGATGCTGGGGCTGCTCTCTCCAGGGAAGGTGGCTGGCTGCTCCTCTAGCCATGAGCTACATCCTCCCGTCTTCCAAGGCACCTGCCTCCAGGAAGCCTTCCCTGACCCTGCCCATAGCAGACTCATTTCACTCACACACTCCAGCAGAAGAACCTGGCTTTCCTTCTCCCCAGCCCGCCCACTTAGAGTGGATGGAGGTGCTGGCGTGATCTCTAAGCACTCTACCACGTAGAAGAGGCCAGGCTAGGCTCCTGGGACACACAGGCAATTGTGCCACCAGTTCTGCTAGGCCATGTGACCAGGAAATGTCCCCTAGAACACCCCATGCCCCTCAATTCTGGGAAGCCTGATAGAGCTGAGTCTGCAGATCCCACAGCTTCCTGCTACACAGGCACATGGTGGCCACGGCAGGGGAGGGAGGAGAAGGGAACAACTAGGACCCCAAAGACTTGCTGTGAGCTGCCACTTTCCCCACTGGTGGTAGGTGCAAAAAAACTTCAAGACGTGATTTTTTTTTTTTTTTTTTTTTTTTTTTGAGATTGAGTCTCGCTCTGTTGCTCAGGCTGGAGTGCAGTGGCACGATCTCTCCTCACTGCAAGCTCCGCCTTCTGGGTTCACGCCATTCTCTTGCCTCAGCCTCCCGAGTATCTGGGAATACAGGCGCCCGCCACCACGCCTGGCTAATTTTTTTTTTTTTTTTTTTTTTTTTGAGACGGAGTCTCGCTTTGTCACGCAGGCTGGAGTGCAGTGGTGCCATCTCGGCTCACTGCAACCTCTGCCTCCCGAGTTCATGCCATTCTCCTGCCTCAGCCTCCCGAGTAGCCGGAACTACAGGCACTCGCCACGATGCCCGGCTAATTTTTTATATTTTTAGTACAGATGGGGTTTCACCCTGTTAGCCAGGTTGGTCTCAATCTCCTGACCTCGTGATCCACCCGCCTCGGCCTCCCAAAGTGTTGGGATTACAGGCGTGGGCCACCGCGTCCAGCAATTTTTTTGTTTTTACACACAGTCTCACTCTTGCCTAGGCTGGAGTGCAGTGACACAATCTCACTGCACTCCACACAGCTTGCTGCAATCTCCACCTCCAGAGTTCAAGCGATTCTCCTGCCTCAGCCTCCCGAGTAGCTGGGATTACAAGCGCCTATCACCACGCCCAGCTAATTTTTGCATTTTTATTTAGAAGTGGGGTTTCACCATGTTGGCCAGGCTGGTCTCAAATTCCTGACCTCAAGTGATCTGCACGCCTCGGCCTCCCAAAGTGCTGGGATTACAGGCGTTAGCCACTGTGCCTGGGCAATTTTTTTTATTTTTAGTAGAGATGGGGTTTCGCCATGTTGGCCAGTGCCTGCGGGACAAGACCGACGGCGCCACGCAGGTGTTCCTCTAGGGCCCGCCGCTCACTCTCGCTGTCGCTAAGCTGCTTCCGCAGGGTGCCCAGCAGGTCCTGGCTTGCCTCATAGCGCCCACGCATGTTCTGGGGCGTGGGGATCACAGAGTCTAGCGGGGGTCCTTTGAGGCCTCCAGAGCCCACCTACTCTCTTCTGGTTCCAGGGATACACACTAGCCTACGCTAGGCGGGGTCCAGGGCCTGGACCTGCCCTGGGGCAGGATAGGGGCCTAGGCCTGAGAGCCAGGCTTCCACTCCCCTCCTATGTGCCCTCACCACCCTCTGAACCCTCATCTCCCTGGGGTCCCGGACAACTCCTATCAAAGCCCCCGGGATGCCAGACAAACTCCCAGGCACACTCGTCTCCTGGGTTCTGATCCCACCCCCAGGGCTCCGAGGCTCCTCCCCCTTGCATCCTGGTTCCACTCTCACACTCCTCCCTACCCTGGCTCTGCCCCTAGTTCCCAAGCTCTCATCCTAGGCTGTGATTTCCCTTGCTAGACCTTTTCCCAGGGTCCTGGCTCTGTATGACCAGGGACCTGTCTCCCTCTCTACCAGGACCCTAACACTGCCGCAGCCTCCTCCCTCCACCGGCTGCCCAAGCACCCACCCCCAGCTGCCCAAGCACCCCCACTTCTGGGCTGGCTTCAGCGCAGAGCCCTCGGCCACCTCCTTGGGGGTCCTGACACCCTCAGACACTATTTCTCAGGGCTCTGGCTGCACCCCAGGGCGCTCAGACTCCTCCCCCAGACACGCCCCCACCCCGACCTGGAGGGCGCGAGCCCCTCCCCCTGGGCCTCTGGCTGCGCCCAGAAAACTCAAGCCCCTTCCTACCTGGACCTTCAGCTGGCAAAAGTGCAGGGCGGAGAGAATCAGGGCAAGCGAGCGTGGAGTCGTCTGAGCAGGCCGGGGAGGGGCCTCTGCGGGGCGAACGGCCTCGGCCCGGCGAGGAGCGCCGCGGTGGAGACGGGGTCCGCTGGCCCGAGAGCCCCCGCAGGCTGCGGTCGGACGCTGTTGGACGCAGGCTGCCGCTCTCAGCGTCAGACAGGACGGCCTGAGGGTAAGGGAGGGAAGCAGGAGGCCGCAGAGTTAGGAACTTCGGGGTTAGCTGGCAAAAACGACCAGGGGAGGCTGGGGGCCGCCTCATCCCAAATGCTCCCGCTTACAAGAAGCCTTCTGATTTCACCTCCTCCACTAGCTCAGTCCTCAGCTCGCCGCTGAGGCATCCCATTTATTGCGAAGACATCATTTGGCATTGCTCACAGGTGGGCTCCGAGAGGGCCGTGCCTCCCCTCTGAGACTGGGGGCTCCCCAGGGCAGAGGCCGGGTGAGCTAGCAGGGGTGCTGAGCAGCTACAGCCTGGGTCCCAGGGCCCCACCCATCTGCAGTTCAATCCGAAGCCACCGAAAGGCGAGGCGGGGGAGCCCAGGACTGCCTGGCAGGGCCCTGTCTTCCCGCCTTTCTGGGCTCACACCTGTGCCAGGTCCCTTAGGCTCCGCTGTAGCCCCTCTCCGTCCTCTGTCTCCAGGGCCGCCTGCTCCTGTAGCCGCAGGGATTCCTGGAGTGCGGTGAGGGAGACAAAGAGTGGTCGGGGTTCTGTCTTACCTGAAACCTCCCCTTTCCCTCCCTCCCTGGCCCACCACTGATCAGGTGGCCTCTGAAGCCACGTCCATAGGCCAGCCACCTGGTAGACCCCACAGCAGGCCCGAGGCCCTCAATGAACAGACCAGGCCCAGAGAAGAGCTGGGTTCTGCCCCAGGTCACACAGTCGATTGCAGGAGAGCTGGACCTAGAACCCAGGCCAGGCCCCACACAGAGGGGTGACTAAACCAGGCTGGACCCTGGGGGAGTGAGTGTCCCACTGGTGGGGGTGGACAGTTGGGATTCCAAAGGCAGCATCTGGACCTGGAGAGCGTGGATGGGAGTTCAAGTCCCAACTCTCCTGCTTACTGGCTCTGAGACTGGACAAGCATTTCCCCTCTTGGGCCTCAGTTTCCCATCCGTGTCATTAGGATTACTCTACAGGGCTGCTGGGAGGGAGAAATGGGATGGAGGAAGTGAGTGTGCTTCCCACAAAGCCTGCACACCTGTGTGGGCTGAACCTGAGTGTGAGTGGGATGCTGGGGGTGGCCCAGGCAGCCCAGCCCTAAGCCTGTGTCCATGGATCTGGCCGGTACCCCATCCCACCCTGCCCCATCTCAGGGGCAGCTGAAGCTCACCAGGGCCTCAAGCTTCTCGGTGAGGTCCTTGTCGACCTGATCCTTCTCCAGATTCTGCTTCTGAAGACGCTTCACTGCCAGGCCCAGCTCTGTCACTCTGGAGTTGGGGGAGCAACAGAGGTGAATACGGGACCACCCCAGCCTCTCAAATCCACTAGCTCTGTGTCCACCATGCTTCTCCAAACCCGAGGCAGGGACCCTAACATCCACCTCCCTGGCTGTGTGACCTTAAACAAGTTGTGGCTCCTCTCCAGACCTCACACTTCTCATCTGTGAAATGGGAATGAGGTTCCCACCAGCTTTATCTCATGGGAAAGCACTGGAGGACTTATCCAGGTGGCAGGAGTAAGGGGCACAAGTTGTTTTTTTGTGGTTTTCTTTTGAGACAGAGTTTCGCTGTGTCGTCCAGGCCGGAATACAGTGATGTGATCTTGGCTCACTGCAACCTCCACATCCTGGGTTCAAGCGATTCTCCTGTCTCAGCCTCCCTCGTATCTGGGATTAGAGGCACACACCACCACACCCGACTAAGTTTTGTATTTTTAGTAGAGACAGGGTTTCGCCTATTGGGCAGGCTGGTCTTGAGCTCCTGACCTCAGGTAATCTCCCACCTTGGCCTCCCAAAGTGCTGGGATTACAGGTGTGAGCCACAGCACCCGGCCACAAGTTCTGTCATAGGAGGCTAAGCTGTTTATGATAAACACTGGGCAACTGCCTTCGGAACCTCAGTGGGGTGCCTGGGAAGGCTGGCTGAGCTCACAGAGGAAGGCCCTGCTCCTAGTGAACAGATGCTCCCTTCTCCCCAACTCTCCAGTTTTACCTTCTGCAGTGACGCCTGCCTCATGCAGCACCCACCAGGGACCCTCCTGGCACTGAGGTCAGCCTTGTCCAGGTCGCTTTGCATCTGCTGCTGGGACAGGTCCTTCTCGTGGAGCACCTTGTCCCGCAGCTGCTCCTCCAGCTGGGCCTGCTTCTCCAGGGCTGGCTCGACCCGGCTCTCTGCCAGCCGCAGGCCTGTGCTCATTCCCAGGCCGGCCTCCTGGACAGCTCCCCTCCCAGCTGCAGCGGGTCCCTTGGGAAGAGAACACAGGATGGGGATGGGATGGGGCTCACTCCCAACTACAAATTAAAACTAGTCTGGGGCTGGGTATGGCGGCCCACACCTATAATCCCAGCACTTTGGGAGGCCGAGGCGGGCAGATCACCTGAGGTCAGGAGTTTGAGACCAGCCTGGCCAACATGGTGAAACCCCATCTCTACCAAAAATACAAAAAATTAGCCAGGTGTGGTGGTGCACTCCTGTATTCCTAGCTACTTGGGAGGCTGAGGCAGGAGAATTGCTTGAACCTAGCGGGAGGAGGTTGCAGTAAGCTGAGATCATGCCACTGCACTCCAGTCTGGGCGACACAGCCAGACTGCGTCTCAAAAAAATAAATAAATAAAAAATAAATAAAACTACACTGGGCTGGGTGCGGTGGCATGCACCTGCAGTCCCAGCTATGCGGGAAGCTGAGGCAGGAATGCTTGAGCCCAGGAATTTGAGGCCAGCATGGGAAACATAGTGAGAGTCCATCTCAAAAACTAAAGAGGAAGAAGAAAAAAAAAACAACCCTACACTGGGATGCCATTTGTCCACTATCAGATTGGGAAAAAAAAAAGGGACACATAATACACAAAGAGAGGCTCTGGGGCAACAGGCCTTCCCCTACACAGCTGGTGGGAGGGTGAGTACAATCACAATGGAGGGCACTGAGGGAGATCTTCGAAAACTATGCAGGCATAGGACCTTCCCCACCGGCTCCTCCTCTAAGAATGGATCCTACAGATATACCCCAGCACAGAGGAGATGGCTTGTGGACAAGGAGGTTCACTGCAGCATTGCTCATGTAAGATATCCTGGTGACAACCTAAATGTCTATCAAAAGGGGACTGCTACTAAGTACATGATGGTACATCCTTTAAGTGGAGAACTGTGGCCAAGAAAAACCAGTGGAGAAGTTCTTCCTGGCCTGATCCAGAGCCACCTCCCAGTTATAACTAGTAGGTGAAAAAAGCATCTTCAAGAACTGTGAAGATGAAATTTTACCAGGCGTATATACAAAAAAGTGTGTGTGTGTGTGTGTGTGTGTGTGTGTGTGCATGTGTGATCTGATTTGCTCATATAAAATAACCCTGGAAGGTCACTTAAGAAACTGATAGGCCAGGCACGGTGGCTCATGCCTGTAATCCCAGCACTGTGGGAGGCCGAGGCGGGAGGGTCACCTGAGGTCAGGAGTTCAAGTCCAGCCTGGCCAATATGGCGAAATCCCGCCTCTATTAAAAATACAAAAATTAGCCGGGTGTGGTGGCTCATTCCTGTAATCCCAGCTACTTGGGAGGCGGAGGTGGGAGAATCACTTGAACCCGGGAGGCAGAGGTTGCAGTGAGCCAAGATCGTGCCACTGCACTCCAGCCTGGAGACTCGCAGCACAGCGAGACTCCATCTCAAAAAAAAAAAAAAGAAAAAAGAAAAAGAAACTGACAATGCTTCTTACGGTAACTTGGTGGCCAAAAAAAAAAAAAAAGAAAGAAAATAATTGTATATATAAAAAGAAAAAGAAGCTGATGATGCTGCTTGCCTCCAAGGAAGGAATGGGAATATCTGGGGTCAGAGGTGGGAGGGAGCCATTTTACTGTGTACCCTTTTGAAATGTGAATAGGTGACTTAATCAAAAGTAAAATATAAAAATTTGAAAGGCTACTTACAAAATTTTTTTTTGTTTTTGTTTCTTTTTCAGATGGAGTCTCGCTCTGTTGCCCAGGCTGGAGTGCGCTGGTTTGACCTCGGCTCACTGCAACGTCCGCCTCTCCGGTTCAAGCGATTCTCCTGCCTCAGCCTCCCGAGTAACTGGAATTACAGATGTACGTCACAACACCCAGCTAATTTTTGTATTTTTAGAAGAGACGGGGATTCACCATGCTGGCCAGGTTGGTCTTGAACTCCTGAGCTCAGGTGATCCACCCGCCTCAGCCTCCCAAAGTGCTGGGATTACAGGCATGAGCCACGACGCCTGGCCTTAAAATACATTAAAAATTATTTGTATTTTAAAAAATTAAAATGTATTTTAAGGCCAGGCGTGGTGGCCCATTTCTTGAGACATAGCAAGACCCTGTCTCAAAAAAAAAAAAAATTAGCTGGGTATAGTGGTGAACACTTATAGTCCCAGCTATTTGGGAGGCTGAGGTGGGAGGATCACTTGAGCCTGGGAGGTCAAGCCTAACATGAGTTGTGATTGTGCCACTGCACTCCAGCCTGGGCGACAGAGAGAGACTGGCTCAAAAAAAAAGTATTTTAAGTCCATAATACAGGTTAAATCCTTTCCTTTCCTTTCCTGAATGAACTGTACCACTGGTTATCCAATAGTAAGGAGGGAAAGTGCCTCATTATAGAATTCTAATTAATATACACAGGAGTGACTAAATGAGAAGCTCACAGTTTTGCAGCCTCTAATGAGTGGGTTGGATCTTGAAAAGAGAGACAGCTGGCATAGGGACATCCTGATGGAAGAACACATTCTACTTATGGAGTCTTGATCAAACGAAAAAGCAAGCAGAAGAGCCTGAATCTGACCTAGCTTTACATCCAACATCCAATTTACAGGAAATACATGGGATAAAGAAACATGTTAATTGACACCATAAGGATGCAACCAGCAAAATCCAGACCATGAGAATCTCCAAGGACAACTAGCCCAGTTTCCTGAACAAATAAGTTAAAAAGGACTTCAAAGACAAAGCATGGGCCGGGCACGGTGGCTCACTCTTGTAATCCCAGCACTTTGGGAGACCAAGGTAGGTGGCTCACCTGAGGTCAAGACCAGCCTGGCCAACATGGTGAAGCTCCCATGTCTACTAAAAATACAAAAGTTAGCTGGGCGTGGTGGCGCACTCCTGTAATCCCAGCTACTCAAGAGGCTGAAGCCATAGAATTGCTGAACCCAGGAGGCAGAGGTTGTAGTGAGCCAAGATCCTGCCACTGCACTCCAGCCTGGGCAACAAAGCGAGACTCCATCTCAAACAAACAAACAAACAAACAAACAAAACAAAGCAACCATTCGCACTTTGTGAATGTCTATGGATCCGGATTCAAACAAATTGTAAAGAAAAAACTAAAGCAAGACTATCTGTGACTTTTTATTTATTTGTTTATTTTGAGACAGAGTTTCACTCTGTCACCCAGGCTGGAGTGCAGTGGTGTGATCTCGACTCACTGAAACCTCTGCCTCCTGGGTTCAAGCGAGTCTGGTGCCTCAGCCTCCCCAGTAGCTGGGATTACAGGCATGTGTCACCACACCTGGATAATTTTTGTATTTTTAGTAGAGATGGGGGTTTCACCATGTTGGCCAGGCTGGTCCCGAACTCCAGACCTCAGATGATCTGCCCGCCTTGGCCTCCCGAAGTACTGGGATTATAGGTGTGAGCCACTGCACCTGGCCTATCTGTGGCATTTATGAGACATATGGAAAATTTAGACGCTGGCTATTTGATGATATTAAGAAAAGATTATTAAACCAGGTGTAGTTTCTCATGCCTGTAATCCCAGCACCTTGGGAGGCCAAGGCAGGAGGATCACTGGGGCACAGGAATTCTAGACCCGTCTGGGCAACAAAGTGAGAACTCGACTCTACGAGAAATAAAAAAATCAGCAAGCCTGGTGGCATGGACCCGTGGTCCCAACTGCACAGGACCTGAGGTAGGAGGATTGCTTCAGACCAGGAGGCCAAGGCTGCAGTGAGCCATAAAGAAAAGAAAAGATTACTAACTAAAAGTAAGTCCTTGAAATCAGCCAGATGACACTAAATCCCATCCATTCCCCTGAGCTCACAGGGGGGCTGCCTAGACTCCAGAAAAAAGGCTGTGCCTAGTCCTAGACTCTGGCATGCAGGAGGTCAGAAGGCTGAATTCTCCACTAAACTCAAAAGTATAACCAGTCCAGACCGGGTGTGGTGGCCCATGCCCGTAATCCCAGCACTTTGGGAGGCCGAGGCGGGCAGATCACCTGAGGTCAGGAGTTCGGGACGAGCCTGGCCACATGGTGAAACCCCATCCCTACTAAAAACACAAAAATTAGCTGGGTGTGGTGGCACATTCGTATAATCCCAGCTACTCGGGAGGCAGAGGCAGGAGAATCGCTTGAACCTTGGTGGGGCAGAGGTTGTAGTAAGCCGAGATCGTGTCATTGTACTTCAGCCCGGGCAACAAGAGTAAGACTCTGTCTCAAAAAAAAAAAAAAAAAAAAGTATGTGGCCGGGTGCGGTGGCTCACGCCTGTAATCCCAGCACTTTGGGAGGCTGAGGCGGGCAGATCATGAGGTCAGTAGTTCAAGACCAGCCTGGCCAACATGGTGAAATCGCGACTCTACTAAAAATACAAAAAGTAGCTGGGCGTGGTGGCATGTGCCTGTAATACCAGCTACTTGGGAGGCGGAGGCAGGAGAATTGCTTGAACCTGGGAGGCGGAGGTTGCAGTGAGCCATGATCGCACCACTGCACTCTAGTCTGGGTGACAGAGCAAGACTCCGTCTCAAAAAAAAAAGTAGCCCTCTCTAAGTCTTAATTCCTTCATCTGTAAAAACAGAATAATGACTTATGTTAGAGATGCTGTGAAGAGCCCAGGGAATAACAAGTGCTGTCTGCATACCACATAACCTGTCCGCTCTCAAAGGTGGCTGGGCTGATGATGTCTGGAAGAAGAAGGATGGGAGAAATGCTGGTTCCCAAAGTGGTCAGTACCAAGGCCACCTAGTCCAACCCTTGCCCCTAGGCCTGTGGTTCCTTTGGGGCAGATTCCAGTCTCGCCACCACCCAGCCAGGGGAGTCTGTGTTGAATGGGACATGTCCTGGAAGTATGAAAGGCTCAGCCCTCTGAGCTGCTGGATGGCTCTGTCCTGTACCCGCCAGTCCATAAATGGTCAGCAGAGCACATGGCCCACCTACCCGAGCCAAAGGAGTTGGGAAAAATCTGTCTGGGTGGCCCCCTCATCCTCTCAACACACAGGCCTAGAGGGAAAAGGGTACTGTCTAATGCCAGTCAGTGCTGTCCTGAGCTCAGCTGCTAAGAATAGCAGGGAGTGAGGTGGTGGTAACCAGCAGGACTCAGGCAGAACAGAGGCCCATTACACACCTGGCTGCCCACAGGCTGCCACCACCTGCTCTTCCACCTTTCATGCCAGTTCCTACCCTACTCATCCACACAGACAGAAAGCTCTGGAAGGGGACGAAGGTGGCACAAAGCACCCTGACAAAGTAGCCACTACCCAGGCTCAGGGATCACATATTCCCCCAGTGTAAGCCACTCCCAGCCCTGAGCTGTAGGAGCAGAGATGCACAAAGGCCCCTCCCCACTGCTGCTCTGTCCCAGGCCAAGGCCAGGTGGTGGCTATGCAGTCGGGGTGCTCAGCTAGTAGCATAGAAGGCTAAAGCCAACCCCATCTCTGAATACCCCAGTGGACCAAGGATAAAGGAGCCTTTCTCAAAAGCAGTTACAGGCCAACCATGGTGGCTCACACCTGTAGTCTCAGCACTTTGGGAGGCTGAGGTGGGAGAATCACTTGAGCCCAGGGGTTTGAGACCAGCCTGGGTGACACAGTAAGACCCTGCCTCTTAAAAAAAAAAAAAATTTAGCTGGGTGTGTGGCATGTGCTTGTGGTCCCAGCTATGTGGGAGGCTGAGGTGGGAGGATTCCTTGAGCCTGGAACTTTGAGGTTGCAGTGAGCTATGACTGGGACATAGCGAGACCCTGCCTCAAAAGAAAACAGTTCTTAACAAGCCCACACTTGGAGCGGCTACTCTTGTACCTGACCCCCAAAGTCGTGTGCCTGATCCTGAGAGCAGACTGCACATATCTGTGGGCAGTCGGCCTGAGACAGCCACCACTGAGTGCCTACAGCACGGCCCATTTGGCCAAGACCAGCAACTTCCCTGACCTTTTTGGATCTCCTAGGTCCCAGTTCAGGGCCCTGAATCCCCACAACCACTGACTGACGGCCCTACCACCTGCTGTCTCTCCTGGCGGCCACAGCAGCAGCAGCAGCAGCAGCAGCAGGACCATCTCTGGTATCACATGAGGTAGGGATCAGATGGCTCTGAGAACAGGCCAGGACTGAGTATGGGGTGGGGGTGGGCAGGAACTCTCTGCAAGCAGGCACTTTCTGACCACCACAATTGCTTAAATAGAACAGGTAATGATGCTGCCTTTTGGACCTGCCTAAAGAGCAGAAGTCGTAAAAGACAGAACAGCTAAGGCTGATAAGGGGGTGAGAGACAGGGACAACCGTGCCTCACTGCAGGGAGGGAGAACCTACTTGATCCTTTGAAGAAGTAATCTGGCAACAGTCTTAAAAGTGACTGCAGTTCAAACACTCTAGCCACACGACTCCAGCCCTGGGCATCCTCACAGCATTGTTTACAAAGGCAAAAGTCCTTCCAAACTAGGGCACTTGTATGGGCCACAGCAGACCCCCTGGCCCTAAAGATGCTCAGTAAGATACATTGATAATGTGGAAAAATACTCACGGGATAACATTTGATAATAAAAATAGGATGCAAACTTCTGGAAGTGAGGGACATGTCCATTACCTTGATGGTACTGATGGTTTCACGGGTTTTATCTATATGTTAACACTTATCAAATTGTACACTTTAAGTGTGTGTAGTTTATTGTATATTAATCGTAGCTCAATAAAAATGTTTTAAGAAAAGAACTGAAGGTGACAAATTTTTTTAAAGTTTTCTATACAGCATAATCTGAACTACATACATTATAAGATAAACAGACATGAAGTTAAAAAGCTTCTGCATAGCAAAGTAAACGATCAACAAAGTGAAGAGACAGCCCACAAATGGGAGAAAATATTTGTAAACTACCCATCTGACAAGGGATTAATAACCAGAATATATAAAGAACGCAAACAACTATATAGGAAAAATACTAATAATTCCATCAAAAGATGGGCAAAAGATACGAACAGACATTTCTCAAAAGAAGACATACAAATAGCAAACAGGCATATGGAAAGGTATTCAACGTCACTGGTCATCAGAGAAATGCAAATCAAAACTACAATGAGATATCATCTCACCCCAGTTAAAATGGCTTTTATCCAAAAGACAGGCAACAACAAATGCTGGCGAGGTTGTGGAACCCCTGTACGCTGTTAGTGGAAATGTAAATTATAATAGTGCAATCACTATCGAGAACAGTTTGGAGGTTCCTGAAAAAACTAAAAATTGATCAGGTGTGGTGGCTCATGCCTGTAATCTCAGCACTTTGGGACGTCGAGGTGGCAGGATGACCTGAGGCTAGGAGTTCGAGACCAGCCTGGCCAACACAGCGAAACCCCATCTGTACTAAAAATACCAAAATTAACTGGGCGTGGTGGTGTGTGCCTATAATCCCAGCTACACGGGAGGCTGAGGCAGGAGAATTGCTAGAACTCGGGAGGCAGAGGTTGCAGTGAGCCAAGATCATGCCACTGCACTCCAGCCTGGGCAACAAGAGCAAAACTCCATCTCAAAAAAAAAAAAAAAAAAAAAAAAAAAGGCCAGGCACACTGGCTCACGCCTGTAATCCCAGCACTTTGGGAGGCCGAGGCGGGTGGATCACGAGCTCAGGAGATCAAGACCATCCTTGCTAACACGGTGAAACCCCGTCTCTACTAAAAAGACAAAAAATTAGCTGGACCTGGTGGCGGGCGCCTGTAGTCCCAGCTACTTGGGAGGCTGAGGCCCAAGAATTGCGTGAACCTGGGAGGCGGAGCTTGCAGTGAGCTGAGATTGCGCCCCTGCGCTCCAGCCTGTGCAACAGAGCAAGACTCTGTCTCAAAAAAAAAAAAAAATTTTTCAAAAAGAAAAAACTAAACTAAAAATTGAGCTACCATATGATCCAGCAATCCCACTGCTGGGTATATACCTGAAAGAAGGGAAATCAGTATATCGAAGAGCTATATACCTCAAAGAAGGGAAATCAGTATATCGAAGAGATATCTGCATTCCCATGTTTGTTGCAGCACTGTTCACAATAGCCAAGATTTGGAAACAATCTAAGTGTCCATCAACAGATGAATAAATAAAGAAAACACGGTACAGATACACAACAGAGTACTATTCAGCCATAAAAAAGAATGAGATCCTGTAATTTGCAACAACATGGATGGAACTGGAGGTCATTATGTTAAGTGAAATGAGCCAGGCAGAAAAAGACAAACACTGCATGTTATCACTTATTTGTGAGAGCTAAAAATTAAAACAATTGAACTCATAGAGGCAAAGTACTGGATGGTTACCACAGGCTTGGAACGGTAGTGTAGGGCTTGTGGGGAGATGGGGATGGCTAATGCGTACAAAAAAATCGAATTAATAAGACCTGTCTGGTAGCAGAACAGAGTGACTGTAGTAAATAATAATTGTACATTTAAAAATAACTAAAAGAGTATAACTAGATTGTTTATAACACAAAAGATAAATGCTTGAGGGGATGGATACCCCATTTACCATGATGTGATTATTACGCATTGCATGCCTGTGTCAAAGTATCTCATATACCCTATAAATACATATACCTGCTACATACCCACAAAAATTAAAAATTAAAAATGTAACACAAAGAAAGAAAACAGAAAAGAATCGCATTTGAATAGTCATGTTAAAATAACAAGATAGCAGGTGCTTTTCCTTCTTTTTTTAGAGACAGGGTCTTGCTCTGTCACCCAGGCTAGAGTGCAGTGGCATGCAGAGGCCAGCTCACTGCAGCCTCAACCTCCTAGGCTCAAGTGATCCTCCCACATCAGCCTCCCTAACAGCTGGGACTACAGGTGCACACCACCATGCCCAGGTAATTTCTGTATTTTATTGTAGAGATGGGGTCTGGCCATGTTGCTCAGGCTGGTCTTGAACTCCTGGACTCAAGCAATCTACCCACCTTGGCCTCCCAAAGTGCTGCGATTACAGGTGTGAACCACTGTGCCTGGCCCTCTAAGTTTCTGCTAAAATGTACTTGTAACTTTTACACTGACTACACTCAAAAGTATTAAACTTGTAAAGAAAAGGCCCTGGAGGAGTTTGTTCTTTACAAGGTCAGTCAGAAGCTACAAGGGGCCAGGCTGGGGCCAAGGTGAGGGCAGGTACATGCAGGGGCAGATGCTGGGTGTGGAGTAGGTGCCAGGTGCTAGCTGGGCATGAATGTGCACCCGCTCCCTGACCTCTGCTCCCTGACTCTCACAAGGAACTAGCACTGCCTGGAGACAGGAAGAAGCAGAGTACGGAAGGCAGACTCTCTGGCCAGAGATCTCGCAGCCAGGAGCACAGTGAGAACAGAGCCTAAGCCTATCTGTCCAGAGCCCAGGCTCCCTTTCCCTACAACTGCAGCCTCCTTATTCTGCTCTGGCCCAGCAGAGTGAGGAGGGGCCGCCCACCCAGCCATACCTGCCGGTGGCTGCTGGGGGTGCATGGTCAGAAGAGGAAAGATGCGGTTCAGGTAGTCATTCAGCAGCTTCTCCTGCACAATGCCTGAGCCACAAGTCAGAAGGGAGAAAAGGGCCACATGATGAGTGCAGCTCCTGGCCCCTGCTGGCCCCAGAGACTTCTGGTCCTAGGCCAGCCACAGGTGCAGCAAGGCCTGAGGCCTTTGTCCCTTCCTTCTCCTCCCAACAAGAGGAGCCTCCTTCCTTCTCTGCCAGCCCTTACCTGTGACCCTGGATTTCTCAGCATCTGAGGTCAGCCTACAGCTCTTGCGGGAGAAAGACACGCCGGCCCCCTTGGATGCCATCCTTCGTCTCTCATGGGCAGCCAGTGGTCCTGGAGGCTGAGGCAGACACAGAGCCTGTCTACTCAGGGCCAGCCAGGGGCCCCCACACCTGACCTCAGTCCTGCCATGGCGGGAAGTCTTGGGAGCAGGTGAGGCCAGGGGCATGCACACTAACACATAGGACAGGGGAATGCAGGGGCTCCCAGCTTCCTACACAGGCAGGGTAGCCAGGGTCTAGGCCCATGTAACAGGGACCACTTCTTGTTCTCCAGTGTCCCTGTGCCCAGCACAGGGCTGGGCAGAGAGCAGGTACCAGATATATTTTTGCCAAACCATAACAAAATGTCTCAGCTCTGTGGAAATCAGACCAAAATGTCCAAAGTGAGGTGTCCTAGGGGCAGAGCCCCTGTATTCATCTCGGTTGTAAGCCATACTGAGTCCAGCTCACAACCAGAAGCGACAATCCTACACATTCCCCCAAGTGCAGACCACCACTGGTCTGGTCATCTCTAGCCATAAGTCCCACTTACTCCCCACAAGGCTGGAGCCTCTTTCCTCAGCCCTGGGTTCCTCCCTTCTTTGATCCATGGTCCTGATAGTTTCACTGTTCCCACTGACACATGTGGCCTCCCACCTCATCCAAGCACCACCCTTGCCCAGCCCTCATGGCAAACTCCATTGGTCCTCCTAGTGCATCTATCCCTCACATCATGTTGCTGCTGCAGCTGCTCCAAAACCTGCACTGAGTCCCTGGTGCTGGCCTCACTGATGTGTAGCTGTGCTGTCCAACACAGCAGCCGTCATCCACGTGAGGTTACTTAAATTTAAAGTTTTAAAAATTAACAATTCGATTTCTCAGTTGCCTCAGCCACATTTCAAGAGTTCAATGACCACATGTGGCTAACGGTTACTCTATTGGACAGCACAAAGGTAGAACATTCCCACCATCATATAAAGTTCTATTAGACAGCGCAGGTCTAGAGTTTCGCTCTGCAGCACTGCCTTAGCCAGCACTCCCTACTCTGCCGTTCAGTCTCTTATCTCGCCCCAAACAGACCCTCTACTCCCGCCACAAACCCCTGTGGGTCTGCACCACGCCTGCTCCTCGGGAAGGTGATTTTCCGGACCTCGGGCCCTCGGTGGGCCTCCATGATCGGTGCCCCTTCACTACCAGAGTAGTTGAAGATCTGATTAAATGCAGTCATTCATTTGATGAGCAGACCTTCCAGACACCCACTCCTGGTGTCAGTTGCTGAGGACCCAGGTGAGAGGCGGACCTTGTCCCCGCCCGGGGACTCCCCGTCACGGCTATCCCGTCCAACCTCGCCGGGGTATCCGGGCTCAGAACTGAACCTACTCCGTCTGGGAGCCCAAGGATGGCTCCCCCAAGTCGCCCCCGCCTGGCCCCAAGCTCCAGAGGACCTGCCAGACCAGCTTCCGCTCGGAGTTTCGCACTCAGATCCCGGCGCTGCAGGTGCCCTCGCACTGGACTAAACTGGACCGCGAAGGGAATAGCCAGCCGGAACTCGCCAGGCTCAGAGCCCTGCCGCCCGTCACTCACCCCGAGCCTCGGCCGCCGCGACCCGGTTCACAACATCCGCCCAACCTCTCGGCTACGGCGTCCGTTCAGGGCCAAATCACGCGCACGCTCGCGCGCTGAGCCTCCAGCCGCGCACGCGCACCGGCCCGCGCCCAGCCTCCGCGAGGGGACCCCCTCCGTGGCTTCCCACCGGGTTGTTCCAGGCCTCAGCTTCGCCGAAAGGCCTCACCACCTCCGACCTCCGCCTGCCCTGGGGATGCTCCCAGCCCTGCTGCGGCAGAACGCGACGTGCTAACCGGAATCCCTAGGCCGCCTGTCTCCTACCCATACTTGGAGGCCCCGCTCAGACGGTCCTGAAAACGTCTGAAAGGCGGTTCCTGCCAGAGTCCCTGCTACCTGTTACCTCCACCCCTATTTAGTCCTAGTGGACAGCTTCGCTCACCTTCCCTGGGATGACACTTCTGGCGGCTGAGATGAGCGAGCCTCTCTGGGCTCTGCCGCCGGGCGTGGGCTGACCTGCCTACAGCTGGGGCCTGATAAGGCAGCAGCAAAAGAGTGGAGGGGAGGCAGTGTTGAAGCTGGGGCAAGTAATTTTCCCCAATTTACAGGGAAAAACCGAAATTCAGAAAAGTTTAATGTCAGCCAGGGGCTGGAACCCAGACCTCTGGCAGCTGTCACTTTCACTATGCCCTTGGGCTGACTAGGCTGCAGAGGGGTTTCACCCCAACCCCAGGGCACCTCAAGTGTCCCCACCAAACCTTCCTAACACCTGACCACTAAGTAGGGAGGCCTCTCAGGGGGCTAGCTGTGCTAGGCCCTTGCAACTGACCTGTGGGACCTGAGGCCTGGCCCCTCATGGCTCCTGTCACCAGGTCTCAGGTCAGGGTCCAGCAGGCCCTGAGCTGACGTGCGGAGCCAGAGCCACCCAATCCCGTAGGGACAGGTTTTGCAACTTCCCGGATGGGGCTGTGGTGGGTCACAGTGCAGCCTCCAGCCAGAAGGATGGGGTGGCTCCCACTCCTGCTGCTTCTGACTCAATGCTTAGGGGTCCCTGGTGAGTGCCCCCAACCTTGATCCCCATCTGCCTTCAGGAGGGGCTTGGCCCCATTCTCCTATTCTGGGATGAGAAAAAAGTCAGGGAGCCAGAGGCTCAGTGGGCATGGGGCAGTGACCTTGGCCTCTTGAGCACAGCTGGGAAGCCCTAGGAACACATAGACACGGCCCACTTAGGCCTCTATTAGCACGTCTGCTCTAGCACTGAAGCAGTGTTAGGACCACACAGATGCACGCACACAGCAGGCAGTGACCCCTCCTGAGCCTGATCTACCCCTCTAACCTAGCGTATGCCTTTGTGCAGGTGAGAGCCCAGATTTGGAATCTGAATGCCTAGCCAGGGCCCCTGGCTGGGTAATGTGATGGCTCTGAGCCTTAGCATTCTCATTTGAGAGATGAGATGGGGCAAGCTCCATCACCCACTGCTCTCACAGAGCGTATGTGTTAGATCTGAGCCCGGTGCCTGGGCCATTACACAGAGGCACCGGTGATAACTACCAAGTCTGGGCCTGCTTCCCAGGGGAAATTTTTTGACAAGTATCTGTGCAGGGGGGCTAGACTGGCCCTTGAAAGTGCATACAGGGTCCATCCCAGAAGCCTTGTAGCTTTGATCCCCTGAATGAACAAACTGTGGACATGCCAATACACATTACTGACATGTATGCCCACCTGACCTGCACCCACTCTGCAGGGCAGCGCTCGCCATTGAATGACTTCTAGGTGCTCCGGGGCACAGAGCTACAGCGCCGCTACAAGCGGTGGTGCCCAGGCCTTGGCAGGAGGATGTGGCAGATGCTGAAGAGTGTGCTGGTCGCTGTGGGCCCTTAATGGACTGCCGGTGAGTGGCCACTGGGCATAGATAAGACTGGGGGCAGGGGAGCCTGGGCCGTGGCGTTACCTTGTGCCTTCTTCTCTCCAGGGCGTTCCACTACAATGTGAGCAGCCATGGTTGCCAACTGCTGCCATGGACTCAACACTCGCCCCACACGAGGCTGCGGCATTCTGGGCGCTATGACCTCTTCCAGGAGAAAGGCGAGTGGGGGTGGAGAGGGGCAGGGTGGGAGACAGGGGACCTCAGCCCAAGTTGATCTTCTGTCTCTTGCTCCCAGACTACATACGGACCTGCATCATGAACAATGGGGTTGGGTACCGGGGCACCATGGCCACGACCGTGGGTGGCCTGTCCTGCCAGGCTTGGAGCCACAAGTTCCCGAATGATCACCAGTGAGACAAACACCTTCCCTCCGTCCTGGCCTGGGACCTTCCCCCAGCACACACTATAGTGATGCTCTGGGCCCTCAGGTACATGCCCACGCTCCGGAATGGCCTGGAAGAGAACTTCTGCCGTAACCCTGATGGCGACCCCGGAGGTCCTTGGTGCCACACAACAGACCCTGCCGTGCGCTTCCAGAGCTGCGGCATCAAATCCTGCCGGGTGGGTAAGCGGCGCCGGGTCAAGCTGGGAGAGTGGAGGGACAAGCCCACGCCCATCCACGAACCCACTGGCTCTTTGTCTCCAGCCGCGTGTGTCTGGTGCAATGGCGAGGAATACCGCGGCGCGGTAGACCGCACCGAGTCAGGGCGCGAGTGCCAGCGCTGGGATCTTCAGCACCCGCACCAGCACCCCTTCGAGCCGGGCAAGTACGCGTAGGCGGTATCGGCGCCCTGGGGGCCGGGCTAGGGAAGGTCCAGGACTCCAGGGGCAGGGCTCCGTGTAGGGCAACTGGGCGGGGCCAGATAAGCCAGAGTCCCAGGGTCTTCTTCACGCCCCATTACCGCCCCCAGGTTCCTCGACCAAGGTCTGGACGACAACTATTGCCGGAATCCTGACGGCTCCGAGCGGCCATGATGCTACACTACGGATCCGCAGATCGAGCGAGAATTCTGTGACCTCCCCCGCTGCGGTAGGCGGCGGGGACCAGGCCTGGGAGGGTACCTGGGAACCTTGGGGAGGGGCGTGGCTTGGCCGGGGAGGTAAGAGGGGCTGGGCGTGACCTGAGAGCATATCCCGTGGAGTACCGTACACCTGGGAAAGGCGGGTTTGGTCCCAGCCCCAGAGGGATCTCAGCTGTCGCTCGGGGCCCGACCTATCTCGGTCCATCTAAGGGTCCGAGGCACAGCCCCGCCAAGAGGCCACAAGTGTCAGCTGCTTCCGCGGGAAGGGTGAGGGCTACCGGGGCACAGCCAATACCACCACCGCGGGCGTACCTTGCCAGCGTTGGGACGCGCAAATCCCGCATCAGCACCGATTTACGCCAGAAAAATACGCGTGCAAGTGAGGTGGGCGGGGGGGCGGGCGTTGGGACGTGCTGCTGCGGGTGAGACGGGAGGAGGGTAGTCACGGGCTTAGGGCTGGAGGCTGGCGGGCTAGGGCTGAGTGCAGCGCCTGCTTAGAGACCTTCGGGAGAACTTCTGCCGGAACCCCGACGGCTCAGAGGCGCCCTGGTGCTTCACACTGCGGCCCGGCATGCGCGTGGGCTTTTGCTACCAGATCCGGTGTTGTACAGACGACGTGCGGCCCCAGGGTGAGGCCCAAGCTTGGGGGCTACAGAGCCGGGGCTGGAAGCCTGGAACCGGAGGGCCGGGGCGAGGTCTCGGCCTGATGGCTGCCCGCACCCGCCGCAGACTGCTACCACGGCGCGGGGGAGCAGTACCGCGGCACGGTCAGCAAGACCCGCAAGGGTGTCCAGTGCCAGCGCTGGTCCGCTGAGACGCCGCACAAGCCGCAGTGAGTCCCTGGTGCTCCTGGCCCCGCCAGGGCCCTAACCCTGGGGCGGCATGCTTTGATGTCTGGGACCAGAGCTTGGAAATGGTTGAGACTACCCTGCCACGATTTCGCTCCCGCTCCCGCCTCGGTTCACGTTTACCTCCGAACCGCATGCACAACTGGAGGAGAACTTCTGCCAGACCCAGATGGGGATAGCCATGGGCCCTGGTGCTACACGATGGACCCAAGGACCCCATTCGACTACTGTGCCCTGCGACGCTGCGGTGAGCACTAGTGACGCTTGCCCCATGACCCTGCCTCAGCCCTCACCACCAAAGGCTGGCTCCCTTAACCCCAGTGAACTTTGTCTTTCAGCTGATGACCAGCCGCCATCAATCCTGGACCCCCCCAGGTTAGGAGTTGGGCCAGTTATGGGTCAGGCCCTTTAGCCCACGACATCCACACAGTCTGGGTTTCATCCAGCCCACCCCATCCTACAGACCAGGTGCAGTTTGAGAAGTGTGGCAAGAGGGTGGATCGGCTGGATCAGCGTCGTTCCAAGCTGCGCGTGGCTGGGGGCCATCCGGGCAACTCACCCTGGACAGTCAGCTTGCGGAATCGGTGAGGCACAACGGCCTGTCTCCCACAGAGAGGAGCTGAGGTTGTGTCCTCTGTGGTTATGCCACTGGGGGCTGGGAATCTATCCCTGCCCCCAGAGGTCCTAGCCAGAAGATGGCAGGTCTAGCATCTCTCCCAGGAGTCTGTTCCCTGTCCTAATTCCCCACTCCTCTAGGCAGGGCCAGCATTTCTGCGGGGGGTCTCTAGTGAAGGAGCAGTGGATACTGACTGCCGGCAGTGCTTCTCCTCCTGGTGAGCCTCCCTTGTGTTTGGGGACCCAGTCTCATCCCACCTTCCCCTTTCCCCAGGCAAGCTAACAAGTGAGCCTTGGGGCAACGGACTGAGAGTCACAAATGACCTAGCAGAGCTTCTCACCCAGCCATATGCCTCTCACGGGCTATGAGGTATGGTTGGGCACCCAGAACCCACAACATGGAGAGCCAGGCCTACAGCGGGTCCCAGTAGCCAAGATGCTGTGTGGGCCCTCAGGCTCCCAGCTTGTCCTGCTCAAGCTGGAGAGGTATGTGGACAACCTGGGAGGATGTGAGGTGGGGCTGAGCCTTGTGGCCTCAGACCCTGAGTGCCCCCATTCTTGTTAAAGATCTGTGACCCTGAACCAGCGTGTGGCCCTGATCTGCCTGCCGCCTGAATGGTATGTGGTGCCTCCAGGGACCAAGTGTGAGATTGCAGGCTGGGGTGAGACCAAAGGTAAGAGCATAGTGCACAGGACTGCTGGTGGCCAGGAGGCCCAGCCCTGGATCTTCCTCCAGGACCGTCTCCTTCTCCCCATTCCCCTCACTGCAGGTACGGGTAATGACACAGTCCTAAATGTGGCCTTGCTGAACGTCATCTCCAACCAGGAGTGTAACATCAAGCACCGAGGACATGTGCGGGAGAGCGAGATGTGCACTGAGGGACTGTTGGCCCCTGTGGGGGCCTGTGAGGTTGGTAGCAGGGCCCTGGGCCAGCCCTGGAAGGGTATGGGGGGCTAGAAATGAACTATTTTATCATGAAGCAGGCTAGTCATGGCTGTGGCCCGGGGCCCTCATCAGTTCTCCTACCTGCCAGGGTGACTACGGGGGCCTACTTGCCTGCTTTACCCACAACTGCTGGGTCCTGAAAGGAATTAGAATCCCCAACCGAGTATGCGCAAGGTCGCGCTGGCCAGCCGTCTTCACGCGTGTCTCTGTGTTTGTGGACTGGATTCACAAGGTCATGAGACTGGGTTAGGCCCAGCCTTGACGCCATATGCTTTGGGGAGGACAAAACTTGTAAGTACAGTCAAGGACAAGACTTGTACTCAAGGTTGAGATTTAATAAAATTAATATTTTTACTACTTCACCAAGGACTTTCTTAAACGAAAATGGTTTTTCCCCCTGCAAGTAAACAGTAATGAAGAAGAGAATTATTCCTAGTGCAGTTTGTTTTCATGGTCTTAATTTTTGCTAAGACTCCACTGTTTTTGCCTTATCAATACAAGTGCCAACACAGTGAAGAGGCAAATATCATCTTAGTATTACTCTGAAAATAGTTCTGAGCTAATGGCCTACTGAAAGGAAAAGAGTGGCTCCTGCTATTCTATTAGACTTATTACAATTATCTTAAGTATTCTTTCTACCCTCCTTTAATTGAATGGAAACAGGGATGGATTGGAAGAGCTGTTTTTCTCCTTTCTTTCCCCCGGCAATATTTACCATTTAATGCCACTTACTAACACTCAAAGAAACAAAACCAAACTTCTCAATTGACAGTGCAGTGACCCAACAAAGACACGGGTTCTTGAATTCAAAGTGGAGCAGGAGAGACGGTAAATACACATTTACTTTAATATATATATATTTATTATTTATGTGTTTAAAGCACAAATTAGTTTGGTAAAAAACATCTCATGTCTGTTTTATTTCCACATCCCTGAGACTGACAATGGGATGCCTATCAATTAATTCATTTAGAGAGCCATACACCACAAGAAATAAATTATTTGTCCTCTGGAGCTTGTCACAGGGGGATTTTTAAAAAACCATTAAACAGAAAGACAACTGTGCATCTTAGAAAGATAAAAGGCCAATTCTTCCTCTCCGGCTGATAGGTTCTTAATAATAGTGATATCTACTAATAAGGTGTTTTACATAGTGTAAAGCATGTTCACATACAAATTACTTAGCCTCTTTGAGCCTCAGTTTTCTTATATGTAAAACTGGATTAATAGTACATTTTGTGTTTAAAAAGATAATGTATATGAAGTGTTTACCATATTTCTTGGCATCTAGTTCAGTTCTCAGTAACTGATGTGGTGGTGGTGGTGGTCATAGTAGCAGTAAGATCCGTAGTAATAGTAGCAGCAGTTGTTTTAGAAATTAGTAACTGAGGCCTGGCAAAGTTAAAGGCTCTTTCATTAACACCCAGAGGGGAAGAAATGAAGCTGGTCTTCAGAGGCAGGCTATTTTCACTCTGTGTCCCAAATTTTCCCCCCTAGACCGTTTTTATATTCTGGGGCCTCAGAAAATATTCTCAGCTATTCTGTTAGCTTGATCTCCTACCATCTGAGAGTGGGCTTCCTTCAAACAACCAAATTTCCAGGTATTTCTAAACTGCCCTTCCCCTACACCATTCTTTGGTTCAGTATTTCAAGACCCCTAAGAGAAATGGTACATTTACATGTAAGCACAGGATAGTGAAGTATTTACAAAAGTGCTTTGGAGCCAGCAAATATGAATCAGAATCCAGCTTTCCTTTCCTACATACATGACATTGGGCAGGTAATTTCTAAGATTTTACTTCTTTATCTATGAAAGTGGAGTACTAGTACTTGCTCTGTGCAACTGTGATGGTTGTTACATGAGGTAGCATCTAGAAGCAGCTTGCACATTGCCAGACACCCAGTGGAAGGTCAATGAATGACTATTTGAGGACTAACTATTACAGAAATGTTTACTCTTCTGAGTCCTGATTTCTAGTCTCCTGGACTAAATAGGTTCACTGTTTTCCTCCCGGTTCAGTTTCCAGACACATCACAGAATTATAAGAATATTAAAAACTCAGGCTTATACCTACACAGGATTTTCTATAACCCTCTTTCTGCTTTGAGCTCCTAAAGCTATTTCATAGAAAAATGACCTTATTTTTAAATAGAGGGGGCAGTTGAAAATCAGTGAATGGGCCTACCCCCTAATGATTTTTTTCTCAGCCCTAATTATAATAATTAGCATTATAAAGTGCTAATTATCTTTGGACACAGAGGACCTGCACACCAGAGACAGAGGTCCGCATTAAGTAAAGTGGATTTCACTTTCTTCAGTTGTGAGATTTCTCTTTTTTCTTCTTTGTAATGATGCAAAGATATATCTTCCACCAAGCCTCATTTAAAAGCTTTTTCCAGTTAAGGAAACTATCTCTTGGCCATCCACAGCCAGACTGCATATTGAGATTATGGATATTCAAAGAAATTGTCTTTCCTTTGTATATTGTCATAACTTTTTGTGAAATGTTTGTTTTATAGTTCCAGGCCAGCACCTAGAACCTGGCTAGAATAAAAAACTGCAGAAATCATGAGTTTCTTGTTTGGATGAAAGAGCACACCTATTAACAAATGATAGACGGCTATCCTACTGTGAGTCCTGAAAACTGGTGGTGTGATTGTTGAATGGGTTAGGGGTATAGCAGAGAAACTCAGTGTGGGCTACATACAATTTCAGCTTGAATCACACTTAACAGATCCTCTGTTCCAACCATTTAAATTTACAAAGAAGAAACTAAGGCACAGAACTACTTGAGAAGAGAAGCAGAATTGAAAACTAGAGCTCCTGATTGTTCTCAAAATAATTTTTATCATACTGCATCGGGTTCTAAGTGAGAGGGCTTCTTATTTAGTAATGCCAAGGTCATGTGTTAACATGTAAAAAAAAATTAGACGAGGAATGGGGCATTGGTGTAAGATTATACAGAGTGTAAAGTTGGGCTTTCTCTTATCATCTGTTGTCAACAACAGGATGATTGTTACTGTTACCCAGTCCTTACCATCATTCACACAGAGACATTGGATATTGAGGAGAGACTTTAAAACAGAATATTAGTAATGCAGAGCTATAAAGAGCCACGATCATATTAATACAATCCTCCATACACATAGTGACCTGTCTGCAGCTCCAGCCTAGAGAAACCCAGTTATTCACTTGTAGTGGGCAGCCCCATTATCAGAAAGCGCTATTCAATTGGAAATGCTCATCCGTGTTAGGTCAAAAACGACTTCCTCTAAATATCCATTCTGTGTATTGAAGTATAAATGAGTCCCACTTAAGAAAAAACAAAACAAACCAACTTCCAATGATTTAAAAATACTAACGTGACCCTCTTACGTTTACCTAAAGCTAGTGTTTCTCAAACATCAGCTGTATCAGAATCCCTGAAGGACTTGTTAAAACAAATTGCTGGTCTCTACTCTGAGCTTCTGATTCATTAAATGTGGGATGGTACCTGAGAATCTGCATTTCTAACACGTTCCCAGGTGACCCTGATGCTGTTGCTCTGAGAACCACTTTGAGATCCACATCTCTAAGCTCATCAGTCTGTCCGTTACACCTTACAAGACATACTTTCCTAATCTGACACCCTTCTATTTGTCTTTTTTTGGAATGCTTTAGAAATTTAGCAGTTATCTTTTTTATGTATTTTACATTTGTTACAGCTTTCCTTGGTGGACAGATATGAGTTTTCTACTTGAAAATAAACACGTTTTTCTTTAAAATATCATTAAATAAGAGTGTAATTAGTGATATAAAGCAAGATGAGTAAAAAGAATCTCTCATTATTATGTTTGCACAGCCTGTATAGAAATTATTTGAACTAGAAAGGATTTGCTAAGTAAATTATTTCTATTTCCCTCACTTAATAGTGAATATTATGGTGATTAGGGGAAAAAATAAGCTTTCTTTTTTCTTTTGAGATGGAGTCTCACTCTGTCACCCAGGCTGGAGTGCAGTGGCGCGATGTCGGCTCACTCTGTCACCCAGGCTGGAGTGCAGTGGCGCCATCTCGGATCACTAAGCCATCTCGGCCTCCCCAGCTCAAGCGATTCTACTGCCTCAGACTCCCAAGTAGCTGGAATTACAGGTGTCCGCCACCATGCCCAGCTAATTTTTGTATTTTTAGTAGAGATCACCATGTTGGCCAGGCTGGTCTCGAACTCCCGACCTCAAGTGATCCGCCTGTCTTGGCCTCCCAATGTGCTGCGATTACAGGCATGAGCCACCACGCCCAGCTAAAAGAAGCTTTTCTGATAGTAACTTTGTTTTCCCATTCTGGAGTTTATGGCAGTATGAAAAAGACTGAATTTATAAGCAGAAGATCTGTTTTTGAAATCCGGGGACCTGTATTTCACAATGGCTTTGATGTGTTTTGATTGTGCACCTTTAGACAACTTATCAGTTTCCTCATTTTTATACAGCAATAAAATAGTAACAGCTACCCATTAAATTCTGTACAGAAGCTAGGGACAGACGCAATAACACTTGCATATCTATAAAGGCTTTGTAAATGTGGGTATTATATCTAATGTTTATGCACATGCTGTTTGATTATTTTCATTTGGAATTCCACTCCATTAAAGGAAAAGTAACATACGAATTCAGATTCTTGTAAGTCTTCAGGCATAAGGCTTCCATTGACTAAGTACATTGCCTACATAATTTCTCCTAACCCAAATGAATCTCCAGTTAAACCAAGCTGGTGGTTATGTACTGTCTCCAGAGGATGCCAAGCATAAAGTCCTTGAGTATATTCATCTTGGATCCTCTGATTGGACAACTGCGGTATTGAGACTTCAAGTTCCCCCTTGAAGGCCCCAGACGGTACCTGTAATTTTACTCAAGTTTTAAATGTATGCTCTTTGTTAAGAAAGAGTGACAATGATTTGATTTATTTTCCGTGACTGGGGTTAGGGATGGGGGAGACTCTAGGAATGTGACTTACCAGTGAGGTTCTAGTTTTATAAATCATAGGACAAGTTTTGATAGGCAAATGTTGGACTATAGGGCTGAGGTTGTTTTCCACCACAACATATAGACTTCTACTAGCCCTTGAAGGAAAAAACACGAGAAAATCAGTTGGGTCAGCTGAGTATTCCTTTACGAGTATGGAACAGACTTACATAACAATTCTGCAGGTAATGGCTCTGGAAAGGTCAACCACTTAGTTTTGGACAACTCTTTTCTATTCTGTATAACCACTTTTTCACCAAAATGATACTAAATAAATATGCTATAGGAAGCTATATTTTGACATGACTGTTTTAGGCAAAGATACACTCACCAACTTACTCCACAAGAGTTTCTAATCAGAGAATATCATATGGATCTATTTGAATTGCTCCCATGCTTGGCTGAGCCCAAAATAATTTACTGTGCATATGTACACCAAGTGAGAAGGTTGAGGAGGTGTCACTTGTACATCTCTTTATTCTTTTTTTTTTTGTATGTGTGTGTTATTTTCATGTGTTTTGAAAGGCTCTCTTGCTTAGCTTTTATTTTGCCATTAAAGATTTTTTTCTGTGCTATAACTGTATTTTTAAGTCTGGTTTGAGTTCAAGAAATCCACAAATTCACAAAAGATTAAGAATAATTTGTGAACAAAATGATGCAGAAATAAAAAATGCATTTTCCAAATAACTCCCTTGCAGTCCTTCTCCCCCAACTACCACTTTCTATTAAGTTTCTTCTTCCTACTCTATGAAGTGCCATGAGCTTTCAATTCATTGTATTTTAAGTATAAGCTATACTTACTAACCTTCACGTTATTCTTTGCTACTTAAATAAGCTTGCTTTCATAGTTCAATTGACGTATCGTTTAACTGATATTTTTAATTGGTATATTTTGATATATATTGATAATTGATAGCTATATAATTCATTTGAGATATTTTGGGTATGGAGGGTTGGAAGGAATCCTTTCATAATTTTTCTACTTAAAAGAAATCTTTTTTCATTTAACAGCTTTTCCCATGGGGATAGAGTTTTCATGAATAAATCAAAGTCATTAAATGTGGTATATGGTACATCTTTTAAGAGTCACAGAAAGAAGCAACAACAATTTACCCAGGCAGAGGGTATAAGTTTAGACCTTGGTTGCCTGATTTGTGGGACAAGTTCTTTAATTTTTTTTCTTTATATTTGGACTTTTTTTTGGACTCTCTCCTCCCCTTCCAGGCTCCAGGTCAAATACTTGACACCTGAATGATGTTCAATTATTTAAAAGATGGATTGGCCAGCTCAGCTCCTGTCTCAGACAGACTGTCTTTAAATGTATTTTCAACATGTCTTCAGACAGTTATTTTTCCTCTGTTCAATTTTGTTCATCTTCTTACTTAACCGTTCAAGTGCTCCTATTTCCTTTTTAAATGTAGTATTGAGAAGTGCAAACATTATTGGAAAAGAGAGTCTCACTAGCATAATTGTGCATTATCTTCCTCTTATATCGCCGGCCTCCCTGCACCCCCATGCCCACCTCCTCCTCGCGCCTCCATGCCGCCTCCCACTGCTCCAGCTCCTTGCAGCTGCGAGTCCAGTCACTGGTCACCTTTCGTATCTCCTCACTCAGAGCCTGGCTGGCCAAACCTGCCTGGTCCAGCTGTTCTCAGAGCATGGCATTCACCTGGGCCAGGCTGGCACTCCTGAATGGGGCACAGGGGATCAGTAGGCGCTCGCCCAGGGGGCCATGCTGCCAGCCCTGGCCCTCCCTGCTGCTCCTCCTCCAGCCAGATGAGGGCACTCTCCAGGTCTTGGCTGTGCTCTGCGTCCTGGGTGGCAGAGAGGTTAAAGCATCAGGCTGGGCAGGTGGAGGGCAGGGCCTGCCTCTGCCCCACCCTGGCACCCACCCTCAGCTGCTGCTGCTCCAGCTCTCCGGATCTCTCCAACAGCTGCTCCAGCTCCGAGAACCTCTTCTTGTACTGGAGAATCTGGGGATTGGGAGCTGATGGTGAGCCCCAGGGGTGGGGGCAGGGCAAAGTGAACACGTGGGAGGGAAAGAGCAGGAATGGGTGGCCCTGACCTTGCCCTGCAGCCACTGCACAAGCTGGGCCTGCCGCTGCTGGCCCTCCAGGTAGGCCTGCAGCTTGTGCCACTAGGAGGCCTGCTCCTCCTGCAGCTGCCTCCGCAACTCCACGCTCTGGAGTACCAGCCCCCTGGGCTCTTGCGTCTCCAGCTCACCAGATTCCAGCCACAGAGCCTGCTCCAGCTGCAGGGAAGGGCCCTGGGTGAGAGTCCTGGGCCTCCTGGGAAGGCAGGCTCAGGCCTCTGTAGGGGGTGGCAGGCTGGGCCCAGACCCACAATGCCTTGTAGGCTGATAGCCTGGCGCCCTGGGGAGCAGCACATGTGGGCAAGCCCAGGGGCAGTGCACGTGTGCATGGGGTGATGCAGCCATGCACGGGCACGCAGATGGGGCATGCATGGACACATGCAGGTGAGCCCACAAACCCAAACCATGCAGGCAAAGCTCAAAGGTGCACCTCGGTCAACCTCAGGGGCCTCAGTACACCATGCGCCTCTCCTCCAGAACACTTAGCCCTGTCGTGGTTTCTGTTTATTACATTGATGCCTGTGTCTTCCCACCATGCCCCCACCCCAGTGTGAGCTCAGAAAGCCTGGATTTTTTGTTCCTCATTGTATCTTAGTGCTATAATGGTGGCTGTGGAATGGCATGGCTCATGCTCAGTAAATATTTCTTGTGATGGTGAATTAATGGCATGAGCTCATGGGAATACATTCAAACAGAGGTGTCAATCCGCCTATGCATATCTGAGCTTAAAAATATGCACACACATAACACATACAGGCAACCTCAAACATCCCCAGGGGGACACGAAGGAACCCCCTCATATACACAGCATTAAGATTTGTAAGAGGTGCACACAGATGTTGCCCTATACGGCGCCTGCATATTAATGCCCACTTCTGGCTGGGTGCAGTGGCTCATGCCTGTAATCCCAGCACTTTGGGAGGTCAAGGCGGGTGGATCACTTGAAGTCAGGGGTTCGAGACCAGCCTGGCCAACGTGATGAAATCCCGTCTCTACTAAAAATCGAAAAATTAGCCGGGTGTGGTGGCATGCACCTGTAATCCCAGTTACTCAGGAGGCTGAGGCAGGAGAATCACTTGAACCTGGGAGGCAGAGGTCGAAGTGAGCCAAGATCGCACCACTGCACTCCACCCTGGGCGACAGAGCAAGACTCCATCTTTTATTTATTTATGTATTCATTTATTTGTCTCATGGGCTGAGCGAGGGGACCCCGGCTGGTGGAGGGACAGCTGCGCCCTGCAGGCCGCTGCGTCCGGGCAGACCCCGGCCTCTTGTCGTGCCCCCGGCCCGCGACAACCCGGGCAGGATGGGCAGCAGGACGCAGCGGGGCATCCGCGGAGCCCGTCGAGAACGCTCTCTTGGCTTCCGGGGCCGGGCAGCAGTGGGTGCGGCACCCACAGTGCCCACAGCGCCCCCAGCCCTGGGACGTGGCTCCAGCCCGCCCCCAGGCAGGCGGCCTCCTTCGCCGGGAGCACGTCGCCTGGGCAACATGGAGAAACTTCAACTCTTAAAAAAACAAGACAGCCACCACAACAACAAAAACAAGAACAGAAATTAGCTGGCTGTGGTGACTGGTGCCTCTGCTACTCCAGAGGCTGAGGTGGGAGGATCGATTCAACCAAGATGCCACCAGATACAGTGAGACTGTCTCTCAGAGAATAAGTCAAACAAACAAAAAAAGAGGCTGTGTAAGAGGTGACTCTGGGGACAGTGGAAAAACACTAAGGTTTTCAAGTGGTGTTAAAAGCCACTAGGCCTTGGGGACCATTGAGCAATCTACAAAGCACGGAAGCCTAGATCCCTGAGCTCTGCCTGCCAAGTACCACCACAGCTAACATGGGAGACCTCCCCCACAGAGACTGAAATTTGCCTCCCGAGGAAACAAGTGACTACAGACATCCGTCCCAGGACAGTAAACAAGAAAACAAGGTCTCACAAAAACAAAAACAGCTGACCACAGCATACAATCACTGAGACCGAGCCTGCGACTATAGGTGAAAAAAAAAATGCTGTCCATTATTCATACCATGAAAGACCAGGAGAAAGTGCGAACGCAGTCCCCTACTACTGTTGTGGGAATCAGGAGAACAGAGAGACCAATGGGTGGAACAGGAGGATTTATTGACTGCACTGAGGCCCAGCAGATGAAAATCCAAAGGCTGAGCCCCGAACAAAGACAGGGCTTAACTTTATACACACTTCTGAAAGGGGGTTGGCTAGTTTGAATGGCGCGGCGGGAATTTGATGGCATGAAACTCAGGGGCAGGCAAGAGGGCTTATAGAAGCAGAACAAAGGCAGCTAATCAAACTGTCACAGGTCTTGCAATGCAAGTATAGCTGGTGACCTTGCAGCTGCACTGAAGGGAAATCGGGAACTTAACAAAACTTGAATAATTAGAAATGGAAAGGGGGAAAGAGAAGGTAGTAAAGGCATTTGTTGTTTTTTCATCTTATCTTTGCTAGGGGTGACTGTATTGAGAGAGTCTCCGGAACTCATTCCTCGGGGCTCTGACTTTTCAGATAGTGTTACCGAGGATCTGCTAGGGCTCTATCTATGGCAGGTCTTGGAGTCAGCCAAGTACAGGAAAACGTGTCTTTTCCTTTTAACTTCTGCCTTATTACTACAAGTTGTACAGCACACCATGCCTGGTTTTCATCAGCAATGTTTCCTGAGGTTACAGAAAGATTTCTAATCCTGGGAGGAAACACTCCCTTGAAGCAAAAGTGTTCTCCCCCAAAAAATGCAAGGAGCTATCTTCTTGATAGCCAGGCAGATAATTCTCAGGTTTTGCCCCACAGAATCTCTATCTAAAATACAGCAGTGGTCATGCCTAGTGAAAAGTTTGAGGGAACTCACCCAATGTTGGGTTTCTTCAGAGCCATATATATAGATATAACCAAATATCCTAAAAGACACTGCCCTTCATCATTCCATGCTGTTAGACATTTACAGGACCATGGATGGTGATCTCCTCCAGACAAAAATAAATGCTGGTGCAGAATAGGTAAGTGTATTATAATTTGAGGACATCAGCTTTTGGGCATTTTAAACCATGGGTCAGACATGTTAGAGCAAGAGGCCAGGTTGATAGCAAGAGGGAGTGTTTTTCTTTTAATTTGTCAATAGCAAAGTGATGTTTGCCACTGTCATTTCAGAGTGAGGGGACAATTTGTTGTTGTTTGGTTTTGTGGGTTTTTGTTTGTTTGTTTGTTTGTTTTTGAGACAAGGTCTCACTGTCACCCAGGCTGGAGTGCAGTGGCATGATCAGGGTTTACTCCTGCCTTGACCTCATGAATTCAAGCAAACCTCCTTACTAATCCTCCTGAGTAGCTGGGACTACAGGCACGTGACCCCACACCCTGGGGTGTGAACTGGGATTTGATGTTTTCAGTTGGCTCTCTAATGGAATAGGTTCCCTTACTCTTGTAGAATCAGATTGTCTTCATGATTATCATTCTTGTGTGCCTTATATTTCTACTACCCTGCTGTTTTTTTTTCTATTTTTCTTTTTTCTTTTTATTTTTTTCTTTGTGAGACAGAGTCTCGCTCTGTCTCCCAGGCTGTATTGCAGTGGCAGGAACTCAGCTCACTGCAACCTCCACCTCCTGGGTTCAAGCAATTCTTTTGCTTCAGCCTCCTGAGTAGCCACCTGGCTAATTTTTGTATTTTTAGTGGAGACAGGGTTTCACCATGTTGGCAGGCTGGTCTCGAACTCCTGACCTCAAGTGATTCACCTGCCTCAGCCTCCCAAAGTGCTGGGATTACAGGCATGAACTACCACACCTGGATCTCAAACCATTTTAGTTAAGCAAAGACAGATTTGTCTGGCTTTTTAGTACAATGCTGAATTATCCTCCAATCTATATTTTTAGGAAGGACCTGGGGAATGGCAACTTGGAGATATTTGGTGAAAATGTGAACCTTTCATGTTCTGCTTCAGTCCCTTTTTGAAAATCCTTCCAATTTACCTTTTGCAACCAGTTAGTGTCCTTCCCTTCTTCACCAGCATGTGAATTAATTGATAAAGATCAGAATATTTGGGCTCAAAGGTTTCAACAGTTAAGTCAAGTTTTCTGCCAAAGCCTACAGGATTTTGGAGCCTGCTTTAGAAACAGAAGAGTGAAATATATTTAAGTTTAGATCAGGGAAGTTCTTTATAATATTCTTAATTCACGTTTTGGTGAAGTGGTATACACAACGGTAGGCTCCCCTCTTCCTGTGGGTTTGGGTTTTACCTTGAAAGGGGCTGTCAGAACAGAAGTTTCAGGGAAGGGACCAGATCCCTGGGGACTTTCCTTAGGTGATGGTGATGGAAGAAGAGGCAAGGCAGGACAGGAAGGCTCAGGTAAGAAAGACTATGCAGGTGCAGGGGCAGGAGGAGAAGGAGCAGTTGGAGGTGAAAGAGACAAAGCCTCCTCGATATTTCTCAAATCAGAAAACATGACAGTCTACCTCCTTCAGCTTACTTCCTCAATGGAGGCAATTTTCTCAGTTCTTTTAGAAATTTTAGAAATTTAGACATTTCTAGGTCTCATTGGAATTAAGTCTCCTATTTAATTTGTCTGGTTCGAAAACCAAATTTCTCTCTCTCTCTCTTTTTTTTTTTTTTGAGACAGGGTCACCCAGACTGGAGTGCAGTGGTGTGATCTCCGCTTACTGCACTCACCGCTTGCTGCATGACAGCCAGTAAGTGGAGGGTTGAGGTGTAGGGGCAGGGAAGGTGACTTTATTTCAGAGAGCCACCAAACTGAACAGATGGTGAAGTAACATCCTGAAGAACCATCTTAAATTAATACGATTTTCAGGCTCCTTGTACGTTAGGGAAGGGAGGAAGAAGGAGGCGCTTGAGGTGAAGAGGTCTGACAATGACAGACATGGGCTGCAGTGGGAGCCCAAGGGGATGGTGAAAATTGTTTGTCCTTTGTCAGGTCACACTGCTCTTATAAATCTTCAGCATAACACTGTTACTTGTGTATACAACCTCTCTATCTTCTCAGGAGTTAGTTTGGGGAAGGGATTATTATCATCTGTGCTTTAAAGTTGAACTGTAAGCTAAATCCCTCCCATAGATAGCTTGGCCTATGTGCAGAAATAAGAAAAAGCAGTTAGCCTGGAAGATGTCACCACAGGGTAGGAAGGGTTAGGAGCAAAATGCAGTCAGTCATGCTAGGCCTCCTTTTCATTGCCATATATTTAATGTATTTGAACACATAATTTTAACTTTTTATACTTTATTTTTATTTATTTATTAGTTTTTTGAGGCAGAGTCTCACTCTGTTGCCCCCCCAGGCTGGAGTGCAATGGCGTGATCTTGGCTCACTGCGACCTCTGCCTCCTGAGTTCAAGCAATTCTCCTGCCTCAGCCTTCTGAGAAGCTGGGATTACAGGAGCCCCCCACCATGCCCGGCTAATTTTTGTATTTTTAGTAGAGACAGGGTTTCACCATGTTGGCCAGGCTGGTCTCAAACTCCTGACCTCGGGCTCCCAAAGTGCTGGGACTACAGGCATGAGCCACCATGCCCAGCCTAACCAAGATTATTAAACCATTCTAATTTGTCAAAAGAGTCATACTGATTTTTAAAAAATAATGTAATGGGCCAGGTGCAGTGGCTCATGCCTGTAACCCCAGCACTTTGGGAAGCCATAGCAGGAGGATCATGAGGTCAGGAGTTCAAGACAGCCTGACCAACATGGTGAAACCCTGTGTCTACTAAAAATACAAAAATTAGCCAGGTGTGGTGGTGTGCGCCTGTAATCCCAGCTACTCAGGAGGCTGAGACAGGAGAATTGCTTGAACCCGGGAAGCAGAGGTTGCAGTGAGCCGAGATTGCACCACTGCACTCTAGCTTAGGCGACAGAGTGAGACTACATCTCAAAATAAATAAATAAATAAATGCATATAATAATAATGTAATGAACTTTTTCATGTCTTTATATAATAAATATTACATTATTTAAATTGTTCAAAAGCATCAAAGATTCCTCTCTGCTATCAATTTCATTTCATTTATTTTATTGTACCAAACTACCAGGACCATTAATTTAATCTACAGCTAAATCTCTTATTTTTTCGTGTTAGAAATTCAACAAGAAAATTTTTCCCTAACGAAACCTCACATTTCAAGCATAAGCAGCCTGGGCGAGGTGGCTCACACCTGTAATCCCAGCACTTTGGGAGGCCGAGACAGGTGCATCACTTGAGGTCAGGAGTTTGAGACTAGCCTGGCAAACATGATGAAACCCTGTCTCTACTAAAAATATAAAAATTAGCTGGGCGTGGTGGCGTGCGCCTGTAATCCCAGCTACTCTGGAGGCTGAGGCAGGGAAATAGCTTCAACCTGGGAGGCAGAGCTTGCAGTGAGCTGAGATGGCACCACTGCACTCTAGCCTGGGCTACAGAGCAAGACTCTGTCTCAAAAATAAATAAATAGATAAATAAGCATAAGTAGTAAAAAAATAACATAAATTAAAAAATAAGGCACAGGATCTTGCTCTGTTATCCAGGCTAGAGTGCAGCGGGGCAATCATAGCTGACCAACTTGGAACTTCTGGGCTCAGGCAATCCTCCTGGCTCAGCTTGCCTTGTGTTTGTTTAGAGATGAGGTCTTGCCCTGTTCCCCAGGCTGGTCTCCAACCCCTGGCCTAAAGCAATCCTTCCGCCTCAGCCTGTTGAGTTGCTGGGAGTACAGGTGCAAGACATGCAGCCTAGCGTTGTAGTAAAACAATTTTCAACAAATTCTTAATTTTCTTTCTTTTTCTTTTTTATTTCTTTTTTTTTTGAGTTGGGAGTCTCATTCTGTCACTCAGGCTGGAGGGCAGTGGCACAATCATAGTTCACTGCAGCCTGAGATTACAGTCATGCATTATCATGCCCGGCCAACTTTTAAAAATTAGCTAATACTTAAAAATTTGTAGAGACAGGGGTTTCACTGTGTTGCCCAGGCTGGTCTCCAACTCTTAAAGTGCTGGGACTGTAGCTATGAGCCACCATACCTGGCTTAATTTTCTTATTTTAATTTTATATAAGTGATTATTATTGTTCCTAAGATAATTGGGGCAGTGACTCCTTTACAATTGTAGAGATCTAATTTGTCTATTCACTTCACTGAAAGAGTATGCCAATTTGTTTCATGAGAAAATATCCTATATTTATAAAGCAGGAAAATTCCTTCCACCAAACTAGGGTGCATTCTAAAGAAACGAATTGTGCTAAGTAACATCACTTAAAGTGAAAACAGAGGCAATGGTATCTATTAACAATGTTTATCAGTGAAGGAAATAAACTGAAAATATGAACATCATTAGATCCTTGGAGGGCCTTCATTGCTGAAAATCTGAGTAACACTGTGATACTCTTTTGAGTCTGGCAGGACATTGTCTTTCCAGGGCATGTAACAGTGGGTGAATAATTGCTTTTCATTCATTTCCATTAAGGGCTGAACTTCCTTAATGTTCTGGAGATTATTAAATTTGATTTGTATAGTTGTGAAAAGTACTCATATTGCTGATTCCATTGCTTATATGTGATCATATAAATCTTTTCTCTTTCTGTAGTGTGGTTTAAACTTAATTCTTAAAGGGCATGTATTTGAATTTTTCAGCTGGTTAGAAACCTGAATATACCAATCAAATAAAACTGCTCCTTACATGCTACAGATTCAGTTTTCTTCCTGTACTAAGATGTCTTTTAGACACAGTAAATTCGTTAAAGCCAAGAGCCCCTAGGAAACGAAGTTGGTTGGGAGGGGGGACATCGAGTAGTAAGATCACTCTTGTAACAGAGATGCCACTCTTGCAGATATTGACAACAATTGGGCCTATAAAATGTTTACCAAACATTGGAAAGACAAGATCTGAACAACTTATCATTGCTGCAGTCTCAAATATCAGGAAATGCCATTATTCTCAGGACAATAAATAGACAATAAAGAAGACTCACAGAGCAGATTAGCTGTCATGTATCACCAAACAGGGACTGGATCCTTGTCAACATGACCCAACAGAGATTGTCCCCAGAAATTCACTTCATAACCTCCAAACCAAAAACCCACACTGATGGCAAAAAATAATGATGCAAAGAATGAGAGAGAGAGAGAGAGAGAGAGAGAGAGACCTGTCCTATAGCCATACTCAGTGGGTAAAAGCCAAAGAGCTCAATTTCTGCTCATGATACTTAATAGAACATAGGGAACATGAGCCAATAGCTCAATGGGTTCAGATCTGCACCAAGTGCCTGTTGGACGCAGGATTCTACTGTCTCCAATAATATGTCTCAGATGCACTAATTTTTTTTCTTTTTTTGAGACAGAGTCTTACTCTGTTGCCCAGGCTGCGGTGCAATGGCGCGATCTTGGCTCACAGTAACCTCCACCTCCCGGGTTCAAGTGATTCTCCTGCCTCAGCCTCCCGAGTAGTTGGGATTACAGACACACACCACTGCGCCCGGTAATTATTATTATTATCATTATTATTATTATTGTTATTATTATTATTGTGCATGTGTATGTGTTTGTAGTAGAGACGGAGTTTTGCCATGTTGGTCAGGCTGGTCTTGAACTCCTGACCTCAGCTGATCAAAAGTAGGTGAGGTCAGAAAACATACCCTGGGAGAGGCTGGCACAATGCCCAGAACCGCCATCACTAGGCCTGGGGTTTTCCTCTGTAGTGGAATACTAGTATTCATGTAGTGCAGGGACAAAACCAATTAGATAGTTCTGGGAGTTAAAAAGAGGTGATTTACAGTGCTATTTGAGAAGGGGTATTAAGGAATTTGCCAGGGCACTGACGCGTGTCAGGTGTAAACCTCAGGTTGAGAGAGAGCTAAGTATTTTCTGTCCATGAGGGTGATAAGCGAGGGCCTGAAGAAAGAGGGACTGGGGAGGACACTGGCACCAGAAATAGGAAAGGGCTTGTTGGGGGTGGGAAGGATGGGTCAGGGTGCTATCTAGAAAGTTGCCTGGCAATGGATGTAGGATGTGGGAGTGAGACATCAAACATGAAGCAGTCGCTTAAAGTCTGAAGAAACACTAGATATATGAACTGCAGGAGATAGTAGGGAAACTGGACCGGCTCCTCATAAAACTTCCCACCTTCTATCTCCGGGAGGATCGCAGGGCATTTCCGCCAAGACAGGTGAGACTGCGGTTCTGACCTGCGGGCCTCCGTGCATATGCGCTAGGGCACCTGGGGGCCGGCAGAGCCGTTCCCCTACGCAGAGTAAGCGTGTTATGTCTACAACCCAATGGGGACACTGAGAGCCCCAAAGGCCCTGCTTTCTTCCCAGAGAACAGCGCCCATCTGTGTAGTTTCTACCTGGCTCTATGAGGTGAGAACACACTCCCCGCTAGCACAGAAATCCTACAAACTCCTGTGGGGGCTGCGCTTGGAAGCAGAGGCTGTGTAAGAGGTGACTTGGGGGGTAGGGAAAAACACGAAGATTTTCACACAGGGTGAGAACCCAAGAGACTGGAGACCACGGACCAATCCCTGCAAAAAGCAGCCAGGGTAGAAAGGGAAGAGCTGAGCGGACTTCACGATAGCTAATTTGTGTTACAAAGCCGATACGGCTGATGCTCGCTTTTTCTCCTATGGCGTGCAGGCCACATGTTACTTCCTATTCCCCAACCGTCTACTGTAGGATTAACACCTAAGACGCCAACCAAGACACAAACCAATACAAGAAAAGATATGACCCTTAGCGTACAGTCTGTTTTTGAAACTCCAGAAAGTCAGGGGAAAGCGCGAACGCAGTCCCCCACTACCACAAATTATGCAGTCGAGTTTCCCACATTTGGGGAAATCGCAGGGGTCAGCACATCCGGAGTGCAATGGATAAGCCTCGCCCTGGGAAAACCACCTTCGTGATCATGGTATCTCCCCTGCCAGGTAAGTATGAGATCTTCGGGATCTGCCCCGACACAGCCTCATACGCCTCACTCTTTACACACACGGTCACTTGCCCCGCGCACTCCCGAGCCCTTTCCAGCCCTGACACACAGCTGGGATTCTCACTTCCGATCAGCGGTCCTGAACCCGCTCCCAGGGCACGGGAACTCCTTCGTGGTGAAGCAGCAAGTGGCGAAGCAGCAGCCTCTGCGCTGCCTCATCTACATAGAAGTCGCCCTGTCCGTGATGTCACCGACAGTGCCTTGCCCAGTCCCCGTCTGCCTTTCTGCCACTCAACCGACCAATCTGCTGCCAGAGCCGCCAAGGGGAAGTGACGTCTGCCTCTCCCTTTTTCCCTCCCGCCCCTGCGTCTGTTCTCTCCCAAAGAAGCTGGTCCTTAGCCTGTGTTAAGGAGCAACCTTTCGGTGGCCAGATGGAGCCGGGGCATCCTTCTTCAAATAATGGCTTTTAATTCGCAGACTAGAATGTTTCGGATTACAAAAGAAACCGGTTCTCTTCACATCCTTATCCTTGTGATGCAGCATTCCGCTTGCAATTGGAAGCCGTTTAATATCAGAGAGAAACCATATTTATGAAAGTAAAGAGGCTGCTCAGATGACTGCAAACCAGCCTTCCTTACTGATTTTATCACTGGTAATGTTATAAAGACAGTTGTCCAGTTTCATGAATCTTGTAGGTTTTTTTTTTTGATGTTGTTTTTTTTCAAAAATCCATATTGTAGAAAAATATGCTGTCCCAGAAGAGATGATTGGACACTCTCAAGCGTGGTGCTGGAGTTTGTCATCTCTTGCACAGCCATCTCCACACCTTAGTGCTTACCTCAAGTTAGTTTTTTATATTCTGCAAAGACGAAACCAAAATAATCCAAATTTGACACAAATACCTGGGCTACATCTTATTTGAGATGTTTAACAAATGTCTGGATCATCTTTTCTTATATATTACGCAGGAAACACTGTGAAGTAAGCAAAGTTGGAATGCCCAAGTGAAAGACCATTTGAATATTTACAAGTAGATTTCAGACAGGAATACTACAGGGTGGTCACAGGATAACAAATTCTAGGCAGCAGATTTACATGACTTGAGGCTGTGGGCTGTTAAGACGCTGAAAAACCAGGGTGTGGACCAAGCTGGCTAAGGCTGAGTGGACCCAACGTGGTGCTGGATTGGATGGAGGTTTTACCTAGGCCCTCATTATATGCTCATTAACATACTAAATCACACACCCGCCAGTGCCATGACAGTTCTGAGACCAGTGTTTGATGTAAAAATGGCACCACAGTTCCAAGAAATCTCCACCTTTACCCAGGAATTTTCGTGAACATTCCACTCCTTGGTTAAAGAAACCCATCAAGATGAAACCCCAGAACCCATTATTCTCTCTTGGGTATGCCCAAGCTCCCCTTTCTTGAGTGTGTACTTTTTGCTTTGCAATAAATCTCTTCTTTCACTATCTGCTGACTCATCTTTGACTTTGTTCTCGCGATGGTGTCAACAGCCTGGACACCACAGCTGGGGTCGAGATCCCACCAGTGTCCAGGGACCTCCCCCAGCCCACCAGTATCAGATTCTATTCCATTGCTCAAATCACAAAACATCGAGTGGAGAGTTCTCCTTGGAGATCATAAAGTAAAGATTCTGTGGCATGGTGGCCAGTTAGGCCACTGGAAGCATGGCAAAATTTTGAAAATGAGGGATTAGGTGACAGTGTAGTAACTGCTGAATACTAAATACTTGATCCAGGCCCCATTCCCTGGAGATTGACAGGGAGACACATTGTCCAGGTAGTAGTGGAGAAATGCTTTCTGGGTATCTGACCAGCCTTTGTGGAAAGAACTGGCACCATCCTGCAGATGTAACCGCCTGATGGGTTCTTCCTGACCAATGTACACAAAAATTCAATTCATGGAGACCATGGCACTGCAGGCAAGAGTTTCATTGACACAGGCCAGCCACGACACGTGGGAGACAGAGTTATTACTCAAAGCAATCTCACTGAAGGCTTGGAGGTAAGGGGTTTTTCAAAGATAGTTTGGTGGGGAGGGGGCTAGGGCTTGCGTGGTGCTGATTGTTGGGGATGAAATCACAGGGGCGTGGAAAATGGTCCTCCTGCATGGAGTCAGCTTCTGGGTGGGGGCTAAGGGACTGGTTGATTTTCGGGCCAGATGGTGCCTTCCAGCAGTCAGAAATGCAAAAGCCTGAAAAGACATCTCAAGAGGCCAATCTTAGGTTCTACAATAGTGATGTTCTTCACAGCAGTAATTGGGGAAGCTGCCAATCTTGTGACTTCTGGAATAATGACTGGTAATTATTTAACGAGGCATACATCTTAGTAGAAATCAGGCCCCTTTCATCCTTCTAACTTGGTAGCCTTTCATTCATTTTACAGGGGTAATTTAGTTTTGGGGAAGGTTATCATTTAAAGCAGCCTTTTTGGCTGTCCTCAACCTTTTTGTCACCAGGGACTGGTTTCATGGAAGACAATTTTTCCATGGAAGGGGGTGGTGGATGTTTTCCAGATGAAACTGTTCCACCTCAGGTCATCAGGCATCAGTTACAGTCTCATAAGGAGTGCGCAATCTGGACCACTCACATGAGCTGTATCACCACTCAGCTCTCACTCCAGCCTCAGGTATCAGCAAGACCTCACCAAAGATTACTGTTTAATTGTCTCTGTGTGTGTTTTTGTTTGTTTCAGGTAACAACTAATGTTGGAACTATGAAAAGCTCTTCTCTACTTTTAACAAAGCTTAGTCACAAACAGTTCCCCAGTTGATAAGAAAAACTAAAACAACAGAACAATTGAAAGTCCGAATCTGCAAGTTCATCTCTGAGAACCGAATTTTACAGCCACTCCAGATTTGTACTCCAAATGGATAGTTTGATTGTAGAAATCACATCCCTTCAGTCTGCCAATGTGATAACTGCCCAAGAGAAAGTGATGCCTACATTCATAGATAATCCCCTTTCCCCCATCCTATATATAACTGGAGTCAACAGCAGCTGGAGGAAAATGGCAAGAACTTGGAATCAAGATTAGGTTAGAATAACACTGCTGTAGACAGTTTATCAGCTCTTCAGCATATGTCCATTTTCCTTGAAGGATGAGCCTTTAGAAACCTCTGACAATAAAGTTTATTTTGCATCCATTCCCTTGCCTATGATTTTTTCATACAAATCACAATTATAAAACTTTCTTGCTCCAGCTAAAAGCAGGAAACTCAATCATGAATGTGTTCACTAAATATATACCACAGAATGATAGCAACCAGTCTGAATGCATCACTTGATTCCAAAATTAAATGTTAGCCCTCAGTGGTGCAACTACATGTATCTCCAACTCTGGAAGCCACAGGCAACATATTCCTGTTTCCTTGCAGGGAAACAGATCTATAAGCAGGGCGGCAGTCTCACACATGTACATTCCTGGGAAACCCAAGGAAACAATGATAGTGACGCAGGGCAGGCAAGCCCCCAAACTGAAAGACTTTTGCTAATGTCGTGATTGGCTTTCTATGTTATTGGAAGACTGAGATCTCCATGAGGAATGAAGATAGGTAATGCCTAAGGCTGAGGCATGACCTCACTGGGTCACCTTAGCTGTGAAGTGAGGTCAGTTGTCACCTTGCAAACCTTTTGGTAATCCAAATCTTGGAATGATTTCTTTAAGAATTTAGACACTTCCAGTACTTTTCCTGTCCTTGTGGGGAAAGCTTCTATCCACCTGTTGAAAGTGCCTATAAATACTAGCAAATCTTGTAGTTCCCTGTAAGGTGGCATCTGGGTTAAGTCTGTCTGCCAGTCTTCACCATGGTATGTTCCTTGGTGTTGTACAGGTTTAAGCAGGGATCGGGGTATGGGGTGGCTTCCTGAGTGGTAACCCTTTTTATAGTTTAGAACAGTCCCTTCCCGAAGAATATTTAGGAAACTAATTTGAATGGAAAATCCCGTCCCAAATGTGAGGAATCATGAAAATGTTTAATTATTTCCCATCTGTCAGCCTCAGGAATAGAGTTTGTTCTTTTCTACCAACCATCCAGAGGGTCTCCCTGGAAGCCTTTTACTCAGTCCCTTTAATTTCCTTAGGGGTATAGTATGGTGTCACTGACACGGATGGAGTACCTGGTAGTAGCGCAGCAGCTTGAAATACCAGGGTTTCCTTAGTTGTGGCCTTAGCTGCTCTTTCCACCAGGGAATTTCCTCTAATAATAAAAGTGTCTCCCTTCTGGTGTCCCCTGCAGTGAGTAATTGTTATTTCTTTGGGAGTTGGACAGCATCTAAAAGTTCCAAGATCTGAGTAAAGTTGTATGGGGCATCCCTTGGCTTTTGATAGTTCCCTTTCCTTCCCTATGGCTGCATGAGCATAGAGCACCAGGAACCCACATTTAGAGTCAGTCAACACATTGACTCTTGAGGGTTTTGGTTTTCTTCTTCTTTTTTTGAAACAGAGTCTTGCTGTGTCGCCCAGGCTGGAGTGCAGTGGCATGATCTCAGCTCACTGCAAACTCGGGGATTCTCATGTCCCAGCCTCCCAAGTAGCTGGGATTACAGGAGCCCCCCACCACACCCAGCTAATTTTTGTATTTTTAGTAGAGACGGGGTTTCGCCATGTTGGCTAGGCCGGTCTCGAACTCCCAACCTCAGGTGATCCACCCACCTTGGCCTCCCAAAGTGCTGGGATTACAGGGGTGAGCCACCGTGCCCAGCTTAAGTCTTTTCATGGTTGGAAGGCCCTAATTAGAGCAGCTAATTCTGCTTTTTGAGCAGAAGTCTGAGAAGGTAAACCCTTGGCCTCAATGATTTCTTGTTGGCTAAGCTTCCTTTCTTACTCCCTCATGAATATAGCTATTTCCATCTCTAAAGCACTCAACATTTGGGTTAGACAAGAGCTTGTCTTCAAGGTTGGGCCTTCTAGAGTAGAGCTCTTCCGTGGTTTCCACACAGGAGTCAATGAATTGGGGAGCTCTTTCTTGAGACGTGAGGTGCAGCAACAGAGTAGCAGGGTTTAAAAATCAGCATATTTTCAGGGTAACATCTCGGGTGTCAAGCAGAAGGGTCTGATATTTAAGTAACTGGCCCTCTGTTAGCCATTGCTGTACTTTTGCCTCTAGGAACCTCTGTACTGTACTTCATGGGGTGGCAGGGGGTGGGGGTGGGGTGGTATGGCATCTAATTGTTGTCCCAAGGTAAACTTAGTGGTTTCTTCTAACAATAGAGTGATGGTAGCCACAGATCTCAAGCTTCCTGGTCACCCAGCTGCCACCTGGTCTAGCTGTTTAGAGAAATAAGCCACTGGTCCAAAGTAATTCCTCAGTCTTTGAGTTAGAAAATCCAAAGCTGTCCCTTGTTATTCATCCACATAGAGGGTGAAAGGTTTTTCTAAGTCTGAGAGTCCTGAGGCAAGGGATGTCCCTGGCTTTTCTTTTAAGGCTAAGAATGCCTTTTGACAGGTTCCAAGCTCCGACTCCTGGGTTCACACCATGCTCCCACCTCAGCCTCCTGAGTAGCTGGGACTTGAGGCACCCACCACCACAGCCAGCTAATTTTTTGTATTCTTAGTAGAGACGGGGTTTCACTGTGTTAGCCAGGATGGTCTGGATCTCCTGACCTCCTGATCCACCCGCCTCGGCCTCCCAAATTGCTGGGATTACAGACGTGAGCCACCGCACCCAGCCAACAATTTTTTTTTTCTTTAATGAACAGAGCATCAGTGAATGATAGTGCAAGTTTAAGACACCTAATAGACAAGTTAAAGGAGTCCTCCAGGCAGAAGGAAAGTGACACGGGATGAAAATCTGGATGAAAAAAAAAAGACACTAGAAATGACATCTACAAAGGCAAATATGTAATTTTAACATCTGACTGTTTAGCCGGGCACGATGGCTCACGCCTGGAATCCGGCACTTTGGGAGGCCGAGGAAGGCGGATCACTTGAGGTCAGGAGTTCGAGACCAGCCTGGCCAATATGGTGAACCTTCCTCTCTATGAAAAATTCAAAAATTAGTCAGATGTGGTGGCCCAAGCCTGTAATCTCTGCTACTCAGGAGTCTGAGTCAGAAGAATGACTGGAATCCGGAAAGCAGAGGTTGCGGTAAGCCAAGACTGTGCCACTGCACTCCAGCCTGTCCGATAGAGTAAGACTCGTCTTAAAAACACCACCAACAACAACAAAAAAAACCAAAAACAAACAAAGAAAAACACATCTGACTCTTGAAACAAAAGTAATAGAGATGGATTGTAAGGTTTATAACAGGTGTAAAGTAAAATGCATGACACTAGCATAAAGGCAGGGAGAGGAGTCATGTGAAGAGGTATGATGCCACTTGAAGGCAGACTGTGATGGGTTAATTTTTGTGGAAAGCAAGGCAGAATTTTTGAAGTTTGTGTCTTCAAATACTTTGTTTCCCATACATACAAGCTAGTTTGTGCTGCAGAGATCTTATTTTCTAGGAGGCTCGAAGGGGGACCTTCTGCTGTCTGTCCTCATGGGATGCACAAGACACAAGGGAACAGTCTTTCACTTTTAAATACAGTGATAGGTCTGAGGAGATAGATACAGCTGCAATTTTTTTTTTTTTTAAATGAGATGCGATTCTCACTGGTCTTGAACTTCTGAGCTCAGTGGAGGCTTCCCCTACGTCGGCCTATCAAAGTGTTGGGATTAATAGGCGTGAGGCACTGCACCCGGCCACAACCACCAACATTTAAAATCACGTCCTTGGGTGGTCTCGAACCACCAACCTTCCGGTTAACAGCCGAACGCGCTAACCGACTGCGCCACAGAGACAACGTCGATTGTCTGTTTTCATCTCTATATACATTAAGCAATCACAAAACCCTAGGGGTTGCCATTCGCTTTCTGCGGGACAACTGTGCAGACTACAAAGCTTCGGAAAACCGGAGAGGCTGAGTCGACTAATCGTCTTGCTGCACGTTAGAAACGCGTGCATTGCGTGACTCTGAAGCCAGGAGGGCGGCCGAATGGCCTTCACCCTGCGTTCACCCTCGCCTGCTTCAGAAGCCAGTGCCTCTGGAAATGCCTGGATCTGCGACCCCAGCCTGAGCCAAGTGGGGCCCAAGGGAAGCTGAACTCCCCGACGGCTCTCACGGTAGCTCTTTCTGTTTTTTTGCGCCGCCTTCAGGCAGTCATCTGCTCCGCTTGCTCTCCCTTCACTCAACTCGGCTTCAGTAGATGGGGTCGGTGGGGCGGGAGCGGGAAAGAGGCAGGGGAGTCAAAAGGGAAAACGTGAAAAGGAGGAGGGAGAAGCAGAGGAGACCAGGACTAGACAATGGGACAGCCCAGGATGCCCGTGCAGAGGGCACCGGCTGGATGCAGAGAAGATGGGACATGTATCAGAATGGAGAGGGGGAAATGGGGAGAAGATGTGAGAGAAAATCACAAGAACCTGTAGCTGCCCAAGAATAAAGAAGTAAAAATCGCATAATGTTTTTACAGTAATAAAAATAAAATCGGGGGACCAGGGGCAGTGGCTCACGCCTGTAATCCCAGCACTTTGGGAGGCCGAGGTGGCTGGATCACTCACTTGAAGTCAGGAGTTCGAGACCAGCGGGACCAACTCTACTACAAATACAAAAATTAGCTGGGCGTGGTGGCGCACGCTTGTAGTCTCAGCTACTCAGGAGGCTGAGACAGGAGAATCGCTTGAACCTAAGAGGCGGAGGTAGCAGTGAGCCGAGATCGTGCCACTGCCCTCCAGCCTGGGCGACAATGCGAAATTCTGTCTCTCAAAATATATATTTAAATAAATAATAGAGGGGTGGGGAAGCAAAACGATGGGCAGTAGGTGTGGGGCGCCTTGGGATTCTCTAGTGGTTAGTAGTCTGCATTGTGCCTGCAGCAACCTCTGTTCTAATCCAAATCCTGGTACAGTCAGACTCTATCTTGGACCCACTGGGGCGAACCCACGTGTCTTTTGGTTTGCTTTTGATTCCTGCAGCAGCTGCGGCCTTTATCTGCAGCCAGAAAGCCGGAAAGCAGGGTTTACCGCTGGCCCCACAGCGCCATACTGTCTGGGGAAAAGAAGGAAACCCAAGAGTACACAAACAGTGGCCCAAAGAGAAACCTTCCAAGTGCTCTATGCCTCACCGTTTAGCAGAAAATATCAAGCAACTCTCAACCTAGCTGGTCTGTAGCTTCCACGAATGAAATAATGTATTTATTGCAGTCTTTCTGGTTGAGATATTTCAAATATTTGGTGGAGCTTTTAATGAGAGAGAGAGACACTCTCGAGTGTGGAAGAAAAAATGAGGGGATGTGAAGATGAGGCGACTTTAGGACAGAAAAAAAAAGAGACAAGCCATGTAAACGTTTTCGGGTGGGCGTGAGGCGATGTCAGTCTTGAACCCCCTTATGTCAGGTAAAGAGCGCAGCCTCTTCTAGCACAAACACCGTTTCCCACATGGAGGAAATCACAGGAATCAGCAACTTTAGAGTGCGATGAAGAAGCTTCACTCTGGGAGAACCCCCTTCGTGACCACTGTCTCTCCCCTGCCAGGTAAAGTGGAAATGAGCACATGGCCTGCAGGGACAGCACAGCCTCCTCGCCCTGGCCGGTCACTCAGGGTCACCACCCTCCCCAGTGCCGCCCCTCGCCAGTCTTCCAAACCACTCTCCACCAAAGATTCCACCGACAGTCACCCCACAAGACAACCCAGGCCGCCTCTCAGCAGCGGCTCCCGCCCCGCAGCCACCGCGCCCTCTCACCCCGCCGCGGTTCTGCCCGCCGCCGCTGCCGAGTCTGCGCACTTCACCTCCCTGGCTCCCGCTCTCCCGAGCTTACAGTGGACTCGGGGTTCTTCCGAACCCCTCTTGGGAGTACTGAATGGAAAAGGGGGAGCGTGCGCAAGTGCTTGGTAGAGTGTAGACGTCGTGGGATTTGACTGTGGTACCATCGCTTCGACGTCCTAGTGCTGATTTTTCCACCTGCCTTCTGCTTAGGGCACCGGCAGCAGTTTTCCATCTGTGCCTACTCCACCTGCTGTCCTTGTTGGGTCAGCGAACATCGCCTCCCTCTACCGCTCAAACAGCAAATGGGACGGCCCTCGAGGACCTCACCCGCCGCTTACCCCCCTAACAAATTCGCGGGCATGGCCTCCGGTCGCCTCTTCCCAAGGCCTAACGAGCGCCTTCGCTGGCAACGGAGGTGAGGAGGCTCCGCTGACTGGCTGGTGCCCGTGTCAGGGGCTGCCACAAACGCCACGACTTGGCTTGGCCTCTCTCTTAGTTATTCGCAGCTCAGCCCGATGGGCGTCTCCGGGGTGGCGACAGGAAAGAAGGTGGGCTTATTGGGTGCAGCTCCACGGGGGCTGGCATCTCTGCCGGGCTGTGTACACCTGAGCGAGACGCTCAGTCGCTCTCTAAAGCTGCTCCCGCGGATGACGGACACGGAGATAAACAGGAACGGTGTGTCGTGAGAGGTGGTCCACCAGCACTTGCCCTCCTTCGTCCGGCTTTAACCCCGCTGCGGAGACTGTTCTGCTTCTGGCCCTTGGAGCAGGCCGGCTGACAGCGTAGTGAAGGAAGATTCCTGCGGGAGGGCGGCCAGTGTAAAACAATTCCCTGACCGGGAATCGAACCCGGGCCGCGGCGGTGAAAGCGCCGAATCCTAGCCACTAGACCACCAGGGACTCGCAGGAGGGAGCTTTGTCTCCCTTCTTCTGTCAGAAGCGACAGCTTCCCTGAGCTCTGGGAGGACTTGGGCCTTGTGAGGGTCGCTCTTTGCTCCTGGAGTCTCTCACAAGGCCATTCCCTCCCTGCTTTCTTCAAAAAAAGAGCCTGCAAGCGACACACCGAGGGCTCCGCGAGAGACACCGAGGCCACGAGTCCGGAGGCCTGGAGCGAGTTGCAGCGACCCGGCCGCAGCTCACCACTGGACTAGAGATGCGCCTTTGCGAGGTGGCAGCAAGTGACCAGCCGGTCGTGGGTCGCCAGGTCCGGAGTCGCGCACCAGGTTGCCAGGAGGAGGCGAGAGCGCGGAGGCGCCCGGGGTGAGACGGGGGCACCCTCTGCATCATAAAGGACCCAGACGCCAGCACCCTCAACGTCATAAGGAATCAGACGGATGCGGAAACCGAGACGGGCTGGATGGGAAACTCTTTCCAGGAAGGCTCCGGGGCCCTCAGCTGGTCTCCGACCTTCCCCTGCAACCTGTGACACCTGCCATTTTCCCATCTTAGGCGATGGCAACGCCACCCTTCCGTTTGCTCCGGGCAAAACTTCGAGAGTTCCCTCTGACGCTGGAGATTTTTCCTCAGATCCAAGAGCCAACTGGTCATCAATTCGTGATTTCCCATCGGCTAAGTGCGTGGGCATTGAGCTACACGCGAGTCTCTCCACCTCTGCGGAATGGCTACTTCGGGGTAGGGGAGGGGCCCTCCCGTGGATTGTAAGGTGTTTAGCAGCAGCCGTCGCCTCCGCTGACTAGATACATGCCAGGGGGTTAGCATTCTCCCTCCCCGCTTCCCCCATTCGTGACCTAGTGTCCCAGCGGGGATGGGAGAGGCGTGTAAGGGCGAAGTTGCCCCCTCTTGAGAACCACTGATGCGCGTTGTCCTGCTGTCTGAGCTTGTGCAGAGGACTCTCCAGATGAAGGCTCGGGGTCAATCCAGCTTGAGACCCCCTCGCTCCCCCGCACAGTCGGACCTTAGGATTGGAGATTTTTAGCATCTCTGCGTCATGAGATTCGAAACCTTTAGGTCTTTTCTTCCGTTCTGTCCTCCAAATCGGCCTCTTCCGAGCCTGTTGACCAGGGCCAGCCAGGCAGAGGGCTGGGTTCGCTCAACGAGGCTCCTCTCGGCCCTCCTGGAGCTTCAGGCCTCTTTCGGTTGCAGAGAAGCTTTATGGGTCACTTCCTTCGGCATCCCCGGGGGCAGGTGCGCGGTGCCCCTGGAAGAAGAGGGTTTGACCGCGGTTCTCGACCCCCGGTGCCCAACTTCCACCTCGGTGCGCGCGCTCTTCCAGGCTCCTGCTGGTCCCACTCGCCGGGAGTTAGGTGTCGGGTCAGCCTGAGTTCCCGAGACGCCCAGGCCCGGAAGGACACGTAGGGGAAACCAGCTGCTCACTTTGGTCTTGTCCGCAACGGACCCCTTTCTGCCGGGAAAGAAAGGCGGCGAGTCCTGTCCTGTTGGGTAGGTGGAAGAGAGATCAAAGGGAAGACAAGAAATATCCTGGGAGGTTTCCGGATCTAAAGTTACCATGAAGTCGACCTAACCTCCTCTGGAGGTCCTCCCAGTCCTCCCGTGGCTGGCGATGGTGAATCGAGTTTCCGTCTCCAGTTTGCCAAGGCGGACAAAGCTGACACAATGGGCCTGTCCACTATCTTCTTTCATATACACAAAATGTCAGCTCTTCCTGTTTCTGACTGGCAATATCCCGCCTGATGACCAGCTTAGCAAATTAGAGACCCTGCACGGGACTTCATCTCTGTCTTAGTTCGGGCTTCTATAACAATGTACCATAAACTGGGTGGCTGATTCACAACAGAAATTGATTTCTCACAGTTCTGGAGGTTGGAAGTCCGAGATCAAGGTGCCGACGTGGTAGGGTTATGGTGAGGACCTTTGGTCTGGTTGTAGACTGCCACCTTCTCATTGTATCCTCAGGGGGCAGAAAGAGGGCGAGAGAGCTCCCCAGGGTCCCTTTTATAAGGGCATTAGTCCCATTCAGACTAATGGGACTAAATCCAGACTCTGTGCTGAGTGTTGTGGATTTTTTGCATGTTCATCCTCCCCGCAGGCAACTGGAGATGTATTGTCCCCAGAGGGTACAATAGAGAATCTTCCGTCACAAGTCAGCAACCAGCATATGTGAGTGACAGCATGTGTCCCACTCAGAAATGAGAGTGTATTAGTCCGTTTTCATGCTGCTGACAAATACATAACAGAGTCCAGGACCAAAAAGAGGTTTAATTGGACTTCCATTTCCATGTGACTGGGGAGGCCTCAGAATCATGGCGGGAGGCAAAAGGCACTTCTTACAAGGCAGCAGCAAGAGAAAATGAGGAAGAAGCCAAAGCAGAAACCCCTGAGAAACCCATCAGTTAGTGAGACTTACTCGCTATCAGGAGAATAGCACAGGAAAGACCCGCCCCCATGATTCAATTACCTCCTGCTAAGTCCCTCCCACAACACATGGGAATTCTGGGAGATACAATTGAAGTTGAGATTTGGGTGAGGGCACGGCCAAACTATATCAGAAAGGGATGAAGTGACAGCATATCCTGATGTGTGTGATGGTTTCATGAGTTATTATCTATTTCAAAATTTATTGCAATGTGTGGAAAAGAACAAGGACTTGTACTATCTGACTTTAAGGTTTACTATAAGCTATTAGACACAAGGCATCAGGAGTGACAAACGGATAAACAGCCTGAGTTAGAAGACCTGAAATTGATCCACAGCTATACGGTCAATAAATGGGTTTTCAATAAAAGCAGTTCAATAAAAGAAAATAAGTCATTTCAATTAATGAACTTCTATATGGATGTGGGGAGACCAACAATGTTATTCTCCCTCACACTACACACAAAAGTAATTTCAGCCGCATTACTTAAAAGTTAAAGATATAAAGCATTTCAAGGATACTTTGTGACTTGTTGGCAGGCAAAGATTAGCCTACCAACAAGCAGGACACAGAAAAAATACATATATAAGAAAGACATGATAAATGAGACTTCATCAACATTAGCCACACCTTCTCATCAAAAGATACCACTAAGAAAGCGAAAAGGCAAGCAAGCCACAGACAGAGAGAAAATACCCACAAAACGTATCTGACCTCCACACCCTGCAATTATAATTATAGTGGTCTGGTACACTGCACCCAGTTTCTGCTGGATGGAGTATTTTCTGGGTGTCTCTAATGAGTAAGAGAGGGCCCCATGGGATATTCCTTCAGTTCCCAGATGAACAGTGGGAAAGATTCCACATTGACCAACCTCGGGGGCCTGAAAACCCAGGTCCTCAAGGAGGGTAGAGTATACCTGGACCCTGACCCAGACCCCTGGATGGGCTGTGCCAAGAGACCCAGCAAGGGAAGGGATTTCCTCCTGCCTCAGGTTCTCTGTTCTTCTGTGGTTAGACCACCTGAACCCAGCTCCCTCCCCAAGCACTAGAGATGGGCTTTTCCAAGGGCTGGGGATCTTGCTGTCCTGAGGACAGCTGAGCAAGGGGGTCGAGGAGGAGCTTGGGTTGTGGAGGAGAGGAAACCGGGTAAGATGCGTGAAGCAGTTGGCTATACCAGGCACAGAGAGGACCCGCTGGGACCCAAGAGCCTGCATGTGAAGCCAGGCCTTAGGCCACCTTGTCTGTCAAGGGGGTGCCTACTTCCATGGTGTCTTCAAAGGGACTGTGGAAAGAGAGGCCTTCAGCCCACACCTCTGAATGCTTTTCCACCACAGCATGCCCTGTGGCCTTTATCCTGCTGGTGTGGAACAGTCAGACCCCTGCAGGGCTGCAGAGCCTCTGTACTGGGCGGCATCCCAGCCTGAGTGCCAGAGCTCAGAGGGCAGGCCCCCGAGCAAGCAGAGAGGAGGGCACCTTTTGGACAGAACGTGTGGGACAAGAGCGATGGCTCATCCGTTCAGGTTCCTCACAAAATGAGAGTCAGGAAGATCAGGGCGCCGGCCTGATTTCCCAGGCAGGGCTGAAAGCAGACAACCGGAGGGAGAGCAGCACCTGGGCCAATGAGGTAGAAGACAGAAGACCACAGTGTACTCCTGCCCTCAACCTCACCCCCTCCCACCCACATCCTCCACACTCCCTGACCACCTTCCTCAGAAGTGTAATAGGAATCCAGATTCCCCCTGGCCTGGTTGCTGCAGGAGGCACAGTAGCCTGATGGAGCCTGAGGCACGTGTGGGAAGATGTGGATTGTCTAACTGGAGGTTGGGAGTCCAGGGTGTAGAAGCAGCTTGGAGTGCAGGATTTGGTGGTACGTGTGTGGCAGTAGGCAAAAGAAAGAGACAACTGGCCGGGCGCGATGGCTCACGCCTGTAATCCCAACACTTTGGGAGACCGAGGCGGGCGGATCACGAGGTCAGATGAAGACCACGGTAAAACCTCGTCTCTACTAAAAATACAAAAAGTAGCCGGGCGTGGTGGCGGGTGCCTGTAGTCCCAGCTACTGGGGAGGCAGAGGCAG